>NC_000023.11:149627121-149930151 GCF_000001405.40 Homo sapiens | reverse complement strand
TTACAGAAATGCTTTCTACTTTACCATCATTTTCTTGTTTCCTGGAGAGTTGCTTGGGCGTGTTTTGCAGAATCCATAGAGGTTCAGCTGGCGAATGAAACTCGTCAAGTTGTCTGTTTTGAAGATCCTCTCTGCACCTTTCCGTTGAAGAACCTCCCTCTGGAAGAGATCCTTGTCGATGATCACGGCGTCTCCATCATCGTTCCAGCTCACAGACTTGAATGTGTCTTCCTCCACAATCGTCCAAAGCTTTCTTGGGAAGGAGAGCCTAAAAAGGTTGTGGTTGTCTTCCACGTTGACCACGCGTTGGTTTCGGTCTTCTGGTGGTGAGTTATCTTGGGAGCCTGGATCTTGGCTCATGGCTTGGTCCTCGTGCCTGTCCAAAACCTCGCTGGAATCTGGATTTGGATCAGGTGAAGAACCAGATGGGCCCCCGCTTGTTGGCTCTCCACCAACAGATGGGGCCAGCTTGGCTTCATATTCCTGTTCAGTGTTCTGACTCGCCATGGAGCTACACCAGAATCAGGAGCATTTTGTACCCAAGGCCCTTATCACTGTCCTAGCAAGTCCAAAATGCCTTCAGTCAGAGTAGGCGTGCCCAATAAATACTGTCCACAAAATTCTAGAGTCTCGGTATCAGGGCAACCAGTGGCTTAACTCATCATCTGCTGTATTTGTCGCATGATGTCACAAAGGTGGCTCTCAGCCAATCTGGAGAGGGGGCCCTGGCCAGGTGTTGGGGGAGTAGACAGGTGGCATGGCCTTCAGCTTCTCCCTCTTCTAAAAGTATAAACAGGCATGGTTCAAGTTCCCAGAAAAGTCTCCCATCTTCTGACAGTCACATTGTGTCAAAGGGCCAGGCCCCAGATGAGCTGAGAAACCATGGCTCTATGGCCACTCCCAACCCTGAAGACAGGGGAGGCCATTTGCTGGCCTCTAATTTGCTCAAGAGCCAGCCCCTAGTTATCCCTAGCTTGGGTTTCACCAAGACTGCCTGACTCAGATGGACCCCTCATGGGTGACTGCCTTCTAGGAGATGGTGGTCCCTACCAGGCTGTTTGGCCTGATCTGTGTGGTAGCACCCCTCTTTTCCAATCCCCCCATCTCCTTCCTGCTTTGGTCTCTTCCAGGTACTCCTAATGATTGGTTGCATGTGCTCCAGTGGGCCCAGATAAAGTGTTTCTTATTCCCCTTGGTCAAGTTGTCCCCAGAGTGGTGCTGTGCCTGAGCATGGTGGGAGCACTCCCCTCACTCGTCTACCACTGTGTTACCCAGAGCATCATTTGTGGTTGGATGGCCACATCCTCAGCTGTGCTTTGGAGTCTCCTGTGGAGCTCTGCTTGCCCTTGCATCTCACCCTCTTGCAGATCACAACAGGAGATTACCTTTAGTTTCATTTTTGCCCATAAATACTGTTTTCATTGCCCAAGACATGTTCATTTCTGAGGCCTGCTTTACACAGACTAGCCTAAGAAAAGTTTCTGCTTGTCTAGTTAGACCTGACTAAAGTAATCCAGCACAAAAGTTCCATCATTATGTATTTGAAAACAGATGAGCGTATGAGTGTGTGTTGCGGTGGGCAGGAGGAGGGAGAAAACCCAAATGAAAGCCATGTTCAACCCCAGATGAGAGGATACAACAGTCTTTCTGGTGATACATTTTCTCTAGCCATTAAAGACAACTTTGTTCTTAATATTCACTCTGTATAGGGAGACAGAGTGATACAGTGGAAAGGCACCAGACTGAAAGGACCCTGGGTCCTTGTCCCACTGAGTAGCACCCTTTGCCCACTCAGGGTCGGCCCTGAGTGCGAAGAGGGTTGGAAGAGGCTCTTCCAAGGTGCTTTTCAATCTCAGGGCTCTCTAATCCTTCATGGTGCCCCCAATGCCTGGATGCAGGCTTGGTTCATGGTCACCAAGCTTTTTAAACAGGTTTACAAAGGTTTTGTTCAAGGACTCAGTGTAACCTGTAGACACACACACTCTGAGGCTAAATATTAAAATAGAGGCCATTGGTGAGATCTCTAAATGAGGATCCTTGAGTATTCAGTTAGACAGCTGGTATCTTTCACTTACATACCAAAGTGCTTTTTCATAGGGGAATTCTTAAGACTGAGAATGACATTTTGTTGTGGCTTTTGCGAACTTATAAACTCTGCTGATTACTTATATAAAGGCTTTTGGCCATTGGGTGGGAGGGGAATTATCATGAAGAAAATTACTAGGGAAACTACACGGTGGCATTCAGCCAAGAGCTGGTATTGATTTGATTTAGTCACACTATGTCATGTGGCTTCTATAGGACCATTAGCGACCATTGTCCTTTGTTTTAAGTCACAGAATGTACACTGGGATTTCGAGTCTAAGACATCAAGCTCCTCTTGTCCCCTGGAGGGAATATTCAGGGCACTGACTTAAGTCTAGTCAAGAAGAGTCATGGTGGGAAATCCAGCCTCCTCTGGCTAAGCCTGCTCAGTCCCCAAAGATGAGCTCTGCAACTTTCAGCAACCATTCAGACATTCTTTATGAGTCACCTGCCACCTGCAAGCCACTTTGAGGAAAATGGTTGGTCTTCTCTTCCATGCTCCAAAAGCCCCTGAGATGGCCCCTCTGCGTTGCTGCATTATGAATAAAATCATCATGGTCAGGCGACCCAAGCAGAGCACAGCTGACTATGGTATGAGGACCAGTGGCCCTGTGGAAAGCGGTCTCAGTGCTGACTCGCTGCAGCTTCTTTGTAGCTATGCAGCAATCAAGAATAGTGCTGAGCTCTTGATGGTGGGGCCCCAAGGTATGAGGCCAGCCACAGGCCAAGACTTGCTGTGTAGGCCTTGCCTGTCACATGATCTGCCAGGCCCTCTTCATCCTCCCCGTGGCCTCTCAGGATCTTCTTCCCTGCTGATCTCTCCCAGGCTCCAGGATGTGTCCCTGCAGTTGGTTCATCCCACCCCAGAGGAGTCTTTCTAAACTGTGGCTCGGAACTTGTCAGTTGCTTAGGCACCACCTCCTCACACTTCCAAGGCCTTCCTTTCCCAGCCTCGTTAGCCACTGGGCTGCTCTTTCTCACACACTCAGGTATCCGCCATGCCACCTGCCCTTAACCCTCCTTCACTCAGCATTTGCTTGATGCTGGGTCCTGGGTAAGACAACTCTCAACCTATTGCGGGATCTGGCCAGCAGTCTGCAATGCAACGGTGCTCTCTCTTTGTTCCCAGGCAGATCGGCAGGTCGAGAAATAATAGACACACGCAAGATAGCAAAATCTGGGTCCAGGGGGGTCACCGCCTTCTGCTCCCACGGTGCCAACAACGCACTGGATATACCGGCATTTATTATTAAGTTTGGTGAGAGGGCAGGGGAAGGTTAGTGAGGGATTTAGGGTCATTTGATTATGAGGTGAGATGGTCACATGGGGATGAAGTAATTCTTTAACATAACATCTGTATGCAGAAGTACAGTATACAGGGATAAGAATTTATGATATAGTGTGTGCATCAGTAGTTTCTAACAGAGCCTTAAAACAGAAACACAGTCTTTCCATGACCTATGATTAGCAAGATATTAATCAGCAGTAACAGTTGCAGCAAAAGCTGGTTACAAACAATCCATAGAAACAGGATGTGAAGCTAGACAACCGGTTAGACCAGAAATTCTCAGAAGGGAGTATGCCTTAACCCTAAAGAGGCCTAGAAGAGCCGTGGCAAGATGAGGGCGTTTATAGCCCTATCTTATCCATATGGACAGGTGCTCCTCATGCATCCGTTTATAGGCTCTCCACAAGGGTCACATTCCATTCCCAGAGCTATGAACATCTGCTTTTCTAGGATAGGAATCTTGGTGATGTGAAACCTCCCTGACTGCACGTCCATTCATAGGCTCTCTGCAGGGGAAAGCACATCACGTGCTGTTGGCTCATTCTGGCAGTCCAACCTGGCATTGTCTTTACACAATCCTGCATGCAATTATGTATTTACAATAATCAGGAGCATTTCATCTTTTATTCCATAGCAATAGTTTCAGGGGGTCTCCCTACATCAACCTCTGGTTCCCTCTGGTGCTGTTTTCTGAGCACACTGTGAACTTCCTTGCTGGTAAGGGTGCTTGTGCTGCCTCCCCTATGGGAATGCCCTTTTCAACCCAGAAGTCACTCAGCTTGTCAGGGTCCAGGTCACTCCATGAGGTCAGCTGGCAAGGCTTATTCCCAGGGGCTGGCCCAGCACAGCTCTCCACCATTGGTTGGGTGGATCCTGAACTCCTATGAGGTTGGGCATGTTGATGAGCCATCTCCCCTCTGGACTAAGAGGCCCATGAGGATGGCGGAGACCACAGTGCAAATGTGGCCCTCAATACATGTTGGATGAGGCAAGTTCTATGTCACCAGGAGCTCAGTGGGGTTTAGCATCCTTGGACATGGCTCCACATTAGAACAGTGATAACAGAACAATTATTGTGAGCTCCTATTGAGACAGGAAAATAGGGCCTAGAAACAGGGAACTTAAGGCCACTCTGTGCTAACTTCCTAAAAGAGAAAACACCAGGGTCTGGAGGCAGGAAATCTAAGGCCAATTCACTCTGACTTCCCAAAGCTGGATCAAAAGGAAAATACCGGGGTCTGGGGGCAGGAAACCTAAGGCTGATTAACACAAACTTCCTAAAGCTAAACCAAAAGACAAAAACCCCATCTCTCCATGCTGAGTAACAAAGGATCAGAGGCTACTCTCCCTACAACCATCCCTCTTCCACCACATCTCAGATGGAAAGGGAGGGGAGGGTGCCTTGTTGACCATGGGCCAAGCAGGGACCATCCCTTCATCTGCATAGGGTGCCAGTTCACCTCAGCCTTTAATTAGCCACAGACCAAATCCTTCATCCAGATAAGGGGTAGTCATTAAGAACCTCAAATAGGGTACTTAAAGCCCAGAAAACTTTGTAACTGGGCCCTTGAGCCACTTGCTCAGACCCACTCTCACCTTGCAGAGGGCTTTCTCACTTTAATAAATTCCTGCTTTCACTGCTTTGTTCCTGCATTTCATTCCTCTGCTACTTTATGCATTTTGTTCAATTCTTTGTTCAAAACGCCAAAGACCTGGACAACTCGTAGTCAATCTGCTGTGCTAAGTGCTCTGCTAGTCTGTGTCATTTACTGTGCACACCCATCTCTTGGGTGGATATTAGGAATGAGCCCATTTCTCCAATGAGCCAAGCTAGGCCATGGAGGGGTTGAGCCATGGTGCAGTTTCTGCAGTGAAGAAGCAACAGGGCCAGAATAGGCCCACATGGTCAGACTCTCAGACTTACAACCTTACTCAAGTACAATGAGTGTTCCAATGATCTGAGCAGAAGAAGTTGTCTTTGTAAGCAGAAAATGGCTGAAGAAAGCAAAAAGAGAAAACAGAGCAGATTAGTCATTGATGTGGTTTGGCTGTTTTGTCCCTCTAAATCTCATGTTGAAATGTGACCTTCAGCGTTGGAGGTGGGTTTAGTGGGAGGTGTTTGGGTCATAGAGGTGGATCTCTCATAAATGGTTTGGTGCTGTCCTTGTGGTAATGAGTGAGTTCTCTGTTAGGTACAAACCACCCCAAAGAGCTTCTTGGTACTGCCAACACTCCCCGCAAACCTCTCCGCGCTGCCCACCCTTCCCCCAAACCTTCTTACATTTCCAAGCCCTTATCTAGGCACCGCAGTGAAGCCAGCCTGATAGAAGACTTTACCTATCAGGCCTTGCTGCGATAAAGCAAACCCCAATTACAAACCATCCGGACCAAACGGGGAGGTTGTGGGAAGCATAAACAAACTTTACCTACACCCTCCAGTACCGTAAACATCACAAGGTGATATGTGGCAGAATTAACCAGCAGACAACCCCGGGATGCAGCCATACCAAAGGACTCCCTCAAACTCCCTGCCCCAATGTAAACCCCCTATTCTGTAAGCTTGGGGCTGCTTTCCTTGACTGTTAAGGGGGCAGCCGACAGGTTAATAAAGGCTTGCCTGAACTTGGGGCTCTCTCTCTCTGGTCCTTTCTCTCGGCTAACCTTACATTCTCACTCTCTAAGTTCACATGAGATCTGGTTGCTTTAAAAAGCCTGGCAGCTCTTTGTTCTCTCTCGCCATGTGATATGCTGATTACCCTTTTGCCTTCTGCCATGACTGCAAGCTTCCTGAGCCCTTACCAGAAGCAGATGCCAGTGCCATGCCTCCTGTACGCCCTGCAGAAGCATGAGCCAAAATAAACATTTTTCTTTATAAATTACCTAGCCTCAGGTATTCCTTTATAGCAATGCAAAACTGACTAACATATAAAATTGGTACAGGAGTTGGGTGATGCTATACAGATATCTGAAGATGTGAAAGCAGCTTTGGATCTGGGTAATGGGCAGAGATATCAGAAGATATCAGAAGAAGACAGGAAGATGCAGGAATGTTTCAAACTTATTGGAGATTTGTTAAGTGGTTTTGACCAAATTGCTGACAGAAATATGGACAATGAAGGCCAGGCTGATGAGGTCTCAGATGGAAATGAGGAATTTACTGGCAAAGGTCACCCTTGTTATATCTTAGCAAAGAACTTGGCTGCACTGGGTCCATGCTCTAGAGATCTGTGGAAGTTTGAACTTAAGGGTGATAAATTAGTGTATCTGGCCAAAGGGATTTCTAAGCAGCAAAGTATTCAAGATGTTCCTTGGCTGCTTCTAACAACCTGTCTCAGATGTAGGAGAAAAGGAAAGACTTAAAGTTGGAATTTATAATTAAAAGAGAAGCAGAGCATAAAAGTTTGGAAAATTTGCAGCCTGACCATGTTGTAGGGAAAGAAAGAGCATTTTCGGAGAAGAAACCAAGCAGGATGCTGAGGAACCACTTGCTGGAGAGCTTTGCACGACTAAAAGGGAGCCAAGTGCTACTATCTAAAACAATGGGAAAAAGCCCTTGAAGGCATTTCAGAAATCTAGGCCCCTCCCATCCCAGGCCCAGAAGCCTAGTGGGTAAGAATGGTTTTGGGGGCCAAGCCTGGGGCCCTGCTGCTCTCTGTAGCCTTTGGACACTGCTACCTGCATCTGGCTGATCCAGCTCCACCCATGGCTCAAAGTGCCCCAGATACAGTTCAGGCCACTGCCTTGGAGGACACAAGCTATAAGACTTGGTGGCTTCCCCATGGTGTTATGTCTGCAGGAGAACAGAATGCAAGAGTGAAAAAGGCTTGACAGCTTCCACCTAGGTTTCAGAGGGTGTATGTGTTGAAAAGCCTGAGTGCCCAGGGAAAAGCCTGCCACAAGGGTCGAGCTCCTACAGAGAGACTCTACTAGAACAGTGCTCATGGAAAATGTGGGGTTGGAGCCCCTGCACAGAGTCATCATGGTACTGCTGAGTGGGATTGTGGGAAGGTGGCTGAGAATGGTAGAGCCACCAGCGGCTTGTACTCTGAACCTGGAAAAGCAACCGGCACTCAACTCCAACCAGTGAGAGTAGCCATGGGAGCTGCACCTGCAGAGCCACAGGGATGGGTATGCACAAGGCCTTGGCATCCCACCCCTTCCATCACTGTGCCCTGGATGCAGAATATGGAGACAAAGGAGATTATTTTGGAGCTCTAAGATTTAATGACAGCCCTGCTGGGTGTCAGACTTGTGTGGTGCCTGTTGCCCCTTTCTTTTGGCTGATTTATCTCTTTTGGAATTGGAATATTTACCCAATGCCTGGATCACCATTGTATCTTGGAAGTAAATAACTTGTTTTTTTATCTTACAGGCTCATAGTTGGAAGAAACGTGCCTTGAGTCTCAGATTTTGGAATTTTGAGTTGATGCTGAAATGAGTTGAGACTTTTGGGGAACTATTGGGAAGGGATGCTTGTATTCTGCAGTGCAAAAAGGATGTGAGATTTGTTGGGGGGTCATGGGCAGAATGAAACAGCTTGGGTATTTTGTGCCCTTCAAATATCATGTTGAAATGTGAACTCCAATGTTGGAGGTGGGCCTAGTGGGAGAGGTGTTTGGGTCATGGGGGTGGGTCCTTTATAAATAACTTGCTGCTGTCCTCACAATAATGAGTGAGTTCTCTCTGTCTGTGAGTTCACATGAGATCTGGTTATTTAAAAGAGCCTGGCAGCTTCTCCTTTTCTTGCTTGCTCTCTCACTCGCCATGTGATATGCCAGCTCCTCTTTTGCCTTCTGCCATGAATGGAAGCTTCCTGAGCCCTCACAAGAAGGCTATGATGACGCCATGCTTCCTGTACAGCCTGCAGAAATGCGAGTCAAAATGAACCTCTTTTCTTGACAAATTACCCAGCCTCAGGTATTCTTTTATAACAGTGCAAAAGTGACCAACACAGTCATTTCAAAGTTACTTTCCTTCTAGAGTTAAAAGATGAGGGGACACGCTTATAACACTGACTCAGGTTGACTGAACCTTCTGAGTATTTTTGTATTTTTTTTTAATTGGCCCCTTTGAAAGTTCAGTATAATTATGTGGCATTCGGCACAAGTGACCCCATTCTGGTTGGGTCTGGTCAGCCGGGGCTTAGGGAAGGAGGCTAGTCCACAGCAGTGGCATCCCCTGAAGTTTGTTTCACACAGGCCCCTGAGTTAATGAGTCTTTCTAAAGGAGGCTTTGCTTGGTTTGCTTATCAGCCATCTTTCCACTCTTACTGTAGACAGGGACACCTGGATGCTCATAATTTGCTTTTTTTTTTTTTTTTTTTTTTTTTGGAGACAGAGTCTCGCTCTGTAGCCAGGCTGGAATGCAGTGGTGTGATCTTGGCTCACTGCAACCTCCGCCTTCCAGGTTCAAGTGATTCTCCTGCCTTAGCCTCCCGAGTAACTGGGATTACATGCTGGGATTATGTGCCAGCATGCCCAGCTAATTTTTGTAGTTTTAGTAGAGACGGGGTTTCACCATGTTGGGCAGAATGGTCTCGATCTCTTGACCTCGTGGTCCACCCGCCTCAACCTCCTAAAATGCTGGGATTACAGACGTGAGCCACCACGCCTGGCCGTGCACGTTTTTAAAAATTAATTAATTTATCCTGTTGCCCTGCTCAGAGTAAAATATGCTGGTTTTCTTTTCTACAGTATCTTAAAAGCCTTTTGTAACAATGTTTGTGAGCAATTGTGTTAAAATTATTCTGAATTAATATCTAATGCTTGAACACACACACTGTGCATGTCTGTGTGTGTGTGTTAAACTCAAGTATAGCACATAGAGCCTCTGTAGGTGATAATTCTTGCCTCTTGGGTTCCCTGGAAAAAGGAAGTCCATATGGAAAAGAGAGGCAGTCTCCAGGTAGAGATACATCTTCAGGGATTTTAAAGGAAATTTTCAGCTTGTGTTCTATAAAAGCACCAAAGGTGACTTGTGTGTATAGCCCCTAGGTTGGAGGAAAGCCTTGCTGGTTTTTCTTTTTCTTTTTTCTTTTTTCTTTTTCTTTTTCTTTTTCTTTTTACCTTGCTGGTTTTTGCTGGTTTCATTGCAGCATTTCAGCTCTCCTGCAACACCACTGACATTTCTCTATTGTTTTTCTCCTCCACACTGAGACCTATTGGCTCAGAAGTCCACCAGCATAAAACCCAGATTTTCATACTTCTAAATTGTTTTCAACATAGCTCAACCAGGAAGATTGTTAGGCATTGGAGGCCTTCCTGGCTTTCATACCCTGGTAAACCTCACCCCACATGTGCTAACCATAGATAAGATGGAGCCTTGTGGTTAGAAGACCCCCAAGACACTGTCTAGCTGCTGAGAAACATCACTTAGACTCATAAGCTCCTTCTCCAATTTCCATCTCCCCCAGCAGTTCTCTTGCCTTCCTCCCCATTTGATGGTGATCCCACACCCATAAACTCTAGACAGTCTTTTACTCTGAGGATGTCCCCGCTTCTGCTACCCTATCCAAGCACCACCCAATAAAGTTGTTTGTGTGGTACTGCCCCTGGTTGGTCATAGCATTTTTCTTGATCAACCCCCTAATCCTGCACAGTGTGCAATGAACTCTGCTGAACTTGGAGTCTCGCACTTAGAGGTTGATGATTATCTGAGCTGAGGTGTGTGATTTTAGGGGGTCTGTTTGGACTGTTAAACTGATAAGGCCAGAAGGCCTTAGAAAAGCACACCAGGCAGGCTTCTCACTGGGACATGGAATGCTGCTGTTGTCTGGTCTTGAAGCATCTCAGCTTTCCTGCTGCAGTAGAAAACTCTCTGACTGTTTTGGAACCCAGAAGTCACAAATTACAATAGGCTTGTCTCGACTCTAAGCTAAAACCCAAAAATGTCCACTCTGGGCTGTTTCAGACTCATGTCAAGCTGTGCTGAACAGAAAGCAGGCATAGCTCGATGCACTGGAGGGGTCTTTGACCCTGTGATCCTGGTAGGTTTTGAACACCCCTCTCTGGAGTTAGAAACTGTCACAACCTAGATGCTGTCCTGGACTGTCTGCATCTCTTGCAGATGCCCATGATGAGGGGATTGTTCTCTGGTGGGGCCAGCGAGAGTGGAGCTGTTCATGAACACTGTATTTTTGATGTAGACAGGTTGCATTTTTTACTGGTAATGCTGTCAAAAGCTGCACATTGAGGGAGGGCACCCAACAGGAATTGTGATCCCTCTGCCCAATTGTGACAGATCAGTCTTAGACCTTCTCTCTGTGATGTCCACTGCTGGTGACTTGTGTCCAGCGATCCACATTAGTTTCAGTTTGGGAAAGTGGACAGACAGCCTGGCTACTTTCTTTCCTTGCTTCTGGCCTACAAGTCAGGCAGTAGGATTATCAAATGCAGCTGTGCCCAGGGAGGGATTATTATTTTTTAAATTGTTGTTCTACACTGCTCACTGCATAAATGAGCAGGATGAAAAGGAGTAAACCCATTTTGGAATCTTTTGGAAATGCGGGATTTCTTCCTGACTGCTTCCTAAACATGAGGGGCCTTTCTGTTCTCATGATGCTGTATGACAGTGTTTTTCTGTAAAAACAGTGTCATCTCTCTTTCATATAGCCCTGCCAGGCAAGAAGGCCAGGGGGAGGGTAAGAGATGACTGAAGCAATGTAAAGCTTTTATTGTTGAGTGGGCCATGCTGATTTTATAAGGATGGAGGAAAAAGAGAATGAGACATCTGTAGAGGTGTGGGAGAAGGCATTGTGATCTTGGTGTTTCAGAACTATTCCTGAAAGCTTTCACCTCTTGCTGAAGGAAAACACCCCATGCTGCCTTTGAAAGCTTCTGCAAGTTTTGTGTATCCAAAATGATGGCCATGCCTGAGACCACACCTGACCCCACCGACTAAGGGACAGAGGAGGTGGCCCGAGCTTCTCCATGTTTCCCTTAGAGCGCCTCCAGGTGTCCTCTGGATCTGTCATGCACAAGCCAAACTGTCTGCAAGGGAAACCAAGGATGGAACTGGACTATATAGCCTGTACTGGAAAACAGGCCACAGTGTGGTACTGTTAACCTGTGCTGCCTGACTTAGGTACACCCTCTTGTGTTGCCCAAACTATGGTACACTCTGAGTTTGCAGGGAGACCATGTGTATGCTCGGGTATTGTACAGCTTATGTGCCCTGCCTGTCATGACACTGCCTCAGCCCTGGATGGCTTCCAGGTCAGCTCGAACTTCCTGTCCAGAGCTGTGTTTTACCTGAATTGATGCCCCAATTGATTGAATTGGCCAAGTATAAAGAAAAAGTACTGAAATTTAAGAGGGAAGCCACGTGACTGTCTAAGATACATCTCTTTGGTTAATGGGGTTTGTGTTAACTGGTTCAGTACAGGACCCCTAACAGGCACAAGTGACATCTATATGCAGCTTGGTTTCCACCCTGTTGTGTCAGGTCCTATGATAATTTTCCTGTAATATGCCTTGGCCAGTGGGGTGCACTGTGAAGAAAAGAGTTCACACAGCAGGCCTCACTGCTATCTTTGGCAAAGCCTGCTGCTTTCAGTGTTATCCATTGGCTGGATTCTCAGGACTTGGATTTGGGAGGGATTCCACCTTTCTCAGAACTGATCAGGGTGGTTCACTATACCCAAGCTGCTTATGCAAACAAAAAGCTGCACACTGCTTTCCTCCTGGGAGTCTGGAATTTTGGTTCATGCCAGGCAGAACTGCTTATGTGACCAGTGCCAAGTTCAACTCATGGGTGATGAGGTTTTACTGAGCTCCGCTGGTTGGCAGCATTTTACATGTGTGGTCACACCTTGTTGTGAGGGAATTAAGTGCGTTCTATGTGACCCTACTGGGAGATGAGATGACTCTGGAAACTTGTGTCTGGTCTCCTGCACTTCTCCCTGTGCACCCTTTCCCTTTGCTGATTGTGCTTGGTATCCTTTCACTGTAGTAAGTTGTCGTCGTGGGTAGGACTATATCATGAGTCCCATGAGTTCTCCTAGTGAGCTACTAGACCTGATTCAGTGGTCTGGGTTCCCCCATTTCATTTTGGGGACCCTGACACACCTGTCCATCCCTTCCGTCTCCCACTCCAGGGAATTTCAGATTAGGACGCTGCTGAGAAGAATCATAATGGCCAAGCTTGCTTAAGTGCTTCTTAGGTCTCAAGGACTGTTCTCAATGCTTTGCAAACATCCATAGATTCTATTGTTCCACCCATTTTGTGAAGGAAACTCCGAGTCCTATCTATGCAGCTTTTCTGTAAATCCAACTCTGTTCTAAAACAAAATGGTTAGGTTTCTAAAAAGTAAATAGTAACAAGAGCATTGGGGAAAGAAACCAGACTTGAAGTAAGATCAATATGGCAGTGAAAATTCCTGTACCATGTTTTCCTGTTGTATCTCTAAGCCTGGAGTCACAGTCAGCCCAAATATGAGAACTGCACAAGAGGTGTGGACAGAAAGAGATCTATGAGAAAGATTTTTCTTTACTGACCAAGAGCTAGGAAGAGAGGCCTTTACAGCATACAGATAATGAGGGACAGAACCTTTTTATCTTGCTTGCTCTGCCTCCAGGCCAGCCTCTGTCCTGAATCTGTAACCTGTGGCGGCAGCATCAACCACAGCTGGGCAGGCACATAAACACTCCAGGCAGTGATTCCTACTCTCTGATAAGAAATTTCATCCAAAAACCCTGGAAGGATTGCAAGGAGGAAATGAAAAGCACTTGTGCAGGTCACAGCAAGGGGCACAGGCTAGCAAAAAGACTGAGGCCTACTCATAGGTGTGTAGAACACTTCCTCTCCTCCACGCCTTACCACTACGTGGCACTGAAACAACTGTGCATCTCAAACTTCACTTAAAAAGTCTCTGGGGAAACCCAAGATGACAGGGGCAGACCAAAAAAATGGAAACCAGAAGAAAGTTCAACCTCTGATGCCTCTAGCTCCACAAAACAGTAAACACAGTCTAACTCTTAGTCAAATAAAAATAAACTATCACTGTAAAGGCCTATTTTCCTCAATTCCATTTACCCAGTACATTATATATATTTTTAAAAATAATAGAAATGTTTATTTATGGAGGTAATGTTTTGTGTGTGTTGATTTTTTTTTATTGAACAAGTAATATTAAAAAAATGGTAATGGAACACACATAGTCCCACAACCTTTACACATATACCATTGCATTGTGTAACAGCAGTAGCAGTAGTAGCTAGCATTGATTGTACATTTACTGTGTGCAAGGCACAAGCTGAAAACTTTAGGAGCATTGCTTCCTTTAATTCCCATGACGATTATGTAAGATAGTTATTTTACTATCTCATTTTACGGATGAAGAATTTGCAAAACAAAGATAATAATGGGTATAGTACACACTTATAACCAGAGCATGAAGTCAACTTTGCATTAAGCTTCTTTCACTTAGTACAATGATGTATTTTCCATATTGAATAGACCATTCTAGTATATTCACATATCAGTTTTCTTCTCATTAGACATTTAGATCATCCCATTTTTCACAATTATATTTAACATTGTAGTGATCAATTTCATTTAGTGCTCGTCTTGAATTATTTTTCTTAGGATGGGGTCTCAAAAGTGATCTTCCTCAATCCAAAGGTAAAATCACCTAGCTTTGATAATAACATACTAAAACAAAAAACTTTTTTAAGAAAGCCCACATTTTGTCAATGTTTATAAAACCAAATCATTCTCTTCATAGGTTTAGATAGTCATACATTTAAAATAATGGTACTGTAATTTTAAAATTATGAAGGTATTTTTATATAATTCAGTCTCATTGCAAAATCACTCCATGGAGACTATCTTCCAGGCAGCTAGGCACTTCAAGAAAACTTCCAGATTTATGAAGGCAAGACGTTTCTGCCTTCTTCTACTGAATTCACCCCCAAACCACAAGACAATGAGAACCAGAATCACAACTCAATTTTGGACAACACCAGAAGACATTTGTAACTCAGAACTCTGTTGTACAAGCAGAGGACAGTGGCAGGAAAGGTCAAACCAAGTGTCTGAAGAAAGGCTCAGGAACCCAAGGCACCAGCTACTGCAGAAGGTGAGCAAGAAGTGCAGGCTGAAAACAAGGGAGTTATGTGAGTCTATGTAAGGGACAGAGTCCCCCAATTTTCAGTCCTATTAGCAAGAAGCAGGACGGCATCCTTCAGAAAAACTGAAAAGAGAGCCTCTGGATATAGAGTCACAAGGCACAGAGTGGGGCATGGTGTACCAGACCAGACCCAGGGGACTGGATGAAGTCTGCATCTTGAATGGAGAGACCTCCAGATGTCTGGTTTTCAACAACAACAAAATTACAAGGCATAGTAAAAGAAAAATAACATAGGTTGGAAAGAATGAGTATCAGAAACAGACTCAGCATATGGCAGAGCTGTTTTGTGAAGCTAGAGGCATTGGAGGTTGAACTTTCTTCTGGTTTCCTTTTTTTTTGGTCTGCCCCTGTCATCTTGGGTTTCCCTAGAGACTTCTTAAATGAAGTTTGAGATGCACAGTTGTTTCAAATTGACAATTTTTCATTTATTTTATTTTTTATGGACACATAGTACCCATAGTAGGTGTATGTATTTATGGATTACATGAGATATTTTGATACAGGCATGCAACATGTAATAATCACATCAGTGTAAATGGAATATTCACCACCTCAAGCATTTACCGTTTGTGTTATAAATAATCCAATTATACTTAGTTATTTTAAAATGTACAATTAAATCATGTTTTACTATAGTCACTGTTGTGCTATCAAATACTACATCTTATTCTTTCTATTTCTTGTATCCATTAATCATGCTCACTTCCCCCTTCCACCCCCAACTACCCTTCCCAGCCTCTGGTAACCATCCTGCTACTCTCTGTCTCCATGAGTTCAATTGTTTGTATTTTTACCTCCCACAAATAAGTGAGAACATGCAAAGTTTGTCTTTCTGTACCTGGCTTATTTCACTAAACATAATGTCCTCCAGTTCCATCCATGTTGTAGCAAATGACAGGGTCTCATTAGTTTTTAGGGCTGCATAGTACTCCACTGTGTGTAGGTGCCACATTTTCTTTTCTTTTTTTTTTTATTATACTTTAAGTTCTGGGGTATATGTGCAGAACGTGCAGGTTTGTTACATAGGTATGCACGTGCCATGGTGGTTTGCTGCACCCATCAACCCGTCATCTACATTAGGAATTTCTCCTAATGCTATCCCTCCCCTAGCCCCCCACCCCCTGACGGGCCCCAGTGTGTGATGTTCCCCTCCCTGTGTCTATGTGTTCTCATCGTTCAACTCCCACTTATGAGTGAGAACATGTGGTGTTTGGTTTTCTGTTCTTGTGTTAGTTTGCTGAGAATGATGGTTTCCAGCCTCATCCATGTCCCTGCAAAGGACATGAACTCACCCTTTTTATGGCTGCATAGTATTCCATAGTGTGTATGTACCACATTTTCTTAATCCAATCTATCATTGATGGACATTTAGGTTGCTTCCAAATCTTATCTATTGTGAATAGTGCTACACTAAACATGGGAGTGCAGATATCTCCTTCAATATAATGATTTCTTCCTTTTGGGTATATACCAACCAATGAGATTGCTGGATCATATGATAGCTCTATTTTTAGTTTTTTGCAGAACCTCCAAACTTTCCCATAGTGGTTGTACTAATTTACATTCCCACCAACAGTGTTCCATTTTCTCCACATCCTCACCAGCATTTGGATAAATGTCATTTTAACTGGCATGAGATGATATCTCACTGTAGTTTTGATTTGTATTTCTCTGATATCAGTGATGTTGGGCACCTTTTCATATACTGTTAGCAACTTATATGTCTTCTTTTGAGAAATATCTATTCAAACTTCAGATCTTTTACTCATTTTGAATTGGATTATTACACTTTTTCCTATAGAATTGTTTGAGCTCCATATATATTCTGGTTATTAATCCCTTATGAGATGAATAGTGTACAAATATATTCTGTGGGTTGTCTCTTTACTTTGTTGATTTTTTTCCTTTGCTGTGAAGAACATTTTTTACTTGATGCGATCCCATTTATCCGTTTTTTCTTAGGTTGCCCATGCCTGTGCTTGCAAAGATTACTCAAGAAATCTTTGCCCAGATTGATGTGCTGGAGAGTTTCCCCCAATGTTTTTAGTCTTTTCATAGTTTGAGGTCTTAGATTTAAGTTTTTAATTCATTTTGATTTGATTTTTATATATGGCAAGAAATAGAGGTCTAGTTTCATTTTTCTGCATATGGATATCCAGTTTTCCCAGCAGACATTTATTGAAAAGACTGTTTTCTCCAACGTATCTTCTTGCCACCTTTGTCAAAAATAAGTTGACTGTAGATGTATAGATTTAGTTCTAGGTTTTGTTTTCTGTTACATTCATCTATGTGTCTGTTTTTATGCCAGTGCCATGCTATTTAGGTTACTGTAGCTCTATAGTATAATTTGAAATTGGGTAATGTGATTAATCCAGTTTTGTTCTTTATTAGTAGGATAGCTTTGGCTATTCTGGGTCTTTTGTGATTCTATATAAATTTTAGGATTGTTTTCTATATTTATGTGAAGAATATTATTGGTATGTTGATTGAGATTGCATTTAATCTATAGATAGCTTTGAATAGTATGGACATTTAACAATATTGATTCCTCCAATCCATAAACATAGAATATCTTCCTATTTTTTTGGTGTCCTCTTCAATTCCTTACATCAGTGTTTTATAGTTTTCATTGTAGAAATCTCACTTCTTTGGTTAAATGAATTTCTAGTTATTTTATTTTATTTGTAGCTCTTGTAATCAAGGATTACATTCTTGATTTCTTTTTCAGATTATTTACTGTTGTCATATAAAAATGCTACTAAGTTTTGTATGTTGATTTAGTATCCTGCAACTTTACTGAATTTATCAATTCTAATAGTTTTTTGGTGGAGTCTTTCGATTTTTCCAAATATAAGTTTGTATCATCTGCAAACAAGGATAATTTGACTTCTTCTTTTACAACTTAGATGCCCTTTATTTCTTCTTGTCTGATTGCTCTAGCTAGGACTTCTAGTGATATGCCAAATAACACTGGTGAAAGTGGGCATCCTTGTCATACTGCAGATCTTAGAGGAAAAGCTTTCAGTTTTTCTCCATTTAGTATGATACCAGCTGTGAGTCTGTCGTACGTGGCTTTTATTGTGTTGAGGCGTGTTTCTTCAATACCCAGATTTTTCAGTTTGTTTGTTTGTTTGTTTTTTGAGATGGAGTCTTGCTCTGTCGCCAGGCTGGAGTGCAGTGGTGCGATCTTGGCTCACTGCAACCTCCACCTTTTGAGGGGTGTTTTTTTAAATCATGACGGGATGTTGAATTTTGTGAAATGGTTTTTCAGCAGCAGTTGAAATGATTATGTGGTTTTTGTCCTTCGTTCTGTTGATATAATACATTACATTGATTTATTTGTATATGCTAAACTATTTCTTGCACCCCTGGGATAAATCTCACTTGGTCATAATGAATGACCTTTTTAATGTGTTGTTGAATTTGGCTTACTAATATTTTGTTGAGGATTTTTGCATCTATATTCTTCAGTGAGATTTGCCTGTAGTTTTCTTATTTTGGTGTGTCTTTGGTTTGGGTATCAGGGTAATACTGGCTGTAGAATGAGTTTGGAAGTATTCCTTCCTCCCGTACTTTTTGATTTGAAATGGTTTGACCAGGATTGGAACTAGGTCTTCTTTATTATATAAATATATATATTTATGGTTATAAATATACATATACTTCTGGTTATAAATATACATATATTTACATTTATGAATATATATACATATATAAACATATATATAAAATATACATATATTTATAAATATATATAAAATATATAATATATAAATATATTTATATACATAAAATATATAATATATAAATATATTTATATATATTTATATCAATATATATATAAATATATAAATATATATGAATATATATATTTATATATATATATGAATATATATATTTATATATATGAATATATATATTTATATATATGAATATATATATTTATATAAATATATGAATATATATATTTATATAAATATATATAAATATATATATAAATATATATAAATATATATAAATATATAAATATATATTTATAAATATATATAAATATTTATATAAATATCTATATTTCTATATATCTATATTTCTATATAAATATCTATATTTCTATATAAATATCTATATATATTTCTATATAAATATCTATATTTATATATTTCTATATAAATATCTATATTTATATATTTCTATATAAATATCTATATTTATATATTTCTATATAAATATCTATATTTATATATTTCTATATAAATATCTATATTTATATATTTCTATATAAATATCTATATTTATATATTTCTATATAAATATCTATATTTATATATTTCTATATAAATATCTATATTTATATATTTCTATATAAATATCTATATTTATATATATATATAAATATATATTTATATATATATAAATATATATTTATATATATTTATAAATATATATTTATATATATATAAATATATATTTATATATATTTATATAAATATATATATATTTATATATATTTATATCTTAATATATATTTGTATAAATATAAATATATATTAATATATGTTTATATAAATATATTAATATATTTATATGTATTAATATATAAATATATAAAAATATATTAATATCTATTAATATATTGATATAGAAATATATTAATAGATATTAATATATTTATATATTAATAGATATTAATATCTATAAATATATTAATAGATAATATCTATAAATATATTTATATATTAATAGATATTAATATCTATAAATATATTTATACATTAATATTCATATATAAATATATAAATAGTAGTATATTAATATATAAATAGTAGTATATTAATATATAAATAGTAATATATTAATTTATAAATAGTAATATATTAATATATAAATAGTAATATATATTAATATATAAATAGTAATATATAATATATTTATAGATTATAATTATAATATTTATATATTAATATAAATATATGTTAATATATATTATATATATATATGTATTTAGAGACGGAGTTTTGCCCTTTGTTGCCGAGGCTGGAGTGCAGTGGTGGGATCTTGGCTCACTGCAACCTCTGCCTCCCAGTTTCAAGCGATTCTCCCGCCTTAGCCTCCTGAGTAGCTGGGACTATAGGCCTGCGCCACCACACCTGGCTAATTTTTGTATTTTAATAGAGACGGGGTTTTGCCATGTTGGCCAAGCGAGTCTCAAACTCCTGCTAGGTCTCCTTTAAATGTTTGGTAGAATTCAGCAATGAAGCCAGTGGGTTCTGGGCTGTTTTTACTGGGAGACATTTTAGGTAATTAGCTGAGGTCGTATTTTCCTGGATGATCTTGATGCTCATTGATGTTTGCCTGTGTTTAGACACGAAGAGTTAGGTATTGTATTCTTCACAGTCTGGGCTTATTTATACCCCTCCTTCTTGGGAAGGCTTTCCAGGTATTTAGAATGACTTGGGTGTTGTAATCTAAGCTGTTTCTGCATTAGGGGCCACCCCAAGCACAGTAATGCTGTGGTTCTTGCAGACTCATAGAGGTACCACACCTAGGTGGTTTTGGATAAGATCTGCAAGAATTCATTGGATTACCAAGCAGAGACTTGTTCTCTTCCTTTCTCTCAAACAAACAGAGTCTCTCTCTATCTGCTGAGCTGCCTAGGGCTGGGGTTGAGGTGACACAAGCACCCATGTGGCTGTTTTAGGCCGGAACTGAAGTTAGCACAGCACAGAGTCTTGCTCAAGGCCCACTGTAATCACTACCTGGCTACCACCTAAGTTCACTCAAGGCCCCAGGGCTCTACAATCAGCAGGTGGTGAAGCCGACCAGGCTTGCATCCTTCCCATTAGGGTAGTGAGCTCCCCCAGGCCCCAGGCTGGTCCATTAATGCCGTCCAGGACCTAGGGGCTAGAGTAAAAAACTTCAGAAGTCTGCCTTGCATTCTCCTCTGCTGTGGATGAACTGGCCATCAAACCATCAGATACAGTCCTACCTGATCTCTCCCTTTTCCATAGGCAGAGGAGCCTCATCTCATGGCCACCACTTCTATAGGCCCATGGGAGTACTGACAGGCTACCATTGATGTTCACTTAGGCCCAGTGGCTCTTTAGTCAGCTTGTGGTGAATTCTGCCATGTCTGGAACGTACCCTTCAGGGCAGTGGCTCCACCTCTGGCCCAGGGCAGGCCCCAAAATGCCATCCAAGTGCCAAGACCTGGAACTAGGGACCCAAAGAGCATGCTTGGTACTCTACCCCACTGTGGCTGAGCTGGTACCTAAGGTGCAAGTGAAAGTCCCCTTTTCCCTTTGCTTTCCTCAAGCATAAGGAGTCTCTTACCATAACTCCCACAGTTGGCAATGTTCTGGGTGTCACCTGAAGCCAGTATGTCTCAGAGTCTCATGTAAGGCCCATGGCATACTACCTGGGAATCACTGCTGGTTATTCAGAGTCAAAGGGATCTTTGGTTAGCAGCTGATAGATTCTGCCTGAACTGGATACTTCCCTTCAAGGCAGCAGATTCCCTTCTGGCACAGGTTGTGCCTAGAAATATCATCCAGGACCTAGGGCCTAGAAGGGGCCACTATTGAACAATGACAAGCCAGGAAATAACAAGTATTGGCAGGGATGTAGAGATACTGGAACTTTTGTGTTGTTGGAATGTAAAATGATATAACTGTTGTGAAAAACAATATGTGATTTCTTACAAAATATAAAATAGAATTACCATATGAGTCAGCAATTTCACTTCTGAGTATATACCCAGGATTACTGAAAGAACACTCTGAAGGAGATATTTGTATATCCATATTTATGGCAGCCATATTCACAATAGCTAAAATGTAGATGCAACCCATGTGTCCATTGATTAAAAAATGAATTTAAAAATGTGATATATATGTATGTATATGCACAATTCTCAAACTGCAGGGTATATATATGTATACACACACACACACACGGTGATATTATTTAGCCTTAAAAGGGTAGGTAACTGTGGCATAGAATACAACACGCATGACCCTTGAGGACATTAGGCTAAATGAAAAAAGTCAGTCACAAAAAAGTACTGTATGATTCCACTTACATGAGGTACTTAGAGTGGTCAAATTCATAAGGACAGAAAGTAGAAAGGTAGTTGCCAGAGGTTGTGGGTAAGAGGGAATGGGGAAGTAATACTTAACAGGTAGAGTGTTTCAGTTTTGCCGGAGGAAAACAGTTCCTGAGATGAATGGTGGTGATTATGAATGTACTTATTACCACTGAACTGTATACTTAAAATTGTTAGGAGGATAAATTTTGTGTGTATTTTACCACAATAAAAATGTTTTATTAGAAAAATAAAATAAAAAAATTCATTGTAACAAAAATGAAGAATGTCTTATTTAACTCCTCAGTAGATAGGACATGGCTGAGGAAACAAGGAAAAAGCCTGAAGAAATGAAAGCAGAAACTTTCAAAACTGGAATTCAAAGTGAAAAAAGGAAGGAAAAAGATGGAACAGAATATTCAAGAAATGTGGGACAACTACACATGGTGTAACTGTGCATAATTGGAATACCAGAAGAACAAGAAAAGGAGAAAGGAACGAAATAAATACTTGCAGTGGTAAAGGGTATAATTTCCCCCAAATAAATGACAGACATGAAAACACATATTCAGGAATCTCAAAACATCAAGCAAGATAAATGCTGAAAGTATATATCTATGCATATCATATTCCAACTGTAGAAAACCAAAGGAAAAAAACATGAAAGAAGCTGTCAGAAAAAAACTAGTGTGAGAGGAATCCCTTCTGTTATTTTCCTCTCTCTATTCTCCTGCCACTTGGCTACCTAGCCAGACCCTTTCAAGGGAAATGCACAGCTGTGTGAGGAGATGAAAGATCCATGTTTTAGCTAGAGGATCAGAGGGAGTCACCTGGGACCAAGTGAGCATGGAGGAGATCACTAAGAATAGCAAATGTAAGAAAAGGAACACACTAAATTGAGTAGAAATTCCCGGTCTCAACCTAAGGTGCCATGTAGAAATTTTTATATTTACCAAGGACTGGAGAAATGATTTAGGGATAGATCATCATTCAGCTCTCAGCCTTGGCCCAGGGTGACTCACAAACACTATGGATAGAAATATCATGGTACCAACAACATCTGAATATGCATTTTTTAAAGCACACATGGAAAACTCACCAAGGTAGATCATTTCCTCAGTCATAGAACAAACAACAACTTTTAAAAAATTCAAATCACCAAAAGTACATTCTTTGAACTTTATGGCATCAAATTAGAAAACAACCAATAGCTTAAGTACAACAGAAAATTCTCAAACTGCAGGATAATTACACAACAAAATCTTCAACAATCCAAGGGTCAAACATAGTCTCAAGGAAATTAAAAAATCCATAGAACTAAATTAAAATGGAAAAGTAACATATCACAACTTGTAGGTTGCAGCTAATACAGTTTTTTTAAGCCTTTGATTTATGGTGATGGTATAAAATTACATAATAGAAATCAATAAATTATAAACAAAAACCCATAGTAATATAAAATAAAAACATGTTTATGAAGACCAAAGTGCCCCAGGTTAACTAAATATTAGTCAAGATTAAATGATCAGATAGACTTTATGATTCATGAACCATTTTTAAGAAAGCAATTTTTATGAAAAATGTAGAGAAACTGAAAAAATCATAAACTACAATTTAAATTTATGAAGTATAAATAAACAAAATGTTTAAATTATTTGAGAACTACCAAAACACCTCCTGAGCCCTCCATAGATGACCTCAGAGCACACTCAGAACTGGCTCTTTTGCTTCTCAGAGCATTTTCAGAGTCACCTTTTCCATGTGCCTGTGTACCACAACTGCCTAAGTAGCTTTTTTAAAAACATGCATTTCCACATCTAACTTTTTTTACTTGTATTATACTTTAAGTTCTAGGGTACATGTGCACAACATGTAGGTTTGATACATAGGTATACATGTGCCATGTTGGTTTGCTGCACCTATCAACTTGTCATTTACATTAGGTATTTCTCCTAATGCTATCCCTCCCCCAGCCCCCTACCCCCCAAAAGGCCCCGGTATGTGATGTTCCCCACCCTGTGTCCAAGTGATTTCATTGTTCAATTCCCACCTATGAGTGAGAACATGCAGTGTTTGGTTTTCTGTCCTTGTGGTAGTTTGCTGAGAATGATGGTTTCCAGCTTCATCCATGTCCCTGCAAAGGACATGAACTCATCCTTTTTTATGGCTGGTTGCAGCTAAAACAGTTTTTAAAGAGAAAACTATACCACATAATACTTATATTAAGATAAACAAAGATCTCAAATAAATAATCCAGGCTTGTACCTTAACAGAAAAAGAAGTAAACAGATTTATCCAAAGCAAGCAGAAAGAAAGAAAACAGGAAACAGAAATCATTGACACTGAAATCAGAAAAGAGATAGAAAAAATCTGGGAAACCAGAACCTGGTTTTTTGAAAGGACCAAGACAATGGATGGAACTCAAGTCAGCCAGACAAAGAGAGAAGACACAAGTTATTAAGGTTATGATGGAAACAGGAAATATCATGACAGAAACTGCAGACATGAGAAGGATAAAAATTAAATACTAAGAACAAATCTATGCAGAAAAATTCAAGAACTGAGATGAAACTTAAGATGAAATGAAATTCCCCCCAAACTCAAAATATCAGAACTCACCTTAGGTGAAATGGATAACCTGAATAGTATCCTAGCTATTAAAGTAATTGATTTCATAGTAAAAATCTTTCTGAGAAAGAAATCTGTAGATCCAGATAGGTTCACTGGAGATTTCTTACAAATATTTAAAGAAAAAGCAACACTAATTTTTATACCCTCTTTCATAAAATAGATGAAAAATGAATGTTTCCAGAATCATCAGGTTAACATCATCGTAATATCACCAGGCTGACAGTATAAGCAAACAAACTAGGAAATACAAAGAAATGAACATACTCGAGGCCAATATGCTTCATAAACATCGATGCAAAAATCTCAAAGAAAATATTAGCAAGTAGAATTCAGCCATATCTAAACAGTGAGTTTTATCTGGGGAATGCAAGTTTTGTTCAATATTTGATAATTTATCAGTGCCATCTACCATATAAATAGACTATAAAATTTATGATAATCTTAATTGAAGCAGAAAACAGCATTTGAGGAAGTACAATATAATCGTAATAAAAACTCTGAGAAAGCTAGAAGTTTAAAGGAACCTATTCAGCAATGCAGTGGGATTCTTATCAGTGGAATAAATAAAGAAAAATAGGAGGCATTCAGAATGGAATGGATTATATAACATTGTAGCCTCACAAGACATGACTGTCTATGAAGAAAATCCCAAGGAAACTGCACAAGAACTCCTAGAACTAATAAGTGAGTGCAAGCAAGGTCGCAAGATAGATATAATGGCACTAAAAATGGAAAGTTGCTCTTGCGTTTCCTCAGGCTCACTGAATGTGTCCTTGGCTCTGTCCAGTCTACTGATGAACCCATGAAAGGTATTCTTCATTTCTGTTACCTTGTTTTTATTTTTAGCATTTCCTTTTGACTCTTTCTTAATGAGTTTCCATCTTTCTGCTAATATTACTTATTTGTTCTTGCATATTATCCACTGTTTCCTTAGAGCACAGAGCATATTCCTCATGGTTTTAAATTCCTGGTCAGATCATTCCAAAATCTCTACCATATCTGAGCCTGTTTCTGATGCCTGCTCTGTATCTTCACACTATGGTTGTGTGTGGTTTTTTTTTTGTTGTTGTTCTATTATTATACTTTGAAATTTTTTGTTACAAACTTGACATGATGTAGTGGGTGAAAAGAATGGAGTTAAATAGGCCTTTAGTGTGAGGTTTACCTTCATCTGGCTGTGTTTACTGTTTGCTGTAGCTGTAGGTGTCAGAGGCTAAACCTCCCTGTGATGTCCTTCATTTTTCCTCCTTGGTTGTGTTTGGTTTTCTGTGGGAACCTGTTCAGTATGGTCTAGCATGCACAGTTCTTTCAGTATTTTTCCCCCAGTTGACGTGGTAGTAAGCTGTGGAGAGAGGAGAAACTGTCTATCCTCCTATGATAGAAGGCTTGAGTCAGTATGCCCTGAGCTGTAGCTTTCACTAGTGCTTCTCAGTTTTGTTTTCTTTTCCCCTTAGAGATACAAGAAGGCTGGAGAGTGTTGTAATTGGATATTTCCCTTACTCTGGGTGGATTCGAGTCTGAAAAAACTCAATAGGTTAAACTGTAGAAAAAGAGTTTCTCTTGAGATCGGTCTAGTTAAGAAAAACAGAACACTCTGGGCATATTTGCAAATGACTGCTTTCCACTCCCCCTACAGGAAGTAGGGAGGGATTTGTCTCCGGTCTTTACTGGGACAACCCGATAGGGCTCCTGGAGATAAAACTCCCAAAAATGTGTTAGCCCCATTAAGATTACGCCCCCAGGAGTTGTTAGCTATCAAATTTACCTATGCTGAGCCTCCAGCCATTCATCTTGTGCAGAGGAGGTTTGCCTATCCTAGTACTTGTTCCTGGGTATTTAGCTCCTGGTCTCCAGGGTTGTGACTGTATCTGTATGTCTCTTGAACTTTGGGGCAGCAGTTTGCCCTATGGTCTCAGTTCTCTGAGGGATCAAAGAAAAGTTGTTTTTCAATTTATTCAGCTTTTCTCTTGTTTGTGTCAATAACAGAGAGACTTCAAGCTCCTTACATGCCCAACTGAAAACAAGAATGGACAATAAAGATGGAAAAAAAACATTTAGAAAAATATCAGTTTTAAGAGAATTAAAAAATTAAATGCTTTGGTACATATCTAACAAAATATGTACATTATCGGGACGTTGAAACTACAAAATGCTGATGAAAAAAATTTCAAAGAAGGCCCAAATAATAAATGGACATACTGTGTTCATGGACTAGAAGACTCAGTGAAGATGTATCATCTATACAAAA
The DNA here is from genome assembly GCF_000001405.40 of Homo sapiens. Lineage (NCBI taxonomy): Eukaryota > Metazoa > Chordata > Mammalia > Primates > Hominidae > Homo > Homo sapiens. The sequence continues at coordinate 149,903,690 of NC_000023.11, read as the reverse complement.
GTGATCTATAGGTTCAGACAAACTGTGGTCAAAGCAGCAGCAGGATTTTTTTCTAGATGTAGACAAGCTGATTTAACAAGTGTGTGGAAATGCAGTGGAGCTGGAATAGGTAAAACAATTTTGAAAACACAGAATAATAGGGAAATCATACTACCCAATTTTAAAATCTGATATAAGCCTATGGTAATCAAGACAGTATGGAATTGGCTAATGGATACACACAGACGCATTTATATAAATATGGAATAGAATGCAGAGTCCTTCAATAGACCCACACAAATTAGCCAAAAGAGTTTTTAGAAAGGAGTGAAGGCAATTCATTAGAAAAATGTTAGTGTTTTCAGGCTGGGTGCGGTGGCTCACGCCTGTAATCCCAGCACTTTGGGAGGCCGAGGCAGGTGGATCACTTGAAGTCAGGAATTTGAGACCAGCCTGGCCAATATGGTGAAACCCTGTCTCTACTAAATATACAAAAATTATGCAGGCATGTTGGCTCACACCTATAGTCCCAGCTACTTGGGAGGCTGAGGCAGGATAATTACTTGAACCCGGGAGGCGGAGGTTACAGTGAGCTGAGACTGAGCCACTGAACTCCAGCCTGAGCGACAGAGCAAGACTCCATCTCAAAAAAGAAAAAGTTAGCATTTTCAATCAGTTGTATTGGAACAATTGAACATCCAACTATTTAAAAAAAAAAACTTTCACCAAAACCTCACACATTATACAAAAATTAACTCAAAGTTGATCATAAATCTAAATGTTATGTGTAAATACTTTAAAACCTTTAAGGAAAACATGGGAGGAAATATTAATGGTCTGAAGTTAGGCAAAGAGGTCTTAAACATGACACTAATAGCATAATTCATAAAGGAAAATATGATAAATTGGGCCTCCTCATAATTAAAACTTTTGCTCTGTGAAAAACTCTGATGAGAGCATGTAAAGTCAACCAAGAGATTGGACAAATATTTGCAAATCATATGGTCTTTTATGAAGATTATATAAAGAGTCCTAATACCTCAAAAATTAGAAAATACGTGTCACAAGACAAATTACACTATATTTAGCTCAATTATCTAATTGGCTTTTATTTGTGATTCTAGAATGTGCAACTGCTAATTCTATCAAATAGAGTGGGTGTTCTGATGAGCTAAGCAGAAGAGGTTGACTTTATATGCAGGAAAGGGCTGAAGAAAAGTAGAAACAAGGGACAAAAAGTTGACTGGTCATTTTGAAGTTGATTTCCTTATATGATAAAAGTGGAGAAAACTTTCTTTCCATGCCTGCTCGAGCACACTGGGCTCTTTGTCATTGGATGCTGTGACTCTCCTGTTTCTTTTTAATTTTTGGAAAACTGGCCCATTTCAAATTTCATTTTGATTATATGGCAATTAGGATGAGTGATTCCATTCTGGTTTCGTCTGTTCTGCTGTTGCCTATCAATGGAGCTTAGTCCAAAACAATTGTCTCCCATGAATTCATTTAACACAACCAACCAAATTTTTTTTTTGTGGGGGGAAGAGGGGCGCCAAAAGATATCAATAGACACTTCACTGAAGTGAACATATGCATGACAAATAAGCACATGAAAAATCATTCTACATCACCTCTGTTAGGGAAATGCAAATTAAACCATGATGAGATACCATAATACTTATTTGAAAATGACTGAAACTTTTTTTAAAAAAATTGCTAAGTGCTAACAAGGATGAAGAACAACTTGAAATCTCATACATTGCTAGTGGGAATTATGATACAACCACTATGGAAAATGATTTCCAAATGTCATATCAACACACTTAGCAATCCCACCCAAGGAAAAAAGAAAAGCTTATGTTCACACAAAAGCTTACATACATGAATGTTTATAACATTTCTGGTCATATTTGCCAAAATCTGGAAATTACTCAAATATATTTCCATGGGTAAATGGAAAATGAAATTTTGGTGCATCCATACTATGAAATACCACTCAGCAATAGAAAGAAATGAACTATTGATACACAACAATGTGTAGTATATCAAACTCAAAGGTGTCTTGCTCTATGAAAGGAGCCAGTCTCAACAAGTTACATATTCTATTATTCTATTTACCTTATATTCTTGAAAGAGAAAAATGAAATGACAAAGTACAGATGAGTGGTTGCCAGGGTTACGTGTGAAGGGGTGGGTATAACTATAAAGGTTTAGTAGGTGGAGGGGATTTTGGGGGGAGGAGGGTGATGAAAGTGTTACTATCGTGATTATGGTGGTGGTTTTATGAATCTACATATGAGCTAAAGCCCACAGAACAGAACACCAAAAGCCAAAAAAAAAACCAAAAATTTACTGTTTGATAACTTAAAGAAAAAAATTAAAAAGTAAGCTGCAGTGACTATATTATATAATTTTTTTTGACTTTATAAGAAGGAAAATTACCATGGATAGAGACATTATGCAATGATAAAAAAGTCAATTAACAAAGAAGACACAATAGTCCTGTTAATTTACTTAAAAGCAGAGCTTCAAAATACACAAAACAACATTTAATAGAACTTAAAGGATAAGTAGTTAAATCTGCAGTTATATTTGGAGATGGCAATGCTCCTTTCTAAGTAATGATGGAAGAAGTAGACAGAAATTCTGCAAAGTTGTAGAAGGAATGGAAGAACAAAATGAACCAACTTGAGCTGATTGATTTTTATTGCACACTCCACAGCACAGCAGCAGGATATACAAGGTTTTCAAGTGTATGCGGAATTTTCACCAAAGTAGACCCTAAATGAGCCCATAATGAATTTAAAATAATTGAAAATGTACAAAGTGTATTTTAAAAATCTAGAATGGAATAAAAAATAAAATATAATAAAGGAGATATCTGTAAAGTCCCCATGTAAATGAACCACATATATTTACTGATCTATGTTTTAAAAAAATTCTTGAAGAAAATTAGAAAATATTTTCAAATAAATGAAAATGGAAATATGTTTTAAATTTTGTGGAATTCAGCTAAGCGAGTGGCTAGAAGAAACATTGTCATTAAAAGCTTATATTAGAAAGTAACAAAGGACTAAAATAAAAAATCTAAACTTTGATCTTACATAATTAGAAAAAGAAAAGAAAGCCAAAGGCAAACAAAAATATGTGGATGATATAAATAAGGAGAGAACAATTAATGAAATAGAAATTTCAGAAGTTTCCAAAAAACAGTAAATGATGTTGATGGAACCAAAAATTATTTCTTTAAATAGATCACACAAGCTGAAATGTCTGATGTCAATCTGAGAAAAATTTTTAAAACGTGGTGGAGAAGTAATGGCTTTCAACACAGCTAGAAGTAAAGGACACTATATGGAAACTACTTTTTTATGACGACAGCACTCCATTTTTAGAGAAACTTGTGAGAAAACCAGATTTGCCTTAAAATTGTCTGAATTTTTAAGTGCCTACTATGTGACAGATGCTATCAAATGCATTAATCCATCAAATTTGAAGAGGATCCTGTAAGGTCAGCATGGAGAGTTCACCTTCTACACTCCATAGCATTTTCTGCACTTCCCTTTGCAACACCATCTATCATCTCGGGAAGCTGAAGATTTCCTCCTTCCATCTGATGCAGGGGCAGAATCTTACCCATCATCTCTGCTACCCTCCATATGACTGTTCTTACCTGAACACATGTACAGGTGCCACTAGTCACACTGAAAGCCAGCATGTTCCTAGAGGCAGATGCCAGACAGGAGGCAGTGGAAGGCTGGTTAATTATTCTTTTCAAATTCTAGTTGGTATGTCCACCAAATAACCATTTTTTCACCTCTGGGAGAAGCCCAGGTTTGGTAAGAATTCAGCTTTAGGAGATGGCTGCTTCTCTTCTACTTCTTATGAGGGGGTGGATGTTCTGAGCACCATCCATCTCTTTGCCTGTTCAGTCTCCACCTTTGGATAAGAACCTCATTAAAATCCTACTGCAAATATCCATGTGGCTTCAAAAACCCACTCTCTACTTTCAGAGCTGAATCTCAAGAACCAGGAAACCTAGAGCAAATATCAAAGTTTGCAGTGAAAGACTGAATGCCTTCTCCTAAGAACAGAAACAAGAAAAGGGTTTCCCCTCTCACTACTCCTATTTAGCATTGTAGTGGGATTCTTACCAGTGAAATCAAACAAGAAATATAAATAAGAGGGACCCAGAATGGAACATATTATACAACATTGTTTCTAACCTTGGAAGACATGCCTGTCTATGCAGAAAATCCCAAGGAAACTGCACAAAAGCTTCTCAAATAAGTGAGTGCAGCAAGCTCACAAGATAGAAGCCCAATATACAATAATAATATTTCCATGTGATGGCAATAAAAGTGGGAAGTTGCTCTTGCCATTTCTTCAGATTCACTGAGTGTGTCCTTTGCTCTGTCCATTCTACTGTTCAGCTCATCAAAGTCATTCTTCATTCTAGCTGTGATATTTTTCATTTTTAGCATTTCCTTTTGACTCTTACAGTTTCCATCCTTCTGCTGATATTACTTATCTGTTCTTGCACATTATCTTCTGTTTCCTTATAGCCCTCAGCACATTCCTCACAGTTGTTTCAAATTCCCAGTCAGATCATTCCAATATCTTTACCATATATGAGTCTGTTTCTAATGACTGCTCTTTCTCTTCACACTGCATTTCTTGTGTATTATGGTTTGAAATTTTTTGTTGCAAACTTGATGTAATGGAATAGATAAAAAGAATGGAGTTAAATAGGCATTTAGTGCGAGACTTTGTGTTCATCTGGCTGTGTTTACTGTTTGCTGTAGCTGTAGGTGTCAGAAGCTAAACCTCCCTTTTGTGTCCTTCATTTTTCCTCCTTGGTTGTGTTTGGTTTTCCTTGGATACTTGTTCATTATGGTCTGACATGTACTGTTCTTTCAGTTTCATTGCCCTATTGATGTGGCAGTGAGCTGTGGAGGGAGGGAAAATGTTCTGTCCTCCTATGACTAGGTGTTAGGCTTGAATCAGTGTGCCTGGGCTGTAGGTTTCACTGGTGCTTCTCAGTTTTGTTTTCCCCTTGAAGACACAAAAGGCTGGATGGTGTTGTAATTGGATATTTCCCTTCCCACAGGTTGGTTAAAGTCTAGAAAAAACCCAGCAAGTTAGACTCTGGAAAAATAGTTTCTCTTGAGTTCAGGCCTTGGTAAGAAGAACAGAACACTCTGGGCATATTTTCTAATTAATTCTTTCCAAACTCCTTACAGGAAGTAGGAAGAGATTTTTCCCTGGTCTTCACTGAGAAAACCTGACAGGGCTCCTAGAGAGAAGATGTTGGAAACAGTGGTAGTCCCCTTAACATGGTTCCCCCAAGAGCTCTCAAACTTGCCAATAGTGAGCCTCCAGCCATTCATCTCGTAGAGATGAGGTTTTCCCATCTTGATACTTGTTCTTGGGTATTCAGCTCCTGGACTTCTTATCTCCAAGGTGTGACTGTATTTTGCCTGTTTCTTTAGCTTTGGTCTGGTAGTTTGCCCTGTGGTCTCAGTTCTCTAAGCAAATCTGAGAAAAGTTTTTTTTTTTTTTTCAATTTATTCAGCTTTTTACTTGTTTGTGTCAATGGAAGAGACACTTCAAGTTTCTTATAGGCTGAACTGGAAAAAAGAATGGACAATAAACATTGGAAAACATATTTTAAAATATCAGTTTTAATAGATTAAAAAATAAAATGCTTTGCTATATAACCAATAAAATAAGTCCCTATCTGTGTGGAGAAATGACAAAATGCTAATGAAGACAATTCAAAGAGGTCCAAGTAAATATATGAACATATTATCTTCATGGACTGCAAGACTCAGTGGAGATGTGTGACCTATACCAAAGCTATCTGTAGATTCAAAGTCAATGCTGTCAAACTACTAGCAGGAATTTTTGTACATGTAGACAAGCTGACTCAAAAAGTGTATGGAAAGGCAAAGGATCTGGAATAGTTAAAACAATTTTGAAACAAAAACCAGAAAATCATGGTGGAATCATACTGCTCAATTTTAAGATGTAATATAAACCTACAGTAATCAAAACAGTATGGAATTGGCTAATGGATACACATATAGATTAATGGAATAGAATGGAGAGTCCTTGAATAGACCCACACAAATATGGCCAATGGAGATTTTTAGAAAGGAGTAAAGACAATTCATTATAAAAATGTTAGGCTTTTCAATCAGTGATATTGGAACAATTGAATATCCATATGTTATTAACAAAAAAACTTCACCAAAATTTCACACTTTAGACAAAAATTAACTCACAGTGGATCATAGATTCAAATGTTATACAAAAAACTATAACGCTTTTAAAGAAAATATAGGAGGAAATACTGATGACCTGAAATCAGGCAAAGAGGTCTTAATCATGACACCAAAAGCGTGATTCATAAAGGAAAAAGTGATAAATTGGATTCCTCAAAATTAAAACTTTTACTTTGGGAAATACATGGATCAGAGAATAAAAAGTCAAATGTGGAGTTACACAAATATATGCAAATTGTATGCCAAACAAAAGTCTTTTATGCAGAATATATAAAGAGTCCTAAAGTTTCAGAAATGAGAAAATGTGTCAAAAGACAAAATTACACCAAATTTGGTTCAAAAATCTAATTAGCTTTCATTTGCAATTCTATAGTGAACAACTTCTCATTCTATTTAAATAGAATAGGTGCTCCAATGAGCTGAACATAACATGTTGGCTTTACATACAGAGCAGGGCTGAGAAATGTACAAACAAGTCTTCAGCCTGGGCCCCATTCCCAGGTAAGTAGCTGAATTGGGGTTTTGTCTTGGAAATTTTCCGTAATGGCTAAAAGTTAAGATTAGCAAGTAGCTGGTCTTAATTTCTACTTACCAATAGAGTACTCGGTAATCCTGTGCTATCTTTTGTTTTGCTTAACTGCCTTTCTGTTTTTCAGTTTGTTTTTTTTACTGTTGTTTTTGCTGTTTTAGTCTTTTTCCCAATGGATTTGGCCAACTCTACTGGACTTGGTCAAATCCAAAGGAAAGTTCCAAATTATGGGGAACAAAGTCTCTGAATTGGCTAAAATCATGCAGCTGAAAAAAAAGAAAGAATTTGATTACCTTAGGTGCATTATTTACATAACAAGGCCACCTTTTAGTAGCCAAGCCAAATTGAAAGAGCAATGGCTGTAGTTCAGTAGCTAAGATTCTGCTCTTTTTTCACATGACAGCCTCGGTTTGGTTCCTAAATCAAGTCCTTTCTGGTTTGATATTTTTGTTACATTTGAACTATCAGCAGTTTATCCCAGCCAAAATATGGTAATGAGATTTAACGAATTTTTTTAAGAGCACAATTATTATGTCAGCTTAATTAAAAGCTAAGATCCAAGATGTATATGTGTGTGTGCCTCTGTGTGTGTGTGTGCCTCTGTGTGTGTGTGTGTGTGTGTGTGTGTATGTGTATGTTCAGAACAGGGATCTCTGAGAAAAACAGAAACAAAAATTTAAAAAGGTAAATATATATGTATACACATACACCTACATATATATTATATATGTGTGTGTGTGTGTGTGTGTGTGTGTGTGTATGTATATATTGAAAAGGCCTTTATGCTTTCTTTCTCTTCTAGAATATTATTTTTTGAGAAAAAGCGTTTTTTACCATTCTCAGTCAACGGAATTCTGTTTTCTCCATTTACTTCTGCCAGTCTCTTTCTTCTTGCCACCGTCTGCTGCATGAGGGGCCTTAAATAATTTCAGGGTCTGTGAAATTAGATTTTTTTCTAATTTCAGAAGCGCTCATTAGAGCTCTTTAGATTTAATTTTTATATATTTAATTATATATTTATATATTGATTTATAATCTATATAATTTAATTTTATATATGTAATTGGCTTACAGACAAAAAAATCACTTAAATCAAATACTTTATCAGAAAAATAGGAGCCCAAATGCTTTTATAAGCTTACTTAAGTAAATCCTTAATAAATAAGTTGGTTTTAAAATTATTGGTAAAATAAAATTAGAAATTTCTTCAGAATGGTCAACATACATTATTGTTGGATTCATTGGTCTAGTAGTTTAATATTTAATATCTGTTAGGTGTTATAAGTTGTCAAAATTTCGCAGGAGAATTGTAAAGCTTGCAGCCCACAAGAGAATTATTTTTGTATAGTTTTTTATAAATAAGGCACTGAATATTGTTGAGTTTAATGGGAACAGCTAAATCTTGAATATTGGCAAAATATACCATTTTTTTAACCTTAAGATTCTTACTGAGGTAAATACCTGAAATGCACGTGCTATAAAATGGTTAATAGGGATATAACTTTAAATGATGACTATCACAATTTTCATAAACAATCTAGTTAAACGATTGAAAAATACAATTAATTAATTGATTAGGAAAATGTAATGAAATAAATGCTTGCAAATAAACCTCACATAGTTTAGAATCTAAAGTTGTATTGAGTTAAATAATAGATATTCATTAAATGGATCATTTCCAATTTCTTTAAAAAAATTATGGGGAAACATTTTTCATAAAAAATGTGTTCTTATTTAAAGGGAAATAAGTTTAGTCTAAATTTAAATGTTATTTAATGGTTATTTTTGAAACAAGGTAAAAGGAACCAGTAAATAAGAGAGATGTAAAGAAAGTTATAGATATAATAAGATATTTTGGTAAGAAAGGCTAAAAGGAGACTAATTTTATATAAAATGAATCTTGCATGGTAAATTTTTTGCCCTAAAATAAAATGACTGGTTATTTAAGAAAAAGGTTGTTTAGGATACAACAGGAGGTCCAAGAATGTTGTAAATGGTTTCTCTAAGCCATAATAAAGTTTGTAAAAAGAGCATTCATAAGACAGAAACTTTATGTGATCAAGTTGGCTATAACTAAAAAGAAATTATTTATAATTGTCTTTCTAGAGATTGGGTATTGATAAGGAAAAAACACTAAAACACTAAGGAATTGGTTAGAACAACAACATTTTTAAGGTATTGATTTATTATTAATAAAATTACAAGGGATTTTAATTTTTTAACTCAAAAGCTCAACTGTTATTGCATCTCACTGTTTTCAGCTTTCTCTCCCCTTTGAAAAGGGCTGAGATAATAACTGTCTCCTTTAACTTTTTCGTCAGCTCCTGTAACCTTTTTCCTCAGGTTTTAACTGCTGTTGTGGACTGATGCTGAAAGTGTTTCATTTTAAAGGTCTAAAGGAAATGTTTTCTTCCAGTATGATATTCTGTGCTCTTGGCTTTAAATTCTATGAAACTAAGAATTTTCACTTATGACCCAGGACACACTCTACCTATTTCTAAGTACTATTTTCATTAGTTCTGACTTGCAGGTTATCTAAAAGGACTCCCCATAGGAAAAGCATTCACACTGCAGAAGGTTGTTTTTTGTTTTTTTTTTAACTTTTGGTAAGTGGCCTAACAAACAAATTTTACATTTTATCAAAATAATTCCTATGTCATTGTTACTATGTTTTGATTTCCTCAGGAAAACTGAGATAAAAAATTAAGATTATTACATCCATGTAAGTTTCTGTATTTCTTTTTTTTTTTTTTTTTTTGAGGCGAGGTCTCGTTCTATCGCCAGTCTGGAGTGCAGTGGCGATCTTGGCTCACTGCAACCTCCGACTCCTGGGTTCAAGCGATTCTCCTGCCTCAGCCTCCTGAGTAGCTGGGATTACAGTTGCCTGCCACCACGCCCAGCTAATTTTTTTTGTATTTTTAGTAGAGACGGAGTTTCACCGTGTTAGCCAGGATGGTCTCGATCTCCTGACCTCGTGATCCGCTCGCCTCGGCCTCCCAAAGTGCTGGGATTACAGGCGTGAGCCACCATGCCCGGCCAGTTTCTATATCTCTTTTAAAGTCCTAGTGCTATTAAGTTACAGGGCTTTGATTCCTGGGACTAAAAAGGATGCCAAGTCCTGCTAAAAGCAAAAGATGAGGAGAGGAAGGAGCCCAGGGAACGAGAGCACAGGATGAACCCAAGTTCACTTTGATTATGTGGCAGTCAGCACCAGTGTTTCCATTCTGTTTTGGTCTGTTTTTCTGGGACCTGGGGATAGACCTTAGTCCAAAACAATGCCTCTTAAGAATTCATTTAACACAAACAACCAAATTTTGTAAATGGGCAAAAAACATCAATAGACACTTCCCCTAAGTGGACATACACATGACAAATAAGCACATGAAAAAGTACTGTCCATCTCATCTATTAGAGAAATGAGAATTAAACCATGATGAGATAGCATAACACATATTTGAAAATGATTTTTTTTTTTTTTTTTTTTGAGACGGAGTCTTTTTTTGAGATGGAGTCTTGCTCTTGTCGCCCAGGCTGGAGTGCAGTGGCACAATCTCGGCTCATTGCAACCTACACCTCCCGGATTCAAGCTTCCCCTGCCTCAGCCTCCTGAATCTGGGATTACAGGCACCTGCCACCACGCCCGGCTAATTTTTGTACTTTTAGTAGAGATGGGGTTTCGCCATTTTGCCCAGTCTGGTCTCAAACTCCTGACCTCAGGTGATCTGCCTGCCTCGGCCTCCCAAACTGCTGGGATTACAGGTGTGAGCCACTGCACCTGGCTGAAAATGACTGAATTAAAAAAAAAAAAAAGATATTACTAAGTGCTAGCAAGGATGAAGAAAATCTTGTATGTTGCTAGTGGGAATTGTGAAATGGTACAACCACTGTGGAAAATGATTTGGTAATTTTTTTTTCTAGTTTTGCAGTTTGTACTGCATTTATTGTTTAAAAACCTTTTATTTAATTATTTTTTGTTTCTTCCCAACTTTTATTTTTGCTTTAGGGGTACATGTTCGTGTTCATTACATGGGTAAATTGCATGTCATGGGGGTTTGGTGCATCGATTTTATATCACTCAGGTAATAAGCATAGTACCACATAGGTAGTTTTCTTTGTTTTTGATTCAGAGTCTCACTCTCTTACCCAGGCTGTAGTGCAGTGACATGATCTCGGCTTATTGCAACCTCTGGGTTCAAGCAATTCTCGTGCCTCAGCCTCTCGAATAGCTGGGATTACAGGCATGCATCACCACGCCTGGCTAATTTTTGTATTTTTAGTAGAGATGGGATTTCACCATGCTGGCCAGGCTGGTCTCGAGCTCCTGACCTCAAGTGATCCACCCACCTTAGCCTCCCAAAGTCCTGGGATTACAGGCATAAGCCACTGTGCCCGGCCAAGAAAGGTAGGTACTCCCATCTCTACCCTTAAGTAGGCCCCAGTGTTTCTTTTTCCCTCCTTTGTGTCCGTGTATACTCAATGTTTAGCTTCCACTTACAAGTGAAGACATGTGGTATTTGGTTTTCTGTTCTGCATTAATTTGCTTAGGATAATGGCTTCCAGTTGTATCGTTATTGCTGCAGAGGGCATTATTTCTTTCTTTTAATGATGCATAATAGTCCATGGTGTATGTATACCACATTTTCTTTATCCAGTCTACCATTGACAGGGATCAAGGTTGATTGCATGCCTTTGTTATTGTGGATAGCGCTGTGATGAACATTTGTGTGCATGTGTCTTTATGGTAGAACAATTTGTATTCCTTTGGGTACATACCCAGTAATGGGATTGCTGAGTGAATTAGTAGCTCTGGTTTAAGTTCTTGGAGAAATTTCCAAACTACTTTCCACAATGGCTGAAGTAATTTACATTCCCACAAGCAGTGTATAAATGTTCCCTTTCATCACAACCTTAGCAGCATCTGTTATTTTTTGACTTTTTAATAGTAGCCATTCTGACTGTTGTATAATCTCATTGTGGTTTTGATTTGCATTTCTGTAATATTAGCAAGGTTGGACACTTTTTCATATGCTTGTTGGCCACTTGTATGTCTTCTTTTGAGAAATGCCTACTCTTGTCCTTTGCCCAATTTCAATGGGGTTGTTTGTTTTTTGCTTGTTAATTTGTTAATCTTCCTTAGAGATTGTGGATATTAGACTTTTGTTGGATGCATAGTTCGCAAATATTTTCTCCCATTCTGTAGCTTGTCTGTTTACTCTGTTTATAGTTTCTTTTGATATGCAAATTAGGTCTCATTTGTCAATTTTTGTTTTTGTTGCAATTGCTTTTGGAATCTGCATCATGAAATCTCTGCCAAGGCCTAGTTCCAGAATGGTATTTCTTAGGTTTCCTTCTAGGATTTTTATAGTTTTAGGTTTTTGAATTAAATCTTCAATCTAGTTTTAGTTGACAAATTAAAGATTAATCCATCTTGAGTTGAAACTGGAAGGGGTCCAATTTAAATCTTCTGCCTATGGCTAGCCACTTATTCCAGCACCATTTATTAAATAGGGAGTCATTTCCTCATTGCTTGTTTTTATCAATTTTGTTGAATGTCAGATGGTTGTATGTGTGTGGCTTTATTTCTGGGTTCTCTAACCTGTTTCATTGGTCTATGTGTCTGTTTTTCTACCAATATCATGCTGTTTTGGTTAGTGTAGCTTTATAATACAGTTTAGAGTTGACTAGTGTGATGCCTGTGGCTGTGCTCTTTTTCCTTAGGATTGCTGTGGCTATTTACATTCTTTTTTTGGTTCTGTATGAACTGTAGAATATTTTTTTTCTAATTATATGAAAGATGTCATTGGTAGTTTGATAGAAATAGCATTAAATCAGTGACACATATACACCATGGAATACTATGCAGCCATAAAAAAGATGAGTTCATGTCCTTTGTAGGGACATGGGTGAAGCTGGAAACCATCATTCTGAGCAAACTATTGCAAGGACAGAAAACCAAACACCGCACATTCTCACTCATAGGTGGGAATTGAACAATGAGAACACTTGGACACAGGGTGGGGAACATCACACACCGGGGCCTGTCATGGGGTGGGGGCAGTGGGGAGGGATAGCATTAGGAGATATACCTAATGTAAATGACGAGTTAACGGGTGTAGCACACCAACGTGACACATGTATACATATGTAACAAACCTGCACGTTGTGCACATGTACCCTAGAACTTAAAGTATAATCAAAAAATAATAATAATAATAATAAATAAATAATAAAAAGAAAGAAATTATAAAAATAAAAAAATTTTAAAAATCAGTAAATTGCTTTAGGCAGTATGGCCATTTTAACAATATTGATTCTTCCTATCCATGAGCATGGAGTATTTTTCCATTAGTCTGTGTTAACTCCAATTTCTTTCAGCAGTGTTTTGTCATTCTTATTGTAGAGATCTTTCACTTCTCTGATTAGTTGTATTCCTAGGTATTTTATAATTTCATGGCTGTTGTGAATGGGATTTTGTTTTTTATTTGGCTCTCTTTGTGAATGCTGTTGACGTATAGAAATACTACTGATTTTTGTACATTGATTTTGTATCTTGAAACTTTGCTGAGGTTATTTATCTGATCTAGGAGCTTCTGGGCACAGACTATGAGGTTTCGTTGGCATAAAACTATATCATCTGCTAAGAGAGATAATTTGACTTCCTCTCTTCCTATTTGGATGCCTTTTGTATCTTTTTGTTGCCTGATTGCTCTGACTAGGAATTCTAGTACCATGTGGAGTAGCAGTGGTGGGAGTGTGGATCTTTGTCTTGTTCCAGTTCTCATGGGGAATGCTTCCAGCTTTTGGCCATTCAATATGATGTTGGCTGTGCGTTTTTCATAGATGGCTCATATTATTTTGAGGTATGTTCTTTCCATGCCTAGTTGGTTGAAAGCATTTTCCAATGTGGACATATACATGACAAATAAGCACATGAAAAATTATTCTACATCACAGCTATTAGAGAAATGCATATTAAACCATAATGAGATATGGTAACATATATTTGAAAAAGATATTTAAAAGACATGGCCTGGCACTGTGACTCAATGCCTGTAATTCCAGCACTTTGGGAGGCTGAGGCGGGCGGATCACTTGAGGCCAGTAGATTGAGACCAGCCTGGCCAACATGGTGAAACTCCATCTCTACTAAAAATAAAAAATAAAAAAAATTAGCCAGGCGTGGTGGTGCACGCCTGTAATTTCAGCTACTTCGGTGGCTAAGGCAGGAGACTCGCTTGAACCCAGGAGGCAGAGGCTGCAGTGAGCTGAGATCACACCACTGCACTCCAGCCTGGGCAACAGAGTGAGACTCTCTCTCAAAAAAAAAAAAACGACAACGACAACAACAACAAAAAACCATTACTAAGTGCTACCAAAGATGAAGAACAATTTTAAATCTGATATGTTGCTAGTAGGAATTATGAAATAGTACAACCATTGTGGAAAATGATTTGATGGTGGTGGCTCCCTAAATCTACACATGGGCTAAGGCCACAGAACAGGACACATAAAGAAAACAAAATTACTGTTAATTTAAATAATGAAATTAAAAATTAAAAAAAGAAAGTTGGAGTGATTACATTGAGTAAACTTTTAAAAACTTTATAGGAAGGAAAATTACCATGGATAAATAGGGACATTATGCAATGATAAAAGAGTTAATTAAGAAAGAAGACATAATAATCCTGTTAATTCACCTAAAAGCATTATTTCAAAATACACGAAACAATTTCTGATAGAACTGAAAGGATAAATAGTCCAATCTACACTTGCATTTGGAGATTGCAAAACTCTTCTCTGAGTAAATGACTGAAGTAGACAAACTCTGCAAGGTTATAGAAGAAACTGACAACACAAAGAACCAACTTGATCTGAGTGGCCTTTACTGGACACTCCACAGAATAAGAGCAGAATGTATAATATTTTCAAGTGTGTGTGGAATTTTTACCAAGATAGACCATTAAACAACCCATAAAAAATTTAAAACAACCGAAATTGTACAAAGTATATTTTAAAAATCTATAATGCAATAAAATGTAAATATAACAAAGGACATACCTATAAAGTCCCCAAGTATTTTTAAATAAACAACACATTGTTACTACTCTATATTTAAAAAAATTCTTGAGGAAAACTAGAAAATATTTTCTGATAAATAAAAATGGAAATATGATGTTTTAAAATTTGTGGAATTCGGTTAAGGTAGTGCCTATGGAAACGTTTATGTCCTTAAATGCTTACATTAGAAAGTAACAGAGGGCTCAAATAAAACATCTAAAATTTGCTCTTAAATAACGAGTAGAGGGAAAGTACATTAAAACTAAGGCAAAGAAAGAGATGGGGTGGTATAGATAGGAAGAGAAAAATTAATGAAATTAAAATTTCAGGAATTTCAGGGAAACAATAAATGAACTTTATAAAACCAATAGTTAGCTTTTTTGATAGATCAGACAAGTCCTAGTGTCTGATGTCAATCTGAGAAATTTAAAAAAATATTGTTGTTGAGAAGCATTGGCTTTGAACACAGCTAGAAATAAAGCCAACTACATACAAACTATAATTTGTCTTGATAACTACACCCTTAATTTATCAGAGAAGTTTCTGAGAAGACCAGCTTTTGTTTGAATTTCTCTTAATTTGTAAGGGACTGCTATGTGTCAGAAGCTTTCAAATGCATTAACCCATCTAATTTGAAGATAATCCTGTAAGGTCAGCTGGGTGAGTTCACCTTCTTCACTCCATAGCATTTTCTGCACTTCCTTTTGCAACACCATCTGTCACCTCAGTAGGCTGAGGATTTCCTCTTTCCATCTGATGCAGGAATAGAATCTTACCCACCTTCTCTGCTACCCTCCACATGATTTGTTCTTGTCTGAACACCTGTATAGGTGCCACTAGTCACACTGAAAGCCAGTATGTTCCTGGGGGCAGATGCCAGACAGAAGGCAGTGGAAGGCTGGTTCTTTTCAAATTCCAGCTGGCATGTTCACCAAGGAACAGTTTCTTATGTCCTAGGAGGAGCCCAGGATTTGTAAGAACTCAGCTTCAGGAGATGGCTGCTCTTCTTCTACCTTTTATGAAGGAATGGGATTCCTGAGCACCATCCATTTGCCTGTTCAGTCCCCAGCTTCAGACAAGAAGCTCATTAAAAATCCTTCTGCAAATATGCTAGTGGCTTAGACAAACTACTCTCTACATTCAGTGCTGTATCCCAAGAATCAAGAGATTATGGGCAAAGCAGACTCCACTCACACCCCATTGGGAAAACAAAGAGTATTTAGAGGACTCCCAGGGAGAGAGGACGAGGTGTCTAAAGTCACAGTCCAGAATGGCTGTGGCTATGGGACAGGACTGAGGGTGCGTGGTGGAAAAGTCAGGGAACTTTTGCAGGGCTAGGAATGTTCCACGTCCTGGGGAGGGCAGGTGATTCTGTGCAGCCTCCAGAGGTAGCAGGGAAGAGCAAGCAGCGGGCTAGGTTCCCAGAGGTGGAACAGAGGGTACATGAGGGGGACCAGATGAAGGGTGTTGTAACTCAGGAAAGTGTTGGAGCCAGACAGAAATGCTGGCTAGGAGTGTACTTGCCCCATGTGCTGAAGGAGAGAATCCAATATGTGGATGAGCACTTGTAGGCTTTCCCATAACGTGTTTCATAGTAGGTGCTCAACAGAAAGCACCCAACAGTCAGCTCCCAGGGGAACCATCATGCCCCTAATGCTGTTTGATTCTCATTGTCACCTTCTTTTGGCCTGCTTTTACTACCTTGGCCTGAGGGTCCTTCTTTTTGTCACCTGAGAGACATGATGCAGTGCTGAGAAATGAACTACTTACTATTCAGGAGGTGGGCCTCAGGCTGGCAGGAATGGGAAGAGCATGAGCTCCAGAGGAATCACACTAGAGATCTGGTTCCAGCCCTATTACTAGCCATGTTATCCTGGGAAATGCCCAAGCCCTGTGAGCCTTGGGTTCTTCATCTGTGAAGCAGGTGTGATAAGCCCTGTTCAACAGCACTGTTGGAGTGTATGCAATGTAAATGATGCACCTGGCTCAGGGCCTGGTGTAATTTAGAAGTTTAAAGAATGGCAGATGACTATATTTCTACTATTTGACCCCAGGCCCTAGCACTCTGAGATTTTGTTCTTGTTGATTTCTCCAGGACTTATCAGAAAATATGCAGCTTATTAGGACCTGGAAGAATTACTTAGCCAAAAAAAGAAGTTTTGTCAATGAATTTCAGTAAGTTTACCCACTCAGAGGGTATACTTCAAAATTTCAGTGTGCAGGGGTCTTCCTCAACTGGAATGCAACTCAGAGCTCCTAGAATATGAGTCAAGAATAAACTCCTTCCCTCTCAGCTTCTTTTCCATCTAAACCACTATTTTCATTCATTATATCACCACCCCAAATCTTTTCCCTTGTTTTAACTGGCCAAATTGCACTTCAGATAAGCTAGTTAGAATGTCTCTTTAATAGAGTCAGCTCTGGCTCACACAACCAGGAAGAAAAACACCTGGCCAGTGGCATCTGAGCCTCACATCCCAGGAGATTCACGCTTCTCTCTAAGGAAACCCTTCCGGATGATGGGTATCCATCATCAACTTCGTGTGCCGTGTTCAACTGCACTGAGACAAGAGTGCAGGACACCTCCCATTCCTGCCCCAGGAGGAGATGCCTCTCTGTTTCATCCACCATCCAAAAGGAACTGCTGAGCATGTTTCCCTTCCAAGCTTTTCTCTCGTCCTCTGAGAATCTGGCTCTGGCCCCACCCCGCTTCATTAGAATCAGCTCGCCCAAAAGGTACTGCAGTTTCCCAAAGCCCAAAAGGCCTTGGTTCAGGGCATGTACACTCCACCACTTCCTGTTGCTCCACACGCTCATCCCTCTCTTATTTTTCCTTTAGATCTTAGAGGATACCTGGCCACCTTAGTTATGTGGCTGCAGATACTAGACTCTACCACCCTAAGGTCAGGGGTGGGCCTGGCTTACTGTAGCATCTCCAATACTAACCCAGGGCCTTCCAAATAGCGGAAGCTCAATGAATATTTTGGGAAAAAATGAGCCAGTGAGCAGGGGGACTTATTTATTCATATTTAATTCAATTTCATTCTCAAAGAAGCCAAGCAAATTCAGGTACATAGGGTACACTAAGAGGTACAGGTAAGGCAAGAATTAACTATTGTTTAATTTCTTTATGTCTTTATCTCATGTATTTTACTGCTATGTTGTTTCACATTTCTAAAAAAACCTTAATCCTCTGCTCTTGTAGTGTCTGAATTCAAGAAATAACATGGGTTTCCCAGTATAAATGAAAAGCAAGACTCTTACTCCTAAACTATATAAAAAGCAGTAAGTCTGTCTACTGTCATACATAAAATGAATGTTGAAGTTCATTACACCATCCATTAGAAGGAACATTGGAACAATTCCAAAAGGAAACAAAGATAAACCTCCAAATCGCCCAATAGAACAGGAACTGAGAGATGGTCCACACTGTGTTCCCTCACACCCAACATGCTCCCCACTACTGAGAACTGTGACTGCTCTCTTCAAACACAGAGTGAAGAATGGGCCTCATGTAACAGAGCAGGGAAAGTGGTGGATGTGGCCCTGGAACGTGCACTGGCCCAGGCCCTCCCACAACCTGCCCCACTGGCCCTAGCTGCAACTCCTGCTCAAACTCCTTTCTCCTCTCCCAAAGCCTCTTCATGCAGGGATGGGTAGGAAATGCGAACTCTTGCATTGACCCTGACCACATGCTCCAGGACTTTCACATAGCTGGTTTCAGCAAGGGCCCTTGGACCCCACAGGAACTCGTAGCGCACAGGATCACTGCCGGGCGCCTGGCGGTACTCCAGGTAGTTCTCCTGCACCCACTCTTGGGTGAGCAGCTTCCTGAGCTTCCAATAGACACTGTGCTCCCTCCCATCATACAGCCCCATCACACTCAACGCTTCCCAGATTGCCTCCTCCGGGGCGCGGCTGCCCTCCATTAAGATCATGCCCAGGACGATTATCAGGAGGCCGGTCTTGGGCGTACTCTGATCATCACCCAGCAGGCCATCATAGGAGAGGCCCAGGCAGGTGACAAGGATGTAGGAGTGGCCGGCAGGGTCCACTTCCTTCACATCAATGCCAAAGATCACCTGCATGCACTCAGAGGCTTTGCTGAAGATATCAGGAAAGTGGTTCTTGTAATTTTTGATGACACTCTCAAGCATTTCTGCCTTTGTGACCGGCTCCTTAATTTGATATTTGCGGAGCAGGAAACGAACTAACTCAGCCACTTTCTCATCAAGTGCTTCCCGGAACAGGGACTCCAGGTGAGCTGGGTCCGGGGAGGTGCTTGGCCCCTCCTCTTCATTGCTGCTGGAACCCTCATCGGATTGGCTCCACAGAGTGCTGTCGGTGACAGTCAGGGAAGAGGAGGCACCCTCAGGACTCTGGGGAGGACTTGGTGACCCAGAATCAGTCACCTCCTCAAGGGTTCCCATGATCAGAGTAGAGGAGGAGGATGCAGCCTTCTGCTCCTCAGCTGTGGGAATCTGCACATCCATAAGCCCTGGTGCCTCTCCTTGGGCCTGAAGGCCTTCCTCAGCCTTGTAGCGCTGACTCTTCTGCCCAAGAAGCATGATGACTCAGGTCAGGGCAGCAGGAGAGTGTGGGCCGGAGCTGGGCAATTGAGACCCACAGGCCTGGGGAGAGAGGAAGCGTGTGAGAGGCCTCAGCTGGGTACTACACCCTGGATGCCCTAACAAAGGTCTACTTACAGGTCTTCTTCAGTGCTTCTCTGGGGCCTCCTGACCTCCTGGCTGGCCTGTTCTCTGCGAACCTGAAGGAGAAATTGAGAGGGCATCTCAGGGTGCAGCCTCCTGGCAAAGGCCAAGGCTCCAGGACTGACAAAAGGGCTGGTAGGGCCAGGAACTGTGGGGTTCCTGCTGTTCTGATGCCAGAGGGGCCTCTGGTATACATACAGGGGAAACACCACCTCAGCTTGACTGCTACTACTGCCTGGGCCTCTTATGCTCTGTGATTGAAGATACTGCCTCAGACCAAGACCTCACAGCCTGGTTCCTGGAGCTCCTAGAAGATAAATCGAGGGGAACTCAGGCTGCAGACTGCAAGCACAGCCCCAGCACCCCAGTGCTGTCAGGAGGGTGAGCCTGACTCTGTGAGCTCCCCACTATTTTGTGTGGATGGTCCTTTCTGTGCTCATTCAGGGCCCTCATCTTTCTCCTGGCAGGGCCTGGATCTGGCCCTTTTGCTGGCCTGAGAAACTTTCAGATCAAGAGTTTATATCCCTGATATGGAAGACAAGGATATGAAGGGACCCACATCTGGCCCCACATGCCCAAGGCCTCCTGGGAAAAAAGCAATAGCTACACAAAATGCAATGGGGCCCACGTGTCCTGTCCTAGGGTGAGAAAAAAGCAATAGCTACACAAAATACATTGGGGCCCATGTGTCCTGGGCTGACCTGAGGCCACTTCCTTAATCCAAGGACCTATCTCCAGGAGACACTGGAAGAGCAAATGAGGGGATTCCATCCACCCACCTTTCCCTGCACTTCCCATGGCTGACAGAAGGTGCAGGGTGGGGTTCGGTCCTGTGTGTTTGGTGAGTGGTGTCCTCTGAGTCCCTGACTCCTGGCAGGGCCTTGGACCCCCGCTCTGCTGACCTGAATGCAGTGCCCTCAGACCAAGGCCTTCTTCTCCCTGAGACCAATGAGTCTGGTATAACACAGGGGCCTCAGCTGATAGTCCTGCTCATGCTCTCAGGGGTGACAAAAGAGGCCGGGCAGATTTCTGTTGGGCCCCCATCTGTTTTTTGCCTGCTAGGAGAACCATCGAGGGTACCCTCAATCTTCCCTCAGTGTTGTCACCTAGACTCTTGGTAGATTCTTGGACCACTGAGTCTGTTGCCCACATGGGGGTCCCTGTTTTGTCCTGAGTTGCCCTCTGAGAACAAGGTCCTCACTTCCCTGAGATCTCAAGAGAGAAATGAGGAGCCACCACATCTGATGACCACTGGGTGGGGTGTCCAGGGGTGACACTAGGATCTGTCCCTACTTGTTCTTGAGTGGTGGGTTCTAAGGTCTTCAGGGGGTTATTCATCTTTCCCCTGATGGAGCCCGCCCTTCCTCAACCCACAACACCCTGATATGAGCAGACATCTCCCCTTACCACCAAGACCTTATCTTCCTGCGTTTCCCCAACTTCCTGCCCACAGTACAGATGAGATCTCCACTTAGGGCCACCCTTGATCGGGTTCCCCCAGAGATAATAACCAAAGTTAGCCAGACTTTGTGGGGTCCCTTCTTTCCAGGCCAGGAGTACCCCCATTCATCACAAAGTGAGCACATCTTGGGTCCTGCAGATCCTGTGACCCCGTCCCTCTGTTGAACAGGTGTGGCTCCCTCTGCTGAGCTGAGGACGCCCTTCAGACCCAGGTTGCTACCTCCCTGAGACCCAGGAGGCAGAAGTAAGGAGGCACTACATGGACAACCCTGCATGGGATTCCCACGGCTGACAGAAGTAGTAGGTTTCATGGGGTCTTTCTCTGTCTGGGTGTCATCCAGGTATTCATATTTACTCCACGACAAGGCATGGCCCTTTCCTTCCTGCTGAACCGTGGATGTGTCTTGCATGCCAAGGCCACCATCTCCTTGAGGCCCCCTACCAGAAAGTGGGGGGGCCACATCCCTTCCCCACTGTCCTGCCTTGGGTGCCCAGACCTGAGAGTGGGAGCAGGTTTCCTAGGCCATGATGGGAGGTCTGCTGAGTCCTCCTTAAGGGCTCTGGGGCACCTCTCTCCAGTGATCTGAGACTCCACTCCTCAGACCACAGCTGTCTCCTTTCTGACACCCTGAAAATGCAGCAAGGATGCGCCACATGCAGCCACAGATCCTGGGACTTCCCAAGGCTGAGATCTCCACTGATCTGGAGTCCAAGGACCCCTGAGTCCTCCCTCTTCTTCTTCTCCTTGACTCCTGGCAGGGCTGTTCACCACCCCCCTGCTGACTTGAGTTTCAGTCCCTCGGATTCCTGAGGCCAAATGTGGAGGCCCCTCAGTCTCAGACAGGTAGGGTGGGCCCCCTGTCCTGGGGTCCTGGGTCCCCTCGGGCCTCCTCATCTCCCAGCATAGCCTGGGCCCTCCCTCTGCTCCTCTTGAGTCCGTGCTCATGAAGCCCCTTTGCTGCATCAGCCCCGGATGCGGACGTCAGAATCAGCGAGCCCGGCCGCCATGCCCGGCCGCCATGCCCGGCCGCCATGCCCGGCCGCCATGCCCGGCCGCCATGCCCGGCCGCCATGCCTAGGGCTTCCCAGGGCTGACAGTAGGGGCAGAGATGTGCTCTGTGGAGCCTCAGCCCTCCCTCAGGGTCCTGCCCTTGATGCCTGGCAGAACCTGGGCCCTGCCCTCTGCTAACCAGCCCTGCTCTGGTCACACCAAGCTCTCACTCCAGATTCCCCTGGGGCTTAAGCGCAGGGCTGGCGAGGGGTGGCCCAGCCAGACAAGTCTGCCCCCTGGTGGTCCAGGGCTGGCAGCAGGGGCGGCGCTAGATTATTTTGGGTCCTATATGAGGGGTGGGGGCCTCCTCAGTCCTCCCTCAGGGTCTCACCTTGCCTCCTCACAGACCCTGAGCCCGCTTCCCTCAGCCGATCTCAAGCCGACCCCTCAGAACCAGGCCCTCGCTTCTCTCTGATCCCCGCGGCCACGTCAGTGGCGTCACATCCGTCCACCCAGGGCTCACCTGGGTGGACAACAGGGGCGGAACCGGATTCTAGTGGGGCGGGGGATGAGGGAGGAGCGGTTCAGTCATCCCTCAAGGTTCTCACTTTGAGATCTGGCAGAGCCTGGAGCTCCGTACTCTGCTGATGGTGTCTGCTTCCCTCAGACCAAGGTTCTGATTCCGAGTCCCCTGAGGTGGCAGTGGGGGGAAGGGTGTGGTGGGGGGACAAGGCTGCTGGGGTCTTTCAGGGCTGACATGAGGGTCTGAGCTGAATTATGTGGCCCCTCTATGTGGTGTGGGTGGACCCTCAGTCCTCACTCAGGAGGGTCCTCTTCTTGACTCTTGGCTCTTTTAGGAGATACTCTGTTTCTGTCACCTCTGAGCATTTGCACAGCTGCACCCCTTGCAGAGAATGGCTGCGGGTCCCAGGCCAGATTCTCCCTGTGGGTTTGCAGCACCTAAGATTGTAGTGACCTCTGGGAGAAGAGGCACACCTTCCCACGGGGGCTCTTCCCCAGCTAGAAGAGGATTTTGCAAAACTTTTGTACTAAATGATTTATTTTTACACTGAAGAAACTGAGTAGCTGCAATAAATTTGTGGAAGTCCTGAGTTTTGAAGTTACCTAACAATTCCTATTCCACTTTAGTGATTTTCATAATTTAATTCGCATTCGTATAGTAAGAAACGAATTTTAAATCTATGCCAATTGTATATGTGCATTATATTTATGTTTATATGCATAAACACATATGTATGTATATGTTTATATTATATATGTGTAATTATATGAATGTATGTGTATATATCTTTACATATATTTATACATATATGTATGTCGACTATACGTACTTATTTTATCAAACAATATCTACTCATACAATGTGTGATTCACTCATACTATTCTATTTCTAGTTCATTATATATATTTGATTAAAATAATAGTATTTTGGAAGGTAGTCCTAACCTACTCTTTGTTTCTAGTTGTTATTAGCAGAATTCTGGAGCCATGGTGTCTCAATCAATCCAATTTTCCTGGTGTCCTGATATTACCCCTGGGCTACTGGCTTCGTGTTTTGAGGTGCAGACTCGGATCCTACATTGATGTGGGGTGGTCCTTTAAAACTTTTCCTGCAACTCACCCTGTCGTCTGCAGTGGCTGCAGACCTCCTCAACCTCCCTGCCTCTCCAACTGCCCAGAACACAAGTACCAGTTCAACACAGTTTTTTCCCCAGGGTTTTCTATGTTTTGTTGTTTAGACTTTGTTGCTGATATTGTTGTTTTATTTTTCTTTTTCCCTTCTATATTTTTACACAGTTGATTTTGGGAGTAGAGCACAGCAGCCTGGGCTTGATTGTCACTTTGGCAGCTACAGGTAGGCATTAACTGTTTATTTAATTTAAGTAAGATTTACACCTTTGCTGTATTCTATTCCTCATCAGTGAACATCATATACTACTCCATTTATTTGGGAATTTTTTCTCTGAATCTGTCAGCAAACTTGTACAGTTGCTTCTGTAAATGTCTTGCATATTTTGGTTAGGCTTCTTCTTCTTTATATTTTGGATTTAAATGCTGTTGGGGATGGTATATTTTTCATTTTATGTTCTAAGTTGCTCATCTGTGACAAGTCTCTTGTATTCGCTGCAGTGGTCTTTGTATGCTGTCTTCTGAAGTCTCTTATTCATTTGAATGTTCCATGTGTCTCTTCCTTTGAATTTTCTTGATGGTCATATTGTGAAAAATATGATCTATTTCTTTTCAATCTTCATACCTCTTTTTCATCTTGATATCCATAGCTCTCTTTTTCATTTCAGCATTCACTGCAGCTGTGAACGGTAGCAGTGAAAGCATACATCAATGACTTGCTCCTGACGAGAATGGGAATGCTTCTAACATTTCACATTCAAGTATGTTTCCTGTCAGTTTTAGAAAATTAAAGTGCCTTTTAATCTTCATTTGCTAAAAATGTTAATTTGAAAATATGATAAAATTCATTTCAGAGGCTTTTTCTGTATTTTTATTCCTTGCATACGAGCTGCTTGTTCATTAGTCCACTGTTGTGTTGAATATACAATTATCTATTTAGGACATTTGCTGCAATATGAGTGAACACTTGGCTCATATGTTCTTTTTATAAAGGCTGGATGTCTTTATCTTTTTTTCCCCCCCAATGCAGGAGAAGGAGCCTTGGAGAATTCGTTGAATAATTGCCCGTATTTTGGGATTATTTGGAAGAGTTAATATGGTGATTCGTTTTCCCTGACCACTTGGGGGAACTGACCCACAAAACTGCCTGCCTTAGAACGGTAGAGGGTGGATTGAGCTTTAAATACATTTTCAGTTTGTGGACGTACCATTGGTTTTATCCATTCACCAATTGGAAAAAGTATTGATTGTCAATTTCAAATAAGCTGCTATATATGTTTTTGTGTACGTGATTTTGTGTGTATGAACCTGTTTCCAATTTTCCTTGATAAAACCTAGGAGTACAATTGCTGTGTGTAATGGTAAGTCTAAGTTTTGCTATATTAGAAATAGCCAAAGCCCCTTCTAGAGTGAATGTGTTCTTTTTCTTCTCTACCAGCAATGAAAGAGAATGCCACATCTTTTGTACAATTTGGTATTTTCAGGTTGTTGCATTGTATCAATTGTAACAGGTGGGTAGAAGAATGTTACTGCTGTTTACATTTGTATTTTTATTGAATAATTATGGTAATCATCTTTTCATATGCTTTTTTGTGATCTGTGTATCTTCATTGGTGAAGTCTTGAAATCATTTACTATTTTATTGGACTCTTCATTTTTATGTGGTTGCATGTTATAAGGTGTTTATTCATTCAGTATATGAATCCTTTATCCGACACGGGGTTTACAAGTATTTTCTCCCCATTTTTGGCTTTTTTCCCCATTCCTTTAAGTGTTTTTTTTTTTTTAGTAAACATTTTAGAGTAATTTTAAATTTACAGAAAAGTTGCGAAGACAGTTAAGAGGGTTTTCCTATACATCATGTCCAGTTTCTCCTATTATTAACATCATGCAATAATATGATACATTCTTCATAATTCATAAATCAATATTCACCTGCACATTCCTGTCATTGTTTGAGGATCCCATCTAGGATACCATGCTACTTTAGTCTAAGCTGTGATAGTTTCTCAGACTATTCTTGTTTTTGATGACTTTAACAGTTTTGGGGAGTATCGATCAGGCTATTTGTGGAATTACCCTCATTTGGTATTTGTCTGAGTTTTTTCATATATAGACTTGAGTAATGGCTTTGGGGTAGGAGACCAGAGAGGCGAAATGCCATTCTCATTACACGATATTTTAGCAACATGACTCATCGCTGTTGATGTTGACTGATGAACTGGCTGAGGTAGTGTTGTCAGGATTTCCCTCTGCAAGGTTATTACATTCCCCCCTTTCTGTATTGTGCTTTATAAAAGAAAGTCACTAAGGGCAGCCATTGGGTAGTAGGGAAGTATGGTCCACCTTCTTGGGAAGGGGTAGTATTGACATGAATGATTTGGGATTCTTCTCAATGGGAGATTTGTTTATTCTCCCCCATTATTTGTATTTATTTAACCTTCAATTTGTCTCGGCTGAACTCATGGTAATTTATTATATGTTTGGGGTTATAATTCAACACCACTTTTATTTTGCTGCTCAGATTGTTCCATCTTTGTCCATTGGAAGCTCTTTCAGTTGGCTCTGATGTCCCCTTCACGTAACTGAGCCATTACATTTGTTTGTAGCTCTGTCTTACTTTATGGTATGACAAGATGATGCAGGCTCATTTTTATATTTCCTGTTCCAGTCATAGAAGAGTCAATTTTCCATGGTTTCTGCTTCCTTTTATGGGAGAAGAGTATTGGAATGTGAGAGGTGGGTGCTTGGCATGCTCATTGTTCCTGAGGATTTGTTATTCCTAGCCACCTCAATTCTCAGAGTAAAGATATATATTTTGGTATATTAACCTGTGTATATACACATATCTATAATCAGAATTCTTAAACCCAGTCCCTGTGAGAAATAGCTTTAGAAGCCAGACAATACTGCTTCAGTACAGTTTCTTTTAACTTCGGTCCCAGAGACTAACTTCCACAGGTACTTAGGACAGCACCATATCCCCAGATACTCATTAGAGGTTGTTTCATAGATTTGTAACACAGTTATATTGTTTTGTCATATTCTATACTCCACCTTGGCATTCCTCGACCTCCTAATTTTTTCAATTTTGCATACATTGAGGTTTACTCTTTGTGCTTTAAGGTTTTATGCTTTTTGACAAATGCATAATATATTCCATTTTTTGACAGCATGTCATCAACCATGACATGACAAAATCAATCATTACAGTAGCCTAGAGAATAGTTTCACCTGTCTAATAAATTCCTTCTGCTTATCCTAGTCATACCTTTTCCCCACCCCTGATCCCTGGCCACAACAGGTATTTTTACTGTCGTTATAGTCTTGTCTTTCCAGAACGTCAAATAAATTGCATCATATACTATGTAGTCTTTTCGGACTGGCTTCTTTTACTTAGAATTAAGCATTTAAGATTTATTCATGTTTTTGTGTGCCTAGATAAGTAAATATTTTGGTTGATGAATAGTGTTCTGTTGTTGTTGGACCACAGTTTGTTTATTCATCTGTCTCTTGAAGAACATCTTTGTTGTTTCCAGTTTTGGCCAATTATTAAATAAGCTGCCACACCCATTCATATGCAGGTTTTTTTTGTGGGCATAAATTTGCAAATTAGTTCAATGTATACCTAGGAGTGTCAAGAATTTGTTCAGCTTTGTAAAAAAATCAACTGACAAACCATCTTTGAAAGTGGCTGTACTACTTTGCATTCCCAACAGCAACAAATGAGAGTTCCTTGTTGCCAGGAATTGGTATTGTCAGTATTTGGATTTTGGACATTCTAATAAGTGTGTATCTTTGTTATTTAATTCATAATTCTCTAATAAAGAATGACATTGACTATGTTGTCTTATGCTTATTTTTTATGTGTACATGTTTTTTGTTAATTTGTCTGTTCAGAGCTTTTGCACATCTATTAATAGAGATTTCTTGTTTGTTTTCTTATTTACTTTTAAGCATTTTCTGTATATTCTGAATAGTTCTCATTGTTTAGTTTTATACTTTCTCTGTAGATTTTGGATACAAGTCCTCTATGAGATGTATGTTTTGCAAATATTTTCTTAAAGTCTGTAGCTTATCTTTCCTTTTTCTTACCAGTGCCTTTTACAGAGCAGTAGTTTTGTTTTTAATTTTTAGAATGTCCACCTTTTCAATTTTGTCTTCTATGGGCATGCTTTTGATGTTGTATGTAAAAACCCATCACCAATATCAAGGCCATGTAGATCTCCATTTATGTTTTCCTCCAGAAATTCTATAATTTTACATTTTATATTTGAGTCTGTGAAGTATTTTAAGATAATTGTTTGTGAAAGTTGTAAGGCTCTTTCTAGGTTCATTTCTTTGCATATTGATATGCATTTGTTCAGGTACCTTTTGGTGGAAAGACTGTCATTTCTCCATAGAATTGAATTTGCACCTTTGTCAAAAATCAGTAGACTATATTTGTGTGGGTCTTTTTCTGGGCTCTATTTAGTTCCATTGATGTGTATCTGTTCTTTTGCCAATAGCATACTTTCTTGATTACTGTAGGTTGACAGAATAACTGTATATCAAAGCTAACATCAACCATGAGAAACCATTCATATGTCTAGTGATTTCCTTTTATATGATGTAATGAGAATGACATTTTACTTCTGAGATCTTCTCCTAAATGTCCCTATCTCTATTCTTTTTTTTTTTAATTTTTATTTTCAGTTCAAGGGTACATGTGCAGGTTTGTTACATAGGTAAACTGGTGGCATGGGGGTTTGTTGTACAGATTATTTCATCACCCAGCTATTAAGCCTAGTGCCCATTAGTTATTTTTCCTGATCCTCTTCCTCCTCCCACCCTCCACCATCTGAGAAGCACCAGTGTGTGTTGTTCTCCTCTATGTGCCCATGTGTTCTCATCATTTAGCTCCCACTTATAAGTGAGAACATGTGGTATTTGGTTTTCTGTTCCTTTGTGAGTTTGCTAAGGATAATGGCCGCCAGCTCCATCCATGTTCCTGCAAAGGACAGGATCTCATTATTTTTTATGGCTGCATAGTATTCCATAGTGTATATGTACAACATTGTCTTTATTCAGTCCATCATTGATGGGCATTTAGGTTGATTTCATGTCTTTGCTATTGTCCATGATGCTGCAATGAACATACATGTCCTTGTGTCTTTATAATAGAATGAGTTATATTCCTTTGGGTATATACCAATAATTTGATTGCTGGGTCAAAATGTATTTCTGTTTTTAGGTCTTTGAGGAACTGCCATACTATCTTCCACAATGGTTGAACTAATTTACACTCCCATCAACAGTTTATAAGCATTCCTTTTTCTTTGTAACCTCCTCAGCATCTGTTATTTTTTGATTTTTTAGTAATAGCCATTCTGACTGCTGTGAGATGGTATCTCATTGTGGTTTTGATTTGCATTTCTCTAATGATCAGTGATGTTGAGCTTTTTTTTCATATGCTTGTTGGCCGCATATATGTTTTCTGTCTTCTTCTGAAAAGTATCTGTTCATGTCCTTTGCCCACTTTTTAACGGGGTTGTTTATTTTCTTCTTGTAAATTTGTTTAAGTTCCTTATAGACGCTGGATATTAGATCTTTGTAAGATGCATAGTTTGCAAAAATTTCCTCTCATTTTGCAGGCTTTCTGTTCACTTTGTTGATAGTTTCCTTTGCTGTGCAGAAGCGTTTTAGCTTAATTAGATCCCATTTGTCAATTTTTGCTTTTGTTGCAATTGCTTTCAGCATGTTTGTCATGAAATCTTTGCCCATTGCTATGTCCTCAATGGTATTGTTTAGGTTATTTTCCAGGGTTTTCATAAGTTTTACATTTAAGTCTTTGATCAATCTTGAGTTAATTTTTGTATATGGTATAAGGAAAGGGTCTAGGTTTTTTTTTTTGTTTGTTTTTTTTTTTTTTTGAGACGGAGTCTCACTTTGTCACCCAGGCTGGAGTGCAGTGGCACAATCTCGGCTCACTGCAAGCTCCGCCTCCCAGGTTCACGCCATTCTCCTGCCTCAGCCTCCTGAGTAGCTGGGACTACAGGCACCTGCCACCACGTCCGGCTAAGTTTTTGTATTTTTGGTAGAGACGGGGTTTCACCATGTTAGCCAGGATGGTCTCAATCTCCTGACCTCGTGATCCGCCCGCCTTGGCCTCCCAAAGTGCCAGGATTACAGGCACGAGCCACCGCGCCTGGCCAGAGTCCAGTTTTAATCTTCTGCATATGGCTAGCCAATTATCCCAGCACCATTTGTTGAATAGGGAATCTTTTCCCCATATCTTGTTTTTGTCAGGTTTGTTGAAGATCAGATAGTTGTAGGTGTGTGGCCTTATTTCTGGGTTCTCAATTCTGTTCCATTCATCTATGTGTCTGTTTTTATACCAGTACCATACTATTTTGATTATTATAGACCTGTAGTATAGTTTGAAGTTGGGTAGTGTGAAGCCACCAGCTTTGTTCTTTTTGCTTAGGATTGCCTTGGCTATTTGGGCTCTTTTTTGGTTTTACATAAATTTTAAAATAGTTTTTTTTCTAGTTGTGTGAAGAATCTCAATGGTAGTTCAATAGGAATAGCATTGAATCTACAAATTGATTTGAGAAGTATGTCCATTTTTATGACATTGATTCTTCCTATCCATGAGCATAGGATGTTTTTCCATTTGTTTGTGTCATCTTTGATTTTTTTGAGCAATGTTTTGTAGTTCTCATTGTAGAGATCTTTCACCTGCCTGGCTAACTGTATTCCTAGGTATTTTATTCTTTTTGTGGCAATTGTGAATGAGAGTTCATTCCTGATTTGGCTCTTGGCTTGACTGTTGTTGGTGTGTAGGAATGTTACTGATTTTTGTACATTGATTTTGTATCCTGAGACTTTTTTGAAGTTATCAGCTTAAGAAGCTTTTGGGCTTAGACTATGGGGTTTTCTAGATATAGGTCATGTCATCTGCAAACAGGGATAGTTTAACTGACTGCCTCTCTTCCTATTTTGATGCCCTTTATTTCTTTCTCTTGACTGATTGTCATGTCCAGGACTTCCAGTCCTATGTTGAATGGGAGTGCTGAGAGAGTGCATCCTTCTCTTGCGCCGGTTTTCAAGGGAAATGCTTCAAGCTTTTGCCCATTTAGTATGATGTTGGCTGTGAGTTGTCATAGATGAGTCTTATTATTTTGAGGTATGTTCCTTCAATACCTATTTTATTGAGAGTTTTTAACATGAAGGGGTGTAGAATTATATTGAAAGCCTTTTCTGAATCTATGAAATAGTCGTGTGATTTTGTCTTTAGTTCTGTTTATGTGATGAATTACATTTATTGATTTGTATATATTGAACCAACTTGTATCCAGGGATGAAACCTACTTGATCGTGGTGGATAAGCTTTTTGATGTGCTGCTGGATTTAGTTTGCCAGTATTTTGTTGAGGATTTTTGCATCACTCTTCATCAAGAATCAGGGTTCTTGCACTGATTCTTATTATCCTTATTATCTTTGTGGGCTTATGTACCTTCAGTCTTTGAGGTTTCTGACCTTTGGATGGATTTTTTCTTTTATCCCATTTGATGACCTTGAATGTTCGACTGTGGTGTAAGGTGAAGTGAGACTCCAGCCTGGGTGACAAAGTGAGACTCCATCTCAAAAAAAAAAGTCAGCTGGCTGGCTTTGTTTCTGGGGGCCAACACTCAGCACTCAACACCTGGACTGTATGTTCTAATTCTGGGGGACTTGTATTGGGTCCCATCTTTGTTCTCTGGCTCCTCGAGGTTTGGAATCCACTGCACTGTGCAGGCAGAGGTACAACAGCTGTGGTAGAGTGTTTGTGGGTGCCAGGGTGCCTACCTCCCTGCGTGTGTTCACCACAGTGGCGGAGGCAATGCAGCTGGATGGGGGATGGGGGCCCCCTGCTGGAGACTGTGTGTGTGGTCACACTGGAGGTGGTGGTGACTCAGGGGTGGGGTGCTGGTGAGTGCAGGTCTAGGTGCCTTCTCTATGCCCCACAAGCAGGAGTGATCACTCATGGTGGGGGAGGATCTGCTGTCATATCCCCATTCTAATCAGGAGAAAAAGATAAGACAAATACCACTGGATGGATTTTGTGCTAAAGAGCTGACCAATATTCCTCAAAAGTGTTAAGATCATCAAAAACAGGGACAGTCTCAGGAATTTTTACAACTAAGACAAGACTAAGGAAGCATGACTAGCAATGGAAAGAATTAAACTTTTATTCTGCCCTTCCTGTGTATTTTAAGATTACTCTACAGGCACAGTTGAAGAGGGAGAGCTGTTCCTCACTGAAAAATTTAAGCCAAGCCTAGTGAAGGCTATGTTTAACAAAAGAAACAATATCTAGAACCCCAGTGACTGAACTGATGTAGGTTGAATGAAACACTTTGGTTAAAGGTCAGTGAGGAATCAGTCAAAGGAGGAACGAGACTGTCATCACCTGAACCCACGATCAGTGCTGATATGGTAAAGAGTGAAAAAACCAGAACTCATGTGCTTCATGCTGGGATGCTGTAGGAGACATGGCACCACTGATGAAGTCCTTTTATCAGAAGAGTGAGACCTGCCTCTAACCTTGTCACAGAGGCTAACTTCCTATGATCAGAAACACTGGGAAAGAGCAACAAGTTAAATGACACAAGAAGGCAGCATACAGACAAATGAATGGTGGTGAGACATGCTGCAGGACCACAGGCCAGTCTGCTAAAACAAGCCAATAGAATGAAAAAGGACAATGGGATGAAGGCAGACATTGTGGGCAATAGGTCTGCTGGAGACTTAAAAGAGACCCAAGAGTATGATCTAAAGCAGAACATCCGTACACCCTAAGCTCCAGAATGTCCCCTCTGAGGTATGTACTAGTGAAAAGGCATACATTCATTTGGCAAAAGATGTGTCTAAGCATGCCCTCAGTAGCACGCTAGAAACAGCCCCAGTGTTCATCACCCTAGCATGGGTAAATACATTGGGATATATACAAAGGAATACTATACAGCCATGAGCATGAAAAAACCATTGTTACTTCTACAACATGGATGAAGGTCACTAATCTATTTTTGATCAAATATAGCCAGACCCAAAGAATATCAGCTCAATAATTCCATTTAAATAAAGATCAAAACAGGCAGTACTACTCTATCCACTAAAGTTAGGATAGTGGTTACCTTGGGAGACAGTGACTGGGAGGGGAATGAGGGGGATTCTCAGAGAATATGTTAATTTCTTGAGAGACGATGGGCCCTCCAGGGATATTCACATATGAAAATTAAGCAAGTCTATGTTTGTGATCTGTGCACTTCGTCAGCAGGGAGAGGGAGAATTAGGAGACATGAATGAATACAGTGTGCGAATCTAGTGGGTTTGGATCCAAACAGACACAATCCCATAGGCCACAATTCCAAATGTTGAAACCCCAAAAGGTCAATCTTTCTAAAGTCTAAATTCCAAAATATCAAAATCCCTAAGCAGAAGATGAGAAAGGTTAATAGAGAATGCTCATGTCAGTGTAACATAGAATTTCAATAAAGCAGTGCCATGAAGAAAACGAATGTGAATATATTCACTGAGGATACCCATGTCCTAAAAGAGAAAAAAAAAAGCAGCTATATGATGCGATGCATGACTTCAAAATATAGTAAATGATCGTGAAATCTGGCCAGTTCTTAACCACTATCTCCATGCAATTGCCCGTAATTTATACCTGTGATGCACTTTTTCTTATGTCATTTTTTAAAGTTTTTGTTTCCTATTTCTTTTCTTTTTTTCACTATGTTAAATTGTCAGCATTATTTTTTACAATGTGTCATATTTCTTTCATCTTGGCATTGCTTCCAGTACTAGAGGCATAAATTGTGTAGAGACTTTTAAAGAGTCTAATTTGTTTTATGCATTTTTTCAAATTAGATTCCACAAAAGTACATTATCACAATGCTTTGTGTGTAAGCATTGTGACGCATGTATAATCTTGCTGAATAAATGAAGAGATGTCTTTTTTTGTTCATGTGCATTTTTGAAAGATAAAATTTCTCGAGATCTTGACTCTAGGTGAAGGTGTGTGCAGTGGTGATCCATAATGGTTTTTGATTGTAGTTGTAAAAGACTTAGGTTGTTGGTCACAGTATTTCATATGACACCAAACTTATAAAATGAGTTTACAAAATTATCAACTATAGTAATATTTGTTGATACATTTCCTTGTGTGACCTATTTCTTTATGATTATGGTTTGTCCGCTTATAAGAGTTATACCTGTGTGACTGTCATTGGTGTAACTGTTTGTGCTTGCAAATATATGCATGTTATTGTTGTCTATTTCATTATATAAAGTGGCTTATGAAGTATTCTATCATGTTTTTACATTTCTCAAATAAGCCTACATTTTTAAAGGTAAATAAACATCTTCAATGATTTTTAAAATTATTTTTCCCAGAAGTGCATTTTTGGCATTTTGATATTTTGGGATTTCAGCATTTAGGGTTATGGTGATTGGCATTGCATCTTGTGGGATTATGGTGGACTCCTCACTGTAGGCATTGTATTCTGGCCTGCTGGCCCTAGTGTGTGGCCAATGGTCAGCCTGCCCAGTGGGGTTGGCCTACAGGTGACCTTTGGGTCACCCAGTCAGCTAGGAATGAAGGAGATGATTCAGGGCAGGTATATGGGAGTGTAGGGCCCACCCTTGAACAGGAGTGCAGCCTCTGGAGGGTGGAAGGGACCTGCACCATCCATGTACAAGTGGAAGCTTCTCCATCCTCACCCACTCTGTCCTAAACCCCAACTCTCCTCCAGGGCCCTTGTCTGTATTTTAGAAAAGGTGGTGTCCTAATGGAGATGGGGAGAAGACAGGTGGGCCAGGTCCAGTGACAGTCTCTCACTGGCTTCCTTGCAGGCCTCAGCCATGTGGCATGGGGCATCTGGCACTGGGTAACTGTTGATTACAGCAACCCTTCCCTGGTCATGGGGTAGACAGCTGAGGCCAGGGTGAGGGCAGAGCCCTGTTAAATGCAACTGTTGCTGGTTATAAGCTGAGCCAATCACGTACCTTCTCTGCCTCAATTCTTCATCTGTAAAGTGGGAACATGATAGTACAAGTTCAGAGAACTGGTGTGAGTCTTTACCTGATGTCACCCACCTGCATGTAAAATGACTGGCCCAAATGATGTGGTCAGTAAGAAGTAGCTTTTGTTACAGTATGTCTAAAATATGCCTTCCCTCATATTTTAACATTTCTAAACCTGTATATGTCTTCAGATCCACTTGTACACTGATTAGTGCATTTATTTTCATTTCCTCCTGAAAATCTGTTATGATGGATGGTTCATCTCACATCTCGGAACTGTGAAGACATGGTATAACTTGTTCCAGGTCTGGCTGGGTAACAGTCAGGGCTACTGGACCAGGGCCTGGATTCCTACATGAGTCTGTGGGACTTGGCCCTGGGAAGGTTTCCAACACATCTTCCAGGACCACACTCCCTGCACCCAACCCCAGACCTCAAAGTTTTGCAAGGGACAGTCCTCCAGCTGGAAACCCTGAATGCCCACACTGTGCCTGTCCCTGGACTCCCAGGTTCATGTTTCTAGAGAATGCTGGAGCCACATTCCAAATTCTTCCTGCCATAGCTTGGATTTGCAAGGAGCCTTCCACATAGATATGTAAAAACCATTTTTGCTCACACAATTGTTTTCAAGGTTTGACTCAGCCTAGAGCTACCTACTTAGAAGCTGCAAGCCTCTCTTGAGTCCAAGATATTTACAATTTCCTCTTCTGAATTTCCTTCCAGAAAGCAGCCAGAGGAGGAATTATGTCCCCAGGACACAATTATGTGCTAAACCATGGCTAGGAACTTGTTGATTGCGTAGACATCAACCTTTCGTATGTCCAAGGCCTTGCCCTCTCAGCTTTGTCATCCACTGCACTTTTCTTTTTTGCACACTCAGGAATCTGCCACACCACCTGCCCTTCACCCACCTTCTGTCAGCATTCAATGGGTGACAGGAAACTGCTGCACAAAGTGCTCTGGGGGTCTGTGTCATTTGCTATGTGCAACCCTCCCTTCAATGGGTATTTGGAAGGAGCCCATCTCTCCGATGAGCCAGACTAGACCATGGAAGGGTTCAGACATGGCCCAGGTTCCACAGTGAAGAAGTAAGAGGACCAGAATAGGCTCACATAATCAGACCCTCAGACTCACAACCTCTCTCAAGTAGAATGAGTGTTCTATTGAACAGAGGAGAGGAAGTTGTCTTTGTAGCCAGAAAAGTACTGAAGAGAGTGGAAACAGAAAACAAAAAGCAGGTTGGTCATTTCAAAGTTGCTTTCCATTTAGGACTAAAGTGGAAGAGACTTCCTGATTATGCTGACTCATGTTGATTGGAATTTTCTTTTTTTTTAAATATATATATATTTTTTATTATACTTTAAGTTCTAGGGTACATGTGCATAATGTGCATGTTTGTTACATATGTATACATGCGCGATGTTGGTGTGCTGCACCCATTAACTCGTCATTTACATTAGGTATATCTTCTAATGCTATCCCTCCCCCCTCCCCCCACCCCACAACAACTGGATTAAGAAAATGTGGCACATATACACCAAGGAATACTATGCAGCCATAAAAAATGATGAGTTCATGTCCTTTGTAGAGACATGGATGAAGCTGGAAACCATCATTCTCAGCAAACTATCGCAAGGACAAAAAACCAAACACCGCGTGTTCTCACTCATAGGTGGGAATTGAACAATGAGAACACATGGACACAGGAAGGGGGACATCACACACCGGGATTGGAATTTTCCGAATTATTTTTAACTGGCCCATTTGAAAGTTCAATTTGATTTCATGACAATTAGCATGAATGACTCCATTCCGATTTGTTCTTCTGGGGCCTAGTAAAGGAGGCTGGTCTGACACAATGGCCTCCCATTAACTTTGTTTCACAATCCCCCCATTTTGGCCAGGGTGAGAGTGTGGCCAAATCAGAGGGCATGAGTGCTACACTCAGTTACCATCAGTTTTGGATTTTTGGTGTTAACATGCCATTTGTATATTACAGTGTCCTTGTTGTCATGTGTTTCTTGGAGCTTTCATCATTCCAGCTGGAGAGAGGCCATTTAGCCTTCAGCAGATGGCTGCATGGAGATTTCTAAGCCTTTTCGAGAGGATGCAGTGAACTAGGGAGACCACTCTTATGACTGTCAGGAGGATAATGCCAAGAGTTTGGAGTATGCTCTTGCAATGGGAATGACAGAGCAAAGGTTGCTGCCTAGCCAATTGAAGTAGAACATCACACCCAAATGTCTCAAGCCTCTGGTCAGAGATAAAAATTTAGAGGTGTCTCTCCCACCTAAAAGACTGGGCTTCCCCTGTTTTTCCCTCCATATCTTTTACTTTAAAAGTACCATTCAGGCATTTGCCTGTGAACTTAACATGACCCATGTCCTATTTTTCTATATTTATACTGCTCTCTCTCTCTCTCTCTCTCTCTCTCTCTCTCTGTCTCTGTCTCTCTCCCTTCCCTCTCTCTGTGCCTGATTCTTTGCTTCTTCATTCCTGCCTCATATCATTAGGGAATAGAGAACCGTCCTCCCAACTCTTTGAACCCTCTCTGACCAGGATCTGTAAGTAATAAATCTTTGAACTTATTTCCTGTCATGGTGGTAATTTGAATTTTTGCCTTCCATTTGAATATCCTGTGTCTAACCAAGGCCAGGCTTTACCTGGGATGTTGTGGGGAACACAAGATCAGGGTCCATGTGACAGAACGGTGGTCAGGCAGGCATAAACGAAACACAGATTAGACAAGAACCACAGTGACATCTGCCATTATAAACAAATTTCCCACATGAGGGGCTACCTAATCAATGGTTGGACAACTAGGCACAAGAATTATCCTGTGAAAGGCATACTGGAAACACCTACCTTAAGCTCCCCTTCATTTCCAGTTATGGAAACCTTACCAGCTACTCTGGTACTGGAACCTCAGTTTGGCTGGGAATTTTAAAAACAGCCCCTTAGGCAGGCTTCCCATGAATTAAACCAACTGAAATTGAACAGATCAAAGAATGAGCCAGATGAGGAATCTACTTGTTTTAACCAAGCAGCCTGTTTGTCCTATTTATCCACATGCAACTGAAAGTGTTAGCAACTGCAGAGATCCCTCCGTTTTGAGCTAGAAGGTTGCAGTTCTATGATCTACTATCCTATCACAGGGCTAAATTAAAGCAGAGAGTGAGGTCAAGTGGGTCTGGAAGTCTGACTCTATAAAAGGGATTACTAGTAAAGTTTGGATAAACAATTGCATCAAGGATGTTGATAAAGCTAGCTACTGGGTGGATTAAAAATTCTCTTAGGTCATGTAAAAATATGGGTTTGGCATGGCATATCCAACTTTTTATGGAATCTAATCATTGTAAAATTCTAACTACTTTTGACCCTTGAACAACGTAGGTTTGAAATGTGTCGGTCCAGTTATACATGAACTTTCTTCTGCTCATGCCATTCCTGAGACTGTGAGAATAACCACTCCTCTTCCTTCTCTTCCACAGCCTACTGAAAGTGTGGATGATGAGGACAAAAACCCTTATCATGACCCACTTCACTTAATAAATAGTAAATATATTTTACTAAAATATACAAATACGTAAAATATATAAATGCAAAACCCTTATGATGATCCACTTTCACTTAATGAATAGTAAATATGTTTTGTCTTACATAGGATTTTCTTAATAACCCTTTCTCTTCTCTAGCTTTCTTTATTGTAAGAGTATAGTACATAATGCATTAAACAGAAAAAAATATGTGTTAATTCTTACGGTTTCCAGTCAGCCGTAAGCTATTAGTAGTTATGTTTCTGGGGAGTAGTATGTTATATGTAGATTTTTGACTGCATTGGGAGTCAGTGCCTCCAGCCCTCACTTTATTCAAGAATCAGTTGTACAGGTATTATCCTGACAAGTGAATGAGGTAAGCATAAGTAAGAAAAAATTAAGAGGGGTAAGGGTGTCATTGTGATAGTCTTATTTCAATAAGACTTCAGTAAGTCAATAAGTTTTATTTCAAGTGTGACTTCATAAGAAGTCATACCTTTTTAACTTTTATGTTAGGTTCAGGGGTACTTGTGCAGGTTTGTTATACAGGTACATTGTGTGTCATGGGGGTTTGGTGCACGCCTCATCCAGGTAATAAGCATAGTACATGATAGATGGTTTTTCAATCCTCACCCTCCTCCCACCCTCCAACTTCAAATAGGCTCTTGTGTCTGTGTTCCCTTCTTTGTGTCCATGTGGACTCCATGATTACCTCCCACTTATAACTGAGAACATGTGGTATTTGGTTTTCTGTTCCTGTGTTAGTTCACTTAGAATAATGGCCTCCAGCTCCATCCATGGTGCTGCAAAGGACATGATCTCTTTTTATGGCTGTGTAGTATTCCATGGTGTATATGTACCACATTTTCTTTTTCCAATCTATTGCTGATGGACATGTAGGTGATCCTATATCTTTGCTTTTGTGAATAGTGCTGCAATGAATATATGCATGCATGTGTCTTTATGATAGAACGATTCCTTTGGGTATATACCCAATAATGGGATTGCTGGGTTTAATGGTAATTCTGCCTTAAGTTCTTTCAGAAATCACAACTGGGTTTTTCACAGTGGCAGAACTAACATACATTCTCACC
This sequence comes from Homo sapiens, assembly GCF_000001405.40. Lineage (NCBI taxonomy): Eukaryota > Metazoa > Chordata > Mammalia > Primates > Hominidae > Homo > Homo sapiens. Next base: position 149,864,344 of record NC_000023.11, on the reverse strand, counting down.
AGCAGTGTATAAGAATTCCCTTTCCTCTGCAACCTCACCAGTGTCTGTTATTTTCTTCACTTTTTAGTAGTAGCCATTCTGACTGGTTTGAGATCGTATCTCATTGTGGTTTTGATTTGTATTTCTCTAATAGTTGGTGATGTGGAAAATTTTTTCATATGTTTGTTGGCCACGTGTATGTCTTCTTTTGAAAAGTGTCTGTTCATGTCCTTTGCTCACTTTTTTTTTGGGGGGTGGGGTCGGGGAACAGAGTCTCACTCTGTCGCCTTGGCTGGAGTGCAGTGGCGCAATCTCGGCTCACTGCAACCTCCACCTCCCAGGTTCAAGCAATTCTCCTGTCTCAGCCTCCCAAGTAGCTGGGATTACAAGCATACACCACCACGCCTGGCTAATTTTTTTTGTGTTTTTAGTAGAAGCAGGGTTTCACCATATTGGCCAGGCTGGTCTCGAACTCCTGACCTTGTGATTTGCCTGCCTCAGCCTCCCAAAGTGCTGGAATTACATGCATGAGCCACCGTGCCTGGCCTCTGCTCATGTTTTAATTGAGTTGTTGTTTTGCTTGTAAATTTGTTTAAGTTCCTTATAGATTCTGAATATTAGACCTTTGTGAAATGCATAGTTTGCAAATATTTTATCCCATTCTGTAGATTGTCTGTTTATTCTCTTAATAGTTTCTTTTGCTGTGCAGATGCTCTTCAGTTTAATTAGGTCCTATTTGTCAATTTTTGTTTGTGTTGCAATTGCTTTTGGCATCATTGTGAAATCCTTGCCAGGGCCTAGGTCTAAAATGGTATTTTCTTGGTTCTCTTCCAGGGTTTTTATAGTTTTAGGTTTTAGGTTTAAGTTTCTAATCCATCTTGAGTTGTTTTTTGAATATGATGTAATGAAGTGGTCCAGTTTCAATCTTCTACATATGGCTAGCCAGTAATCCCAGCACCATTTGTTGAATGGGTAGTCCTTTCCCCCCTGCTTATTTTTGTTGACTTTGTCAAAGATCAGGTGATTGTAGGTGTGTGGTTTTATTTATGGGTTCTCTAACCTGTTCCATTGGTTTATATGTCTGTTTTTTGTACCAGTACCATGGTTTCTTGGTTATTGTAGCCTTGTAGTGCAGTTTGAATTCAGGCAGTGTGACGCTTCAAACTTTGCTCTTTTTGCTTCAGATTGCCCTGGCTATTTGGGCTGTTTTTGGTTCCATATGAATTTTAAAAATAGATTTTTTTTCTAATTGTGAGAGAAATGTCATTGGCAGTTTGATAGGAATAGCATTGAGTCTCTAAATTACTTTGGGCAGTATGGTCATTTCAACAATATTGATTCTTACTCTCCTTGAACGTGGAATATTTTCCATTTGTTTGTGTTATCTCTCATTTCTTTGACCAATGTTTTATAATTCTTGTAGAAATGTTTCATCACTCTGGTTAGCTGTATTCCTAGATATTTCATTCTTTTTTTGTGGCTGTTGTGAATGAGATTGCATTCTTGATTTGGCTCTCTTCTTGGATGTTGTTGGTGTATAGAGATGTTACTGATTATCGTACGTTGTGTATCCTGAGACATTGTAGAAGTTGTTTATCAGAACTAGAAGTTTTTGGGCAGAGACTATGGGTTTTCTAGTTATAGAATCAAATTGTCTACAAACAGAGGTAGTTTGATTTTCTCTCTTCCTATTTTGATGCCTTTTATATGATCCTCTTGCTTGATTTCTCTGGCTAGGACTTCCATTACTATGCTGAATACGAGTGGTGAGAGTGGTCATCCTTGTCTTTTTCTATTTCTCATGGAAAATGCTTCCAGCTTTTGCCCATTCAGTATGATGTTGGCTGCAAGCTCGTCACAGATTGCTGTCATTATTTGGAAGTATATTCCTTCAAAGCCTGGTTTTTTTTGGGTTTTTAACAAGAAGGAATGTTGAATTTTATAGAAACTCTTTTCTTCATCTATTGAGATCATCATGTGGTTTTTGTTTTAGATTCTGTTTACGTAATGAATCACACTTACTTACTTGCATATGTAGAACCACCTTTACATCCCGGGGATAAAGCCTACTTGATCATGGTGGATTAGGTTTTTGATATGCAGCTGCATTTGGTTTGGTCCTATTTAGTTGATGATTTTTGTCTGTGTCAAGGATATTGGCCTGAAGTTTTATTTTTTTTTCTTGTGTCTCTGTCAGGTTTTGGTATGAGGATGATGTTGACCTCATAGAATGAGTTAAAGAGAGTCCCTCGTCCTCAACTTTGTGGAATAGTTTCAGTAGGTATGGTAACATCACTTCTTTATAATCTGGTAGTATTTGACTGTGACTTTGTCTGGTCCTGAGCTTTTTCTAGCTGGTAGGCTTTTTACTACGGATTCAATTTTAGAAACTATTATTGGTTTGTTCAGGCATTCAGTTTCTTCCTGTTCAATCTTGGAAGGTTGTATGTTTTCAGAAATTTATCCATTTCTTCTAGGTTTTCTAGTTTGTGTGCAAAGAGGTGCTCATAGTAGTCTCTGAGACTTTTTTTTTGTATTTCTGTGGGGTCAGTGGTAATGTCCCCTTTGTCTTTTCTGATTGTGTTCATTTGGATCTTCTCTCTTTTTTTGTTAGTCTGGCTAGTGTTCTATCAATCTTATTTATTTATCCTCTCAAAAATCAAGTCCTGGATTTGATTTTTTTAATGGCTTTTCACATCTCAATTTCCTTCAGTTCAGATCTGATTTTGGTTATTTTTGCTCTTCTGCTATCTATGGGGTTGGTTTGCTATTGTTTCTCTAGTTCCTCTAGGTTTGACATTAGGTTGCTAATCTGAGAACTTTCCAACCTTTTGATGCAATACTATAAACTTCCCTCTTAACACTGCTTTAGCTGTGTTCCAGAGATTTAGGTATGCTGTATCTTTGTTCTCATTAGTTTCAAAGAATATTTCAATTTCTAAGTTAATTTTATTATTTACCTAAAAGTCATTCAGGAGAAGCTTGTTTAATTTTAATGTAATTGTGTAGTTTTAAGCGATTTTCTTTGAATTATCTTTTTATTTCACTGTGGTCTGAGAGTGTGGTTGGTTGGCATGTTTTCTTTTCTTTTTTTTTAAACTTGCTAAGGATTGTTTTATGTCTGATTGTGTGGCTTATTTTAGAATATGTGCCACGTGCAGATGAGAATAATGTGTATTCTGTTGTTTTTTGTTGGAGAGCTCTGTAGATGTCTGCTGGGTCCATTTTGTCAAGTGTCAAGTTCAGGTCCTGAATACCTTTCTCTGTTTTCTGCCTCAGTGATCTGTAATACTCTCAGTGGATTGTTGAATTTTCCAGCTAGTATTGTGTGGTTATGTCAGTCTCTTCATTTATCTCTAAGTACTTTCTTTATGAAACTGGGTGCATATATATTTGGGATAGTTAAGTCCTCTTGTTGAATTGAACCCTTTACCACTTTATAATGCCCTTCATTGTCTTTTTTTCATCTTTGTTGGCTTAAAGTCTGTTTTGTCTGAAATTAGAATAGCCACTTCTGCTTTTTTTCTGTTTTTCATTTGTTTTATAGGTTCTTCTCCATCTCTTTACTTTGACCCTATGGGTGTCATTGTATGTGAGATGGGTCTCTTGAAGACAGCATACCATTGGATCTTGCTTGTTTATCTTGCTTGTTTAGCTAGTTTGTGGATTTTAATTGGGGGAATTTAGCACATTTGTATTCAAGGTAACAATTGATATGTGTGGAATTGTTCCTGTCATCATGTTGTTAGCTGGTTATTAAGTAGACTTGTTTGTGTGGTTGTTTTATAGTGTCACTGGTCTATGTATTTAAGTGTGTTTTAGCAATGGCCAGTAATGGTCTTTCCTTTCCATGTTTAGCATTTGCTTCAGGACCTCTTGTAAGGCAGCCCTGGTGGTAACAATATCCCTTAACACTTGCTTGTCTGAAAAGGAATTTATTTCTCTTTTGCTTATGAAGCTTAGTTTGGCTGGATATAAAATTTCTGGTTGAAAATTATTTTCTTTAAGAATGTTCAATGTAGGCCTCCATTCTCTTCTGACTTGTGCAGTTTCTGCTAGAAGACCCTCAGTTATTCTGTTGGGGCTCCCTTTGTAGGTGACCTGCCACTTTTCTCTAGCTGCCTTTAACATTTTTTTGTTTCATTTCTACCTTGGGGAATCTGATGACTATGTGTCTTGGGGATAGTGCTCATGTGTAGTATTTCACATGGGTTCTCTGCATTTCTTGAATTTGAATCTCGGCCTCTCTAGCAAAGTTGGGGAAATTTTCATGGATGATATCCTAAATATGTTTTCCAAGTTGCTTGCTTTCTCTCTCTGTCTTTCAGGGACAACAATGAGTCATAGAATTGGTCTCTTTACATAATCTCATATTTCTCAGAAATTTTATTCATTCTTCTTTATTGTCTAAGTTGTTTTGGAAATCAGGTCTTCCATCTCTTAGAATCTTTCCTCAGCTTGATCAATTTAATTGTTAATACTTGTAATTGTATTTTGAGATTCTTGAAGTGAATTTTTCAGCTTTATCAGCTTGGTTTGGTTCTTTATTAAAATGGCCATTTCATCTTTCATCTCCTGAATTGTTTTATTGCATTTCTTAGAATCCTTGGATTGAGTTTTGCTCTTGAAGGTTGATGATTTTCATTCCTAACCATATTCTGCATTCTATGTCTGTCATTTCAGCAATTTCAGCCTGGTTAGGAACTATTGCTGGGGACCTAGTGTAGCTCTGACTTTTTGAGTTTCCAGAGTTCTTGCACTGTTTCTTTCTTATCTGTGTGGGCTGGTGTTCCTTTAGTCTTTGAAGTTACTGTACTTCGGATTTTTTTTTTTTTGCATTTATCTTCTTTTTTGCTCTTAAGGGTTTGATTGTGGTATCAAGTGTGTGCAGTCAACTGGCTTCATTTCTGGATGATTTTAGGAGGCCAAGGCTTAGCTCAGCACCCATGAATTGTGGGCTCTAACTGTGGGGGGCTGAGACTGGGCCCCTAGCTTTGTTCTCCAGCTGCTCAAGGTTAGCAACCTGCCATGCTGGAGGAGAAGAGGTGTTGCTGGTCTGCTGGTCACCACACTCCCATGAGTGGTGCTGGCTGAAGTACATTGTTAGGGAAGTGACATTGGGATCCTTGCCTCCTTACACATGTTAGCAGCCACAGAAACACAGCATGGTACATGCACCATGGCTGAGGCTGAGTACTAGCAGGAACAAGGCTGAGGCATTATAGTGTATACTCATGGCAGTGGCAGCAGCTGTGGTATGACAAGGTATGGGATGTCGACAGGGGCAGGGTTGCTGGAGTCCATGTGTCCACTCATGCCAATGTTGGCAACAGCAGGGGTGGGACACAGGCGGGCCTGGAGCTGCTGGCTTCCATGAGTGTGTTTGCACCAGTAGAGGTGGCAGTGCAAGGTGGTGGGGCAGAGCTGCTGGTGTCCATGCCTATGTTCACACCTGTGGCGGCACGGGGGAGGGGGGCTGGTGTTGCCAGCATACGTTTGCACATTCACGCCAGAAGTGGCAAGATATCTAGGTGCCAACACGTCAGCAGGTGGTGTGGTGGGATGTCCTCACGCCAGCAGCAGTGGCATGACATCCTGTTTGCTCATATGCATATCAGCTGAGGAGGGGAGTTGAGGTCTGCCTGCATGTGTGCATAAGCAAAGTGGTATGGTGGTGGCTGTGGGTGAGTATATGCCAGCAAAGTGGTGTGGGGGAGGCTGCAGTGGGGAGAGTGTACAGGTGGGCTGGGACACTTTGATGGGGGCCACTCTGCTGCAGTTATCAAACATGTTCTGCTGGTGAAGGAACTACGATAAAGACCCCGGGAAGCACTGTGGTAGGGCATCCCAGGCTGTACTGCAAGCAGGCAAGGCTAGGCTGGGGCCCTGGGAGATGAGAGCAGACAGGGTGGCACTCAGATTGGACAGGTCCCATGTCACAGGCAATATCATGCTGGTCTGTCCAGGTCCGACAGTCGCCCCAAGGCTAAAGTCTTCTAGAGGAAAATGGTGAGCCTTGTGGAATGGGCATCCCTGGTGGTTCTCCACTGCAGATATTTCAGCACCAAACCATCTGGGCTCTGCACAGGCTGGAGTATTGACCCTACCACCTCTCTAAGTAGCTCTCCCTGCCAGCTCAAGTGCCTGTGGGGGTTGTGGGGTCTCCTGCTGCTAGGATTCCTCATGTCTATGGCAAGAGCAGACCACTCCCTGCCTGTTTAACTCACCCCTTCCCCAGTTGTCGCTGGTTGCCAGGAATGAGTCCCGGTGCATGGTAGCCTTGTGCAGGGTTCCCAGCTTCCTCCCCCTTCAGCCCAGCATCTGCATCCCATCTCCATCCACTCTCAGTGCTTTCCCTCTGAAGATCTGCTTGGAGTGTGACAGTCTTCCATATGTCCTAGTCTCTCAGTGGCAGATGATCCTCCTGGCTGTGTCTAGTTAACCATCATGACTGAAACTCTGAAGTCATCAACTTCTTACCCTGGTTTGCAGTTTGAATGTCCCTGGTTATGGCTTCACGGATTGTAGTGAACTCCTGATTGGCTCACATATCAGGCAGGAATGTTGTCCCTTGACACTTACATTGAGGGGTTCACCTCCAGCCTATAGAGGAATGGAGCAGATTTTGTTGTTAGTACAGGAATTGTAGCCAGGTAATGGAGAAAACTAGAACAATTTGGAATCAAGTATGGTCTACAAATAGATAATAATAACTCAAAAACAATGAACAGAGATACAGTCTAATAATAGGTGCACAATAGTTTTTTTTTTAAATTTTCCCAAAACATATTTTTTCTGTCTTCGGTCATCCCCGTTTCTAAGAAAGATAATCAGAGTATGACTATTTTGATAGCAAAATAAGTTTAGTATCATCAAACTTGGCCTGATTATTTACTTAAGCGCAGTAAAGATTGTGATTAGCCAAATAAGCTCTTTTTAAAGGTTGCTCTGCTGGAGCTTTTAATAAGGATTCTCAGATTACACTTTTCAAAGCCTCTTCATGCTAGGAAGCCAAACCAAGGCAGACTTCAGACTGCCTGCTATACAGATTTGGGTGAATTCCTCTCTTCTCCGGGTCCCCAAAATATTTTGAGGTCCCTGGGCCTTCAGGAAGTGACTTTTTTTTCTCACTCAGTATAAGGCTAGGAACCCTCAAAGCCATGAATTCTATGGACTTTCCCAAATGTGGTGTCCCAGTGACTGTCTTGGTAATATAACTAGTATTGCCAACTGTATCCTGTTATAAAGAGAGCAGATTGTGATTGAACTTATGCAAACAATATCGCCATAAAAACTAGAAAATATATATATTGTTTCTGATTCCTAGAGGGACCAAGTAGACAGAAAAATTAAATGATTTCAATTTTGTTCACAAAATTATACTTTACCAAATTATAGTGAGCCCTAGATACCTTAAAATAAAGAAGTTTCCTTAAATCTGGAAAACAAAACATTAAAATAAAGAAGCAAGAAAATTCCAAAATAAAAAATATGAAAACATTATCCTCATCAGTTCATTTATTCCCGTGTAATTAATTCTTGTTCTGCTTGATGTTGGAGCAATGGTTTCATGAAGTCATCAGTTTCTTCATTAGATTTATGGACATTCTTATCAAGTCCAATGGTATGATCTTAAAGTTACCAGAATCCTGTACTTTTCAGAATCTTTTCCATGAGTCTTTTTGAAGACAAAGCACTTAAGGATTACAGTTGCTGGGCCAGGCGTGGTGGCTCATGCCTGTAATCCCAGCACTTTGGGAGGCCGAGGCGGGTGGATCACCTGAGGTCAGGAGTTCGAGACCAGCCTGGCCGAAATGGTGAAACCCTGTCTCTACTAAAAATACAACAATTAGCTGGGCGTGGTGGCAGGCTCCTGTATTCTCAGCTTTTCAGGAGGCTGAGGCAGGAAAATCACTTGAACCTGGGAGGTGGAGGTTGCAGTGAGCTGAGATCACGACACTGCACTCCAGCCTGGGCGACAGAATGAGACTCGATCTCAAAAAAAAAAAAAAAAAAGAGGAAAAAAAATAGGATTACAGTTGCTTGAAAAAGCATTCAAAAATAATTAACTGTGGGTGACAAGACTCGAAATGGTCATGGTTTAAAATCTGATGAGCTCATTCTCAGCAAACTATCACAAGGACAGAAAACCAAACACCACATGTTCTCATTCTTAGGTGGAAATTTGACAATGAGAACACTTGGACACAGGGTGGGGAACATCACACACTGGGGCCTGTTCGGGGGTCGGGGGCTGGGGGAGGGATAGCATTAGGAGAAATACCTAATGTAAATGACTAGTTGATGGGTGCAGCAAACCAACATGACACATGTATACCTATGTAACAAACCTGCATGTTGTGCACGTGTACCCTAGAACTTAAAGTGTAATAATAATAATAAAAATCTGATGAGAGTGCATTATAATGATGACACTGTTGATAAGGAAATTTGGTTATTTCTGTGACATACAACATTTTAACATAATGGCTGAAATGATGACTGATAACGTATCAGTTTTCTAGGAATCTCATGCAACTTTTGGAGTGCATATTAGTGACATCTATAAAAATAGAGTCAAAGTAGGTTAAATATCACTTTTTATTTGACAATGTGTCCCAATAATTTAACTTATCAAATAAGCCTAATTGGTTTAATATCTCCCTTCCTTTGAAGAGGTTTAGGAGCCCTTTGGAATGTTCTAACATTAATTTAGGATCAAGAAAGACTTAATTTAGGATATGATTTTGAGAAGTTTTTGAAAGATGTCACAAGGTTTAAAGCACTTCACTAAACAGTATCACCAATCATTATGAAACAAAGACAAATACAGATATGTTACATAGCTTTCAAAAGACTTAGGTCTCTGAAGATTTATAAGACTAATTTTTTTTAAAAAAATCAAAATACCTGATAAAAGACCCATAAAAAGACAAAATACCTTATAAAAGACGACAAAAAAATCCTGACAAAACACTGAATTTATTATTTTTTTGTTCCTTAGGTAGATCACTGAAAGGATATGAAAATGTTTCCTAGTCTCTTATCAACACTCCAAGGAAATACCCATTTTCAAAAGCAAAGACCCGATTCTAGTTTTGCATCAGGGTACTTTTGATATTAAAGCTCATTCAAAAAAACCTCTTATAATAAATTTATTCCGTTTTAGCATGCTTGACCCCACATGAAATTCTTTTCACAATCCTATTATGTTCTTGTATCTCTTTGGTCTTTCATATACTTTTTCACATTGTGGAACAATCAGTCATTCTATTTTAGGGTAAAAATTGTTCTCTTTTTCCCTTAAGGCAAACACAGCATCATACATATGCCTTTTTTTAAAATAAGATATGCCTTCCTTTCCTCACTTATAGAGTTGTTTTCCTTTATTTTAGTTTTAGTTACCACATGTTAGAATTTTCAAAATCCCTTATGATCTTAATTTTTATGTGAAACTATACAGGAGGCAATTTTGAACTGTCATATGCTAACATTTTATAGATATACTTTTCATATCACAATTTTTTTGTTTAACAACAGACTCAAATATATTAAACTTCACTATACCTATAAAAATAAGCTTCCAAAGTATCGATACTTTATATTTATGTTCAGCAATTAATGTTTCAATAATTTAACTTGCTTAGGAATGACTTAGACATTTTATGACTATCTATTATTTCATTTAACATAACATAATATTAAGATGCCCAGTGATGAAACAAGATTTTTTTTTCAAGTTTTATTTTACTTTCAGGGGTACATGTGCAGGTTTGTTATATAGGTAAACTTGTGTCATGGGGGCTTGTTTTACAGATTATTTCATCATCCAGGTATTAAACCTAGTACCATTAGTTATTTTTCCTGATCCTCTCCTTCCTCCCACCCTCTACCCTCCAATAGGCCCTAGTATGTGTTGTTACCCTCTTATGTGGCCATGTGGAAAAATATTTTTGAAACTATGGAAAGCTTACTTATAAAGTTTATTCCATTTATATTTACCTAATTTACTCATTCTTAACAATTCAATTGCTCATTAAGCAAAGCTAGCTATTGGAGGAGTTCATAAAATGCCAACCTACAATGCGTTGCTTTGGTATACTAATCACTTTGAGCTTAAGGCTGTTGAAGAATAGCAAAATGTAAGGCAAGGCTCTCTGAATTCCCCTTATCTATCTAAAGACAGATCCTTCAAAAGGAACTCAACTGTCATGAGTCCTCTGAAGATGACTCTTATCACATAATAGGAGGTCAGAAGTCGACATTACACCCAGACAGACCTCCTCACAAACCACCATCTGTTCTTCTAAGAGACCATTAATCTTCCCTCCACATCAGTTACTCTGAGGATGTCTCTTCTTCATCCCCTGACCATTTTACCCACTCCAGTGAGGGGGTTGAATCAAGGGACCCTTGCCCTATTCTTGATCCACCTACCTGATTGTTGCCCTGAGCAATTCTTACCTGAGCACTTCTTACCTTGTCATCTCTGCCTTGTGGTTTTTAAAATTTTTACAGAAAGGGAGAAACAGAGCACACTTGTTTGGGGTACTGCAAAGTTGGGGAACTAGCAGAGAGTTTCTCTGGTCCATTCAACTATTACTAGATTTAACCTTTTTTCTAACTGCATTACTGTCGTTTTAATTCATCCAATTTTTAAGAAAGAAAAATTATCCTAAATTTGCATCTCAAAAGGGATAGTTCTTAGGTAAATCAAAGTAGGAAACTTACATGTCAAAGGCACAGGACTTAGATTTCAGGACTGAGTTCCTTTACTTGCCAGACTGAAAAGGAACAGTTAGGAAGTCCAGTAAAGACAAAATGGTAAAAGGTGAGGCTTGTCTAAAGCAATACTTTCTCCCACTGCAAGAATTTCTGGTGATTTTCTAAATGCCAGAAAGTCGTATTTTGGAGACTGATTTAGTTCGATGTGTGGTATTTTCAACTCAGCTTCTGTTTCTCAACTAAATGACCGAGTTTAAGGCAATGTTCATTAAGGAATAGTGCAGGCAAAGCATTTTCTATAGCTGGAATCATCAGCATGGATAGTTCTGAAAAAGAACCAAGCCTGCTTGTCCTCGACTTAACTTATAAACGCCTTATCTAGCTTCCTTTCTATCTTTGGAGCAGGAAAGTAACTAAGTGAAAATGTTGGCAGATTCCATTTTCCTGTTAATTACCTACTTAAACTTTGCATTTGTTTTCTATAAGGGATTTCTTAAAGAGGCAAGGCTTAAAAAAATCTTTTTAGAAGTTTGTGCACATGAATAGTCATCCGTGTGGGGGCCTATTTCAGGAGGCCTAACTTTCTTTTGACAGGTAATTTGGATCTTTATTTCAGTAATTGTCCACATATTGTGGTAAACACTCTTGTTTTTAACAAGATCGATATCTGCAGAAACATTGTTTGACACTTTGTTAGAAGCAAAGTGTCTTTTTCTAATATGATGGATACATATTATTCCATTGAAATCAACAATTGAGAGTCAAGTTTGATAATTGAAAGACCTTGTTGATTCTAATAGAATCTAAAATAACTGCTTTTTTCTAATGATCAGTGATCTTGAGCTTTTTTTGTTCATATGATTGTTGGCCGCATGCATGTCTTCTTTTGAAAGTGTCTGTTCATGTTCTTTGCCCACTTTTTAACGGGATTGTTTGTTTTTTTCTTGTAAATTTGTTTAAGTTCCTTATAGATGCTGGATATTAGACCTTTGTCAGATACACAGTTTGCAAAAATGTTCTCCCATTGTATAGGTTTTCTGTTTACTCTGTTGATAGTTTCTTTTGCTGTGTAGAAGCTCTTTAGTCTAATTAGATTTTGTCAATTTTTGCTTTTGTTGCAATTGCTTTTGGCAACTTCATCATGAAATCTTTGTCCATGCCTATGTCCTGAATGGTATTGCCTAGGTTGTCTTCCAGGGTTTTTAGTTCTGGATTTTATGAGATATCATCTAATAGCAGTCAGAATGGCTATTAATAAAAAGTCACAAAACAACAGATGCTGGTGAGGTGGCAGAGAAAGAGAAACACTTATACACTGCTGGTAGGACTGTAAATTAGTTCAGCCATTGTGGAAGATAGTGTGGCAATTCGTCAGAGACCTAAAGACAAAACTACCATTTTACCCAGCAATCCCATTACTGGGTATTTACCCAAAGGAATATAAATCAGTCTACTATAAAGACACATGCATGTGTATGATCATTACAGCAGTATTCACAATGGCAAAAATATGGAATCAACCTAAATATCCATCAGTGAGACTGGATAAAGAAAATACACCATGGAATACTATGCAGCCATAAACAAGAATGGGACCATGTCCTTTGCAGGGACATGGATGGAGCTGGAGGAGGAGGCCTAATTTTTAAGCACATTTTTGGGGTGAACAACCTTGTTCATCTGAAATGTTCACATGATGGCCATTGTAAGTCTAAATTATCCTTATTAAGATTGTGCCATTTTTTAAAGAGCTTGCAGATTCTGCTGCCTAATACTTATACACATAAAAAGCAAATATAGCCAGAAGGTGGAGGACACAGGTCTCTGGAAAGTAAAGATCTCAGTAAAAATTGTTTTTTCCATAGGTTATTGGGGTGCAGGTGGTGTTTGGTTACATGAGTAAGTTCTTTAGTGGTGATTTGTGGGATTTTGGTGCACCCACCTGAGCAGCATACACTGCACCACGTTTGTAGTCTTTTTTCCTTCACCCCCTCCCACCCTTCCCCTACAAGTCCCCAAAGTCCATTGCATCATTCTTATGCCTTTGAGTCCTCATAGCTTAGCTCCCACATATCAGTGAGAACATACGATGTTTGGTTTTCCATTCCTGAGTTACTTCACTTAGAATGATAGTCTCCAATCTCATCCCAGTTGCTGTGAATGCTGTTAATGCATTCCTTTTTATGGCTGAGTAGTATTCCATCATATATCTATCTATCTATCTATCTATCTATCTATCTATCTATCTATCTATCATCTATATATCTATATATATCTCATATATATCAGATATATATGAGATATATATATATATATCTCATAGTTTCTTTATCCACTCGTTGATTGATGGGCATTTGGGTTGGTTCAACGACTTTGTAATTGCGAATTGTGCTGCTACAAACATGCGTATCTAAGTATCTTTTTTGTATAATGCCTTCTTTTCCTCTGGGTAGATACCCAGTAGTGGGATTGCTAAATCAAATGGTAGTTCTACTTTTAGTTCTTTAAGGAATCTCCACACTGTTTTTCAAAGTGGTTTTACTGGTTTACATTCCCACCAGCAGTGTAGAAGTGTTCCCTGATCACCGCATCCACGGCAACATCTACTGTTTTTCGATTTTTTGATTATGGCCATTCTTGCAGGAGTAAGGTGGTATCACCTTGTGGTTTTGATTTGCATAAGGACATGAATAGATGATTCTCAAAAGAAGATACACAAATGGCCAAGGTCTCATTTTTATGTTGACTCTTGGGTCTTTCAGAGCTGACATCAAAGTCTAAGAAGGAAATGCCTTGGGATTGGGTCCTGGATTGCTTTCTAGTGAACCTTCCCGCATGGATGCTGTCTTGAAGTTGGTGGGTGACATGGTATTAAACTTGTTTCATGACCAGCTGATCCTAACATGGATGTCTTATTTACAGGTGGTGAGTGCTCTAATCGCTCCTAAGTGCCTAAACCATGCCCACCAGTCAGATCATGGCTGTGACTCTGAGGTCCCCTTGACTAATGTAGCCAATGAATCTCTCATACTATGCACACACACCAAAAGGAACTGGAAGAACCAAATCTCTGCAAATTTCCAAAAGCCAGAGTCACACACTGCATGTGGTAAGCTTCTCCCACCATCAGTTACCTTTAAAACTGCAAGTCTTGTCAGTGACTTGTCAGCCCCACAAACCCCCAAGAAACTCATGTGCTCTCTCACCGGACACATGAATCCTGGAATCAAGAGCCAAAAGTATCAGGGGAATCAATACAAAAATGTGACCCTAGAGGAACTTATAACCCTTGTGTCTGTGAGAGTGAAAGGGGACTCAAAAGCTGTCAGCGGCATCTCCCCTGCATTTGTCAAGGGGTCTCCAGAGTCATCAGCAGTGCCTTTTGGGTCCTATCATGGGTTGCCAGAAACTGCTAAAAGAACAAATAACAGCAAATCAATTTAAAAATCAAACTGGCTTTTATTTGCAATACTAGAATTGGGCAACAGCACATTCTATAAAATAGAATGAGTGTGCCAATCAACCGAGAGGAGGAGGTTGGCTTTGAAGGCAGAAAAGGGCTGAAAGAAGCAGAAACAGAAAAAAAAAGAAAGCAGGTTAGTCATTTTGAATTTATGTTCCATTTAGGGTTAAAGAAGATATTCCGCTGACTCAGGGACTCAGGTTAATGGGAAGATTCTGTTTTTTTGTTTTGTTTTGTTTTTTGTTTTTCCCCATTGGAAAGTTCAGGATCATTACTTAACACTCAGCACAAGTGACCCCATTCTGGTTGGGTGTGGTCAGCTGGGGCTTAGGACAGGAGGCTAGTTCACAGCAGTGGCCTCTTGTGTAGGTTGTTTCACTCAAGCCCCTGAGTTAATGGAGCTTTCTAAAGGAGGCTGTGCTAGCTTTCCTAAACAGCCAGCTTTCCTCCCCCTCTGTAGACAGGAACATCTGGATGCTAGTGGTTTACACTGGTTTTCTTTTCTACAATATCTTAAATGATTTTCATAGAAAAGCTTGTCTGTGAGGAATTGTAGTATTAAAATTCTCAATCGATATTTAGTGCTTGGATTTGCCTTCTCTCTCTCTCTCTCTCTCTGTATGTGTGTGTGTGTGTGTGTGCTAAGCTTTTCAAGTATGGAAACTAGAACATGTCTCTGTAGGTGATAATTCTTGCCTCTTGGGGTCCCTGGAGAAAGGAAGTCCACATGGAAAAGAGAAGCAATCTTCAGGTGGAGATACATCCTCAGAGATTTAAAAGCAGTTTTCAGCCTGTGTTATATACACGTACCAAAGATGACCTGTGTGTAATCCCTAGGCTGGATGAATGCCTTGGTTGTCGTTTAGACATGGGATGTTGCTGTTGATTGGCCTTGAGGCTCCTCGGCTATCCTGCAGTACCGCTGGTGTTTCTCTACTCTTTTTCTTCACAAGACTGAGACCTGTTGGCTCCGAAGCCCACCAGCACAAAACTCAATTTTTCACACGTTTGATCGTTTGAAACATGGCACTGCCAAGCAGATTGTTAGGCATTCAGAGCCTACCTGGCTTCCATACCCTGCTAAACTTCACCCCACATCTGCTAACCATAGATAAGATAGAACCTTGTGGTTAGGAGACCTCAAAGCCACTTTGTCCAGCTACTGATACACAGCAGCTAGACCTGTAAGGCCCTTATCCAATTCCCACCTCCTCCAGCAGTTCTCCTGCCTTCTTACATGTCTGATGGTGACCCCTGAACTATAAACTCTGGACAGCCCTCTGCTCTGAGGATATCCCCTCCCCAGCACCCTATCCAATCACCACCCAATAAAGCTGCTTTGTGTGGTACAGCCTCTGGTGGTCCTATCATTTTCCTTGATCAACCCCCCCAGGCGCACACAGTGTGAAATGAGCTCTTATGAACTCAGATATCTGACCCTTAGAGGCTGATGATTGAGCTGAGTTGCATGATTTGAGGGGGTCTGTTTGGACAAGGCCAAAAGGCCTTAGGAAAGCACACCAGGCAGGCATCTCACGGGGACATGGAATGCTGATGTTGTCTGGCCTTGCAGCATCTCGGCTTTCTTGTGCTGGAGAAACCCCCCTGACTGTTTTGGATTCTGAATTCACAGATCTCAACAGGCTGGGCTTGACTCTAAGTTAAAACCCAAATTGTCCACCCTGAGCTGTTTCAGACTCGCCACAAGCTGTGCTGGATAGAAAGCAGGCGTAGCTCAATGCAATAAATTAGTCTTTGACACTGGAATCTTGATTGTTCTGGGCCCTACTCCATGGGGTTCAAAACTGTTGCAACCTGCATGCAGCCCTGGGCCATCCACATCTCTTGCAGATGCCCATGATTTAGGGCTTGTTCTCAGGTGGGACCCACTAGAGTGGGACTGCTCATGGGCACTGTATTTCTGATTCAGGCGGATTGCACTTCTAACCAGTCATGGTGGCCAAAAGCTGCACATCGGGAGAGGGCACCCCACAGAGACTGTGATCCCTCTGCCCACTCATGACGGATCAGTCTCGAACCCCTTCTCTGGGATGCCCACTGCTGGTGACTCGTGTTTGACAACCTACATCAGTTACAGGTTGGTATAGCAGATGGACAGCCTGACTTCACTTCCTCTCTCTCCTCCTGGTCCACATGCCAGGCAATGGGGTCATCAAATGCAGCGATGCCCAGGAAGGGATGAGTTTTTTCTGCTCTGCTCACTGCATAAATAGGGGGGATGGAAAGGGATATGTAAACCCATTTTGAAATCTTTTCAAAATGCAGGATTTTAAATATGATGGGTTTTTCTGTCCACATCTTGTTTTATGACAGTGTTTTTGTCCCTGTTACATACAGCCTTGCTAGGTGAGAAGGCCTGAGAGAAGGTATGAGTGATTGAGGGAATGTAAAGTTTTTATTACTGAGTGAGCCACGTTGATTTTATAAGGGTGGAGAAAAACACAAGATATCTGTGGAGGTGAGAGGGAGAGCACTGTGGTCTTAGTGTTGCAGAACTGTTCCTGGAAGGTTTCTTCCCTTGCTGAAGGAAAACTCCCCATGCTGCCTTTGCAAGCTGCTGCAAGCTCTGTGACTCCAAACTGACAGCTTCACCTGAGCCCATACCTGACGCCATACCTGACCCCACTGACTAGGGGAGAGAGGCGGTGGCTCCAGCCCCTCCATGTTCCCCACGGAGCACCTGCAGTTGTCATCCACAGTAGTCATGGACAAGCCAAATTGTCTGCAATGAAACCAGGGACTGAACTGGATTATGTGGCCTGTACTGGATACCCCGTGGCTGGCAGCAGCTGCCACAGAGGAAGGCCACAATGAGGCCTTGATGTCCTGTGCTTCCTGACTTAGGTACACTCTCTTGGGGTGCCCAAACCATGGTACACTTGGTGTGTGCAGGGACACCATGTGTGCCCTCATGTATTGTACATCCTGTGTGCCCTGCCTGTCATGACACTGCCTCAGGCCTGGATGACTTTCAGATCAGCTCCAACTTACTGACCAGAGTTGTATTCTACCTGAATTGATGCCCTCGGCTAGGTAAAAGGAAACCATTTGTACTAAAATTTAAGGAGGGAGCCATTTGGTTGTCTAAGATAGTCCTGTGTGGTTAATGGGGTTTGTGTTGACTGGTTCAATCCAGGACTCCTAACAGGCATAAGTGATATCTGTATGCAGCTTGATTACACCCTGCTGTGTCCGGTCCTATTGATAATTTCCTGTAATATGCCTTGACCAATGGGGTGCACTGTGCAGAAAAGACTGCACACAGCAGGCTTCATTCCTCTACTTAGAACAGCCTATTACTTTCAACGTTGTCCATTGGCTGGATTCTGAGGACTTGGATTTGGGAGGGATTTCACTTTTCTCAGAACTCATTATACCTAAACTATGTATGGAAACAAAAAGCTGCACAGTGCTTTCCTCCTGGGAGTCTGGAATTTTGGTCCATGCCTGGGAAGAACCACTTGTGTGACCAGCCCAAGTTCAACTCATGGGTGATGAGGTTTTACTGAACTCCACTGGTTGGCAGCATTTTACATGTGTGGTCACACCTTGTTGTGAGGGAATTAAGTGCATTCTGTGTGACCCTACTGGGAGATGAGATGACTCTGGAAACCTGTGTCTGGTCTCCTGCACTTCTCCCTGTGCACCCTTTCCCTTTGCTGATTGTGCTTGGTACCCTTTCACTGTAATAAGTTGTAGTCATGGGTAGGACTATATGGTGAGTCCTGTGAGTTCCCCGTTAGTGAGATACTGGACCAGATTTAGTGGTTTGGGGTCCCCCATTTGGTCCATATGCCCCATATCTGGCATATCCATCCAGCCCCTCCATCTCACACTCCAGGAAGTTCAGATCAGGACACTACTGAGAGGAATCATAATGGACAAGCTTGCTTGAGTGTTTCTTAGATCTCAGGGACTCTTCTCAATGCTTTTTAAAACATCTAATATATTCCTCATCACTCACCGTTGAGATAGATTCTATCTTTTCACCAATTTTGTGAAATAAATCCTTGGTTTTCTCTATGCAACTTTTCTGTAAATCCAAATCTCTTCTCATACCAAAAGTTCATGCTTCTATAAAGTAAATGGTACCAGGAGGTTTGGGCAAAGAAACTAGAAGTTGAAGTAAAATCAGTATGGTGGTAAAATTTTTGTGCTTTTTTTTCCTCCTCTATCTCCAAGACTGAACTCAAAGGCTGCCCAAATTTCTAAATTGCACATGAGGTGTGGACAAAAAGAGTTTTATGAAACAGGTCTCTGTCTATGGCCCAAGAGCTAGGAAGGCAGGCCCATACAGTATACAGGGAATGAGGGAAAGAACATTTGGATCCTGCTGGCCCAGCTCACAGATTAGCTCCAGTCCTGAATCTGTATCCTGTGGCTGCAGCATCAACCACAGCTGGAAAAGCATCTAAAAATCTCAAGGAGGGGAATCCTACTCTCAAACAAGAGATTTTGTCCAAAAAAGTGTGAGAAGATTGGAAGGTGGTAATGAGTAGCACTTTTGCAGGTCTCAGCCCAGGGCACAGGCCAATAAAAAGACTGAGACTTACTCATAGGTCTGTGGAACACTTCCTCTTTGCCACACCTTACCAGTATGTCAGTAGGACTCCTGTGTAATAGCAGGGGAATAGCACTGAAACAACTTCATATCTCAGATTTCATTTAAGAATAAATATCTAGGGAAACTCAACACAAGAGCAGAAAGTTTAACCTCTGAAACCTATGGCTCCAGGAAACCGTAAACACAGTTGCACTCCTAAACAGACAAAAATAAACTGTAACTATAAAGGCTTATTTTCCTCAATTCCATTTACCTAGTACGTTATGTCTGGCTTTCAACTGAAAAAGGAGTTACAAAGCATTATAAAAAAAGAAAATACCCAGTTTGAAGAGACTAAATATCAAACAGACTCAGGTACGGAAGAGATGTTGGATTATCAGTCTGACAATTTAATACCAGTATGGTGAATATGCTAAGGGCTCTAATGGAAAAAGTGAATAGCATGCAAAAATAGGTTGGTAATATAGGCAGAGAGATGTAAACTCTTTGAAGCAGAGTCAAAAAGGATATGCTAGAAGTTGAAAATACTATAAAACCATCAGTAAAAGAAAATGTATACCTATTGGACTTCATAAAAATTAAAAACTTCTGTGCATGAAAAGATATTAGGAAGAGAACCACAATGCAATCCACAGACCAGAAACAAATATTTCCAAATCATATATCTGATAAGAGATGCACATGCAGCATATATAGAGGACTCCTAAAATTCAACAACAACAGAAAACAAACCAATTCAAAACTGTGGAAAGTATTTGATTAGAAATTTCTGCTTAAAAGCTATGGAAGTGGGCAGTAGGCATATGAAAAGATACTTAATGAAACTAATTATTAGGGAAATACAACTCAAAACCATAGCGATATACCACCTCACGCTCACTAAGATGGCTACTATTTTTTTTAAAAAATGAAACATCAACAAGTCAGGAAATAAGTGTTGGCAAACGTGGTGATATTGGAACATTTGTGTCTTCTGGAATGTAAAATGATATGACTGTTATGCATAACCCTGTGTGATTTCTCAAAAAATTCAAAGTAGAATTACTATATAATTCAACAATTTCACTTCTGAGTATGTGTCCAAAATAAACAAATACACAGACCTACATTTTTGTGTACTGAAAAATATGGTATTATTACTCACAATAGCTAAAATGTAGAAGCAACCCAAGTGTCCATTGCTAAATGAATAGAGAAGCAAAATGTGGTATATGCATACAGTGGAAACTTATTCAGCCTTACAAAGGAAGGACATTCTAGCATACATTACAACATGCATGAACCTTGAAGATATTATGCTGAATGAAATAAATCAATAACAAAAAGACAAATACTGCATGATTCCATTTACACGAGATACTTAGAGTGGTCATATTCATAGAGACAGAAACTAGAAAGGTAGTTGCTAGGGGAGTTGGGAAAAGTGAATGGGGAGCTATTGTTTAATGGTTATAGTGTTTGTTGTGCCAGAGAAAAGAGTTCTTGAGATGAATGGTGTAGATGGTTGCATAATAATATGAATGTACTTAAATATCACTGCTCTGTAAACAAAAACTGGTTGAGAAGGTCAATTTCATGTTATGTATCTTTTATTAAGAAAAGAAAGAAACCCCTACTGTAACAAAAATGAATAATGCCTTTGATTGGCTCATCAATAGACAGGACAGGGCTGAGGAAACAAGCACAAGCCTGATGAAATGTCAATATAAATTTTCAAACCTGAAATGCAAAGAGAAAAAAGAAAGGAAAAAGACAGAACAGAATATTCAAGAACTGTGTGACAATTACACATGGTATAAATATGTATAATTGAAATACCAGAAGGAAAAGAAAGAAAGAAAGGAACAGGAGAAATATTTGAATTGGCAATGGCTGAGAATGCCCCCAAATTAATGACAGACATGTATTCACAGGTCTAGGAATCTCATAGAACACCAAGTAGGATAAAAACTAAAAAGTATACATCTACACAAATCATAGACAAACTGTAGAAAATCAAAGAGAAAAAAATATTGAAAGGAGCTGGAGGAAAAAACAAGTATCAGAGGAATTCCTATTGTTATTTTACTCTATCTTCCTGCTTCCTAGTTTCCTAACCAAGCCCTTTAAAGGGAAATGCACAATAGTATGAGTAGACAAAAGACCCACCTTCTAGTGAGAAGGTCAGAGGGCGTTCCCTGGGATCCAGTGGACATGGTGAAGATCACTGAGAATAATTGATGTGGTTTGAATTTGTGTCCCCACCCAAATCTCATGTCAAATTGTGATTCCCCAGTGTTGGAGGGGGGACCTGATGGGAGGTGACTGGATCATGAAGGTGGATTTCCCCCTTGCTGTTCTCATGATAGTGAGTGAGTTATCATGAGATCTGCTTATTTGGACGTGTGTGGCACCTCACCCTGCTCTCTCTTCCTCCTTCTCTGACCGTGTAAAACATTCCTTCTTCCCCTTTGCCTTCTGCCATGATTGTAAGTTTCCTGAGGCTTCCCTAGCCATGCTTCTTGTACAGCCTGTTAATTAGACCTTTTTTATTTATAAATTACCAAGTCTCAAGTAGTTCTTTATAGCAATGTGAGAATGGACCAATACAGAAAATTGGTACTGAGAGTGGGGTATTTCTATAAAGATATCTGAAAATGTGGAAGTGACTTGGAACTAGGTAATAGGCAGAGGTTGGAAGAGTGTGGTGGGCTCAGAAGAAGAAAAGATGAGGGAAAGTTTGGAGCTCCCTAAAGACTTGTTAATTTGTTGTGACCAAAATGCTGATGGTGATATGGTCAATGAGGTTTAGGCTGAGAAGGTCTCAGATGGAAATAAATAACTTACTAAGAACTAGAGCAGGCCGGGCATTGTGGCTCATGCCTGTAATCCCAGCACTTTGGGAGGCTGAGGCGGGCAGATCACCTGAGGTCAAGAGTTCGAGACCAGCCTGACCAACATGGAGAAACCCCATTTCTACTAAAAATACAAAATTAGCCGGGCACGGTGGTACACGCTGTAATCTCAGCTACTCGGGAGGCTGAAGCAGGAGAATCACTTTAACCCGGGAGGCGGAGGTTGCAGTGAGCCGAGATCACACCCTTGTACTCCTGCCTGGGCAACAAGAGTGAAACACCATCTAAAAAAAAAAAAAAAAAAACTAGAGCAAAGGTTACTTTTGTCATGTGTTAACAAAGAGTTTGGAAGCATTGTGCCCCTGTTCCAGAGATCTATGGAACTTTGAACTTGAGAAAGATAATCTGGAACTGGTACTTATATTTTAAAGAGAAGCAGAGTATAAAAGTTTAAAAACTTGCAGCCCAGCCATGTGGTAGAAAAGAAAAACCCATTTTCTGGGGAGGAATTCCAGCTGGCTGTAGAAATTTGCATACGTAAAGAGGAGACAAATGTTAATTGTCAAGACCATGGGGAAAATGCCTTGAAGGCATTTCAGAGAACTTCCTGGCAGCCCCTCCAATCACAGGCCTGGAGGCCTAGGAGGGAAGAACAATTTTGCCACCAGGCCCAGGGCCCTTCTACCATGTGCAACCTCAGGACATCGCTCCCTGTGTCCCAGCCACTCCAGCTTCAGCTGTGGCTAAAAAGGCCACAGATATGTCTCAGGATTCTGTTCCAAAGGGTGTAAACCATAAGCCATGGCAGCCTCCACATATTGTTAAGCCTTCATGAGCATAAAGGGCAAGAGTTGAGGCTTGGAAGCCTCTACATAGATTTCAGAGGCTATATGGAAATGTCTGCTGCAGGGCTGCAGCCCTCATGGAGAACCTCTGCTAGGGCAGTGCAAAGGAGAAATGTGGGGTTGGAGCCCCTACACAGAGTCCCCACCGGTGCACTGCCTAGTGGAGCTGTGAGAAGAGGGCCACCATCCTCCAGACCCCAGAATAGGAGATCCACTGACAGCTTGCATCATGTACCTAGAAAAGCCACAGGCACTCAACACCAGCCCGTGAAAGCAGCTGAGGGGGCTGTACCCTGTAGAGCCACAGAGGCAGAGATGCCCAAGGCCTTGGGAGCCCACCCTTTGCATCAGTGTTGCCTGGAAGTGAGACATAGAGTCAAAAGAAATTATTTTGGAGCTTTAAGATTTAATGACTGCACTGCTAGATTTCAGACTTGTATGGGGTCTGTAACCCCTTTGTTTTGGCTAATTTCTCCCTTTTAGAACAGGAGTATTTAGTCCATGTCTGTACCCTCATTGTATCTTAGAAGTAACTAACTGGTTTTGGTTTTACAGGCTCATGGGTGGAAGGGACTTACCCTGTCTCAGATGAGACTTTGGACTGTGGACTTTTGAGTTAATGCTGGAATGAGTTAAGACTTTGGGGGACTGTTGGGAAGGCATGATTGTATTTTGTAATGTGAGGAGAACATGTGATTTGGGATGGGCCAGGGGTAGAATGATATGGTTTGGATTTGTGTCTCCACCAAAATCTCATGTCAAATTGTGATCCCCAGTGTTGGAGTGGGGCCCTGGTGGGAAGTGATTGGATGATGGGGGTGGATATCCCTCTTGCTGTTCTTGTGATAGTGAGTGAGTTCTCATGAGATCTGGTTGTTTGGAAGTGTGTGGCACCTCCTGCTGCTCTCTTCCACTTCTCTGACCATGTAAGACATGCCTGCTTCCCCTTCACCTTCCAGCATGATTGTAAGTTTCCTGAGGCCTCCCAAGCTATGCTTCCTGTATAGTCTGCAGAACTGTGAGTTAACTTCTTTTTAAAAATAAATTACCCAGTCTCAGGTGGTTCTTTATAACAACACAAGAACAAACCAATAATGGCAGCAAATGTAAGAAAGAACACTTTAAATTTGATAGAATTTCCTGCATCAACCCAAGGTGCCCATGCAGGAATCTTTCTATTAATCTAGGATTGGAGAACTGGACTAGAGATAGAGCATTACCCAGTTCTCAACCCTGAGCAGGACCACTCACAACCCATGGATTCAAATATCATGACAGCAGCAACAGCAGAATGTATAATACATTTTTTCCAGCACACATGCAACACTCACCAAGCTGGATTATCTTCTGAGTAGTGGAACACACAATAAACTGATCATGAGGTCAGGAGATCGAGACCATCCTGGCTAACACGGTGAAACCCCGTCTCTACTAAAAATACAAAAAATTAGCTGGGCGTGGAGGGTGCCTGTAGTCCCAGCTACTCGGGAGGCTGAGGCAGGAGAATGGCATGAACCCGGGAGGCGGAGCTTACAGTGAGCCAAGATCACGCCACTGCACTCCAGCCTGGGTGACAGAACGAGACTCCGTCTCAAAAAAAAAAAAAAAAAATTGAAATCACCGAGTATGGTCTCTGGCCTTTCATGGCATCAAATTTGCAATCAAACAATAACATTAATACAGCAGGAAAATCTGAAACCACTTAGAAACTAAATCACACAATCTTCAACAATTCAAGGATCACACTTAATCTCAACAAAATAAAAAATCCACAGAACTAAGTTAAACTGAAAAAGCAACATATCACAACTTGTAGGATGAAGCTAAAACAGTGTTTAGAGAGAGAATTACAGCAGTTAACACTTAGATTAAGACTTTTTAAAGGTCTCAAATAATCTAAGCTTCTACCTTAACTAACTAGAAAAAGAAGAAAACAAATTAATTCAAAGCAAGCAGAAGTAGAAAGTCAATAACTGATATTAAAAAGAGAAAATACATAGGAAAAAAATTAAGAAACCAAAATCTAGTTCTTTGAAAAGATAAAGAAAATGGATGGAACTCTAGTCATCCAGACAAAGTAAAAAGAAGACACAAATTATTCAAATCAGGAAGGAAACAGGAGTTATCATTACAGAACCTGCAGACATTAGAAAGGTAAAAATGAAATACTGAAAACAAATATATGCAGAAAAATTCAAGAATTGAGATGGAATTGGTGATGAAATTAAATAAATTTCCTCTAAACTCAGAAACTACCAGAACTCATCTTAGCTGAAATGGATAACCTGAATAGTACTCTAGCTAATAAAGTAATTGATTTCATAGTAAAAATGTTTTTGAAAATTAAATATGTAGACCCAGATATGTTCACTGGAGATATCTTACAAACATATAAGGAAAACGTCACACTCATCTGGACACTAATACAGCAAATAAAAGAGAATGGAATGTTTTCTGAATCTTTTTATCAGGTTAACATTACTGAGCTATTACCAGGCCAGCAGTACAAAAAAAGAAAAAAAAGAAATATAAAGGAAAAAATTAGAGGCCAATATGCTTTATAAACATAGATGTGAAAAATCTCCATCAAAACCTTTTTGAATAGAGTACAGCAACATCTAAAAAGTGGGATTTTTCTGGGAAATGGAAGGCTGGTTCAATATTTGATAATTAAGCAATATAATTCACTATCTCAACAGACTAATGAAACTTATGATGATTTGAACTAAAGCAGAGAAGAGCATTGAGAAAATACAACATATTCATAATCAGAAGTCTCAGAAAACTAGATGTAGAGAGGAACTTAACCTGACAGAGTACATATACCAAACCCTAGAGCAAATATCAATGTAGGGAAAGACTAAATGCCTTCCCCTAAGAGCATAAACAAGAAAAGTATGTCTCCTCTCACCACTCCTATTCAGCAATGTAGTGGGATTCTTACCAGTGAAATCAAACAAGAAATATAAATAAGCAGCATCCAGAATGGAATGGATTAGACAACACTATTTCTAACCTCAGAAGACATCCCTGTCTATGCAGAAAATCCCAAGGAAACTGCACAATAACTTCTCAAACAAGTGGGTGCAGCAAGCTCACAAGATAGAAACTCAATATACAATAATCATATTTCTATGTAATGGCAAAAAAAGTGGAAAATTGTTCTTGCCATTTCTTCAGGTTGTGTCCTTTGCTCTGCCTAGTCTACTGTTCAGCTCATCAAAGTCATTCTTCATTTTCGTTATAGTATTTTTTTTTATTTTTAGCATTTCCTTTTGACTCTTTTTTACAGAGTTTCTATCTTTCTGCTGATATTACTTATCTGCTCTTGGACATTATCTACTGTTTCCTCAGAGACCTCAGCACATCCCTCAAAGTTGTTTTAAATTCCTAGTCAGGGCTGGGCATGGTGGCTTGCGCCTGTAATCCCAGCACTTTGGGAGGCTGAGGTGGGCAGATCACGAGGTCAGGAGATCAAGACCATCCTGGCTAACACGGTGAAACCCTATCTCTACTAAAAACACAAAAAATTAGCCAGGTGTGGTGGTGGGCATCTGTAGTCCCAGCTACTCAGGAGGCTGAGGCAGGAGAATGATGTGAACCCAGGTGTGAACCCAGGAGGCGGAGCTTGCAGTGAGCCAAGATTGCGCCACTGCACTCCAACCTGGGCGACAGAGCGAGACTCCATCTCAAAAAAAAAAAAAAAAATTCCTAGTCAGATTATTACAATATCTCTACCATATGAGTCTGTTTCTAATGAATGCTCTGTCTCTTCACACTGCGTTTCTTGTGTATTATGGTTTGAAATTTTTTGTTGCAAATTTGACGTAATGGAATGGATAAAAACAATGGAGTTAAATAGGCCTTTAGTGTGAGGCTTTATGTTCATCTGGCTGTGTTTACTGTTTGCTGTAGCTGTAGGTGTCAGAGGCTAAACCTCCCTGTGGTATCCTTCATTTTTCCTCCTTGGTTGTGTTTGGTTTTCCTTGGAGACTTGCTCACTATGATCTGGCACTCACAGTTCTTTCAGTTTCATTCCCCCATTGATGTGGCAGTGAGCTGTGGAGGGAAGGAAAATGTTCTATCCTCCTATGACTAGGTGTCAGGCTTGAATCAGTGTGCCCTGGGCTGTAGCTTTCACTAGTGCTTCTCAGTTTTGTTTTCTCCTTGAAGACACAAAAGGCTGGATGGTGTTGTAATTGGATATTTCCCTTCCCACAGGTTGGTTAAAGTCTAGAAAAAAACCCAGCAAGTTAGACTCTGGAAAAATAATTTATCTGGTAAGAAGAACAGAACACTCTGGGCATATTTTCTAATGAATTCTTTCCAATCTTTTTACAGGAAGTAGGAAGGGATTTTTCTGACCAACTCTACTGGACTTGGCCAAATCCAAAGGAAAGTTCCAAATTATGGGGAACAAGGTCTCTGAATTGGCTAAATTCATGCAGCTGGAAAAAAAAAAAAAGAAAAGAAAAAAAAACAAGAATTTGATTACCTGTGGTGCTTTATTTACATAAGAAGGCCACCTTTTAGTAGACAAGCCAAACTGAAACAGCAATGGTTGTAGTACACTAGCTAAGCTTCTGCCTTTTTTTCACAAGACAGCCTGCATTTGTTCCTAAATCAAGTCCTTTCTGGTTTGATATTTTTGTTACTTTTGAAATATCAGCAGTTTGTCCCAGCCAAAATATGGTAATGAGATTTAAAAGGATTTTTTTTAAAGAGCACAATGGTTAAAAATCAGCTTAATTAAAAGCTAAGATCCAAGATATATATGTTTGTGTGTGCCTGTGTGTGTGTGTGTGTGTCTGTCTGTCTGTGTCTGTGTATGTGTTATATATAAAGTTTCGGTGCCACAAAAGGAATAGCACTCAAATATAAAATTTTCTTTTTAATTCTCAGCAAGGCAAGTTACTTCTGGTGAGCGCACACTTGGACAAGGGAGGGGAAGGGGTTCTTATCCCTGATGCACGTGACACCTGCTGTGTCATTCCCCTGTTAGTTAGGGTTAGACTGCAGAGGCTAAACTAATTCCGATTGGCTAATTTAAAGAGAATATCGGGTTGAGTGCTTTGGCAGGAGTCAGGACAGAGCAGGTAGCAGGTAATCTGAATGAGTTAGGGTGGAGCAGGTGATCAGAATGAGTTAGGGTGGAGCAGGTGATCAGAATGAGTCAAGGTGGAGTGGGAAATAGAAAAAGGTTGCTTTACGAGGAAGTTAAGTTTAAAAGTAGAAGGCAAAGAATTGAACATACTGACATATTATTTGAAAAGAAATTTAGAACTCATATCTAACAACTCCTCCCCTTGTATTTCCTTACAGCTTTCTTTTCAAACTTTTTTATTTTTTTAACATGTCTTGGCTTAGTTGTTTTGCTTGGTTTTCCAAAGAAGAAGTGTCTCTGGATAAAGTGGAGGATAGTTAAGGGAGGTTTTAGTAAGTGCCGTTTTTATGAGCCTCTGCATCAACTTACAGATGCATGGTATGACACAGCACCCAACAAGAATAAGTACACCCATTACGCTGCAAGGGAAATAAGAATCGAGGCTATTATTCCTTTCCATTTACTGAACTACTTTTCTAGCCATCCTGTAAAGGGACCATTTACCCAAGTTGCTGGCTAGCTCATTGGATAGAGCAGTCAGACCTTGCAGTGCCTTTGTTATACTTCCACTAGGGGTGGTGTTGTTTGGGATGAAGGTGCAACACTGAGTTGTAATCATGATGCAAACTCCTCCTCTTTCTGCTAATATCATGTCTACGGCTATCCTATTTTCCTAAGCCGTCTCGCTAGCAGCCGCTAATTGTTCAGCTATTTAACAGCATCTCTAGTGTAGTTAATAAATTGCTGTTGGTTGCAATAGATGTAGTTTATCCAATCTACATTTTTATTAATTGTCATCCACCAAAGTATTGACTCAAATCCTGCAGCTATTTGATTTCGGGCTTTAAATTGATCTGGTATTCCCTGTGGGACTTTAATTGTGTCTAAATAGATGTGAGAGTCAAAAGACCCATAAGGGGCTTCTATTGCTTTATGGTGTCTTATTTTTTCCTTCCTCTGGTTGATGAAATGCCAGGGTGAAAGGGATAGCCAATTGGACTAAAGCACAAGTGCCACTCCAGTTATTTGGCAGTGTTCAGTAAAGGTCCACCACAATACTACCACACATCCACTTGGGGATGAACAAGGGCTGACTGATTGATAAGCTCTTGAAAATTCTTAAGCTCACTGCATCCCTTCAGGTCTCCGAGTAATGCTAAGTTTCCTCCCTGTAGTGAAAGACACGAAGTGAACTTGGTGTTGGGAGACAGAAGCTGGATGGCCCTCGGGGTCTCACTCGCAGGGTGCCGGACTTTGGGATATAGCAGAGAGGGAGCTTGGCACGACTTATTACTCCAGGCTGTAGAATCCTGGAAAAGAGCTACCATGCAGCCCATACCTTGTCAACTGGAGGACCACCTTAGTCGAAAAGGGACAATCTGGGCCTCTGGCCTGCCGTGTGCAAAGCATAACAATTGCTTTTGTTTAACATGTGGACCGAATATTTGATCCATTCCAACCAGGCATTTGCATCTTGGTATCCTGTCTTAATTGCCAAAGTTTGTTTTAAGTCTTTAACTTCTATGATCCTCTAGTAAAATGAATGTATAGTTTTAGGAAATTACAAAAACTGGTTGGGGCAGTCCATCCTTGCTCTTTAGTGGTCCAGAAAACGTTGGACCAACTACTGCATAAAAGCTGTACATCAGGGAGCAAGACTCCTGGTTAACACTGGAGTCTTTATCGAAATCTCCCCAGATTAAATGGTCCTAATTTACTAATGCCCAGTCTGAGGAGAGTCAGGAGGGACAGAGGTACTTTTCTGAAGTAGAGAGCTGTCTTTGACTTGGCAAGTCCCCACAGGGTGTAACAAGGCAAGCATCAAATCCAATAGTTTGAGGTGAAATTGACTTAGTTATGTTAATAACTAGATGGTCAGCAATAGAGTGAGGAAAGAAGAAAGAGTAATAGAAGAGGTGAAAGAGAGTTAAATTTTTCTTAGCTTTAGTTTGGTAGGGTTTTTCCCTGAGACTATGGCCCACAACTCTGGAGGGGGTGGCACTTTCTTGACTTGGGTGTGATGAGTCCATCCCTTTTTCGCTGTACCAACAGCAGTCTTGGTGGTTAGCAGTACAAGGTAGGGTCCTTCCCAGAGTAGCTCGAGTTTTCCTTCTTTCCACCCTTTGATGAGATCATGATCTTCAGGCTGGTGCTGGTTTACTGTAAACCAGGGGTGGTACCTGTGCTAAGACTTTTAGTTTTGAGGGAAAGGAAAGTGGAAGATAAACCAAGTATATAATTTCTAAGAAACTGACCTTTTGTTTTAAATGTGAGGACATCAGCAGTGGACTTTATAGTCCTTGGTGCCTTCTTACTGAGAAATTTCTTTTCGCACCCATTTTTATTAGTTTTTAGACCAAAGAAAGCCAAACATCATTTTATATTTGACAATGCTTCCTGTATGATTTTTATACCAGATAAGCTAAATTTCACCTTTATATTAGTGTGTTATTAATGTTAAACTTAGTTTTAATAAAACTTTGTAGACATACTTATTCGATTTTTAATGTCTGACCATAAGGTAAGATTTTTATAGACTCTTTAACCTTTTATATTTTTTGTTAAAGAGCAGGTTAGTGCTTTCAGAAAAACCTGCTGTGCTTTTATTTTGCTGTTGTTTGAAATGCTTGTTCCCCAGTGCTGTAAATAAATAGCACTTGAACATAAATTTAATTTATTTAATAAGGCCATTTTTACTTCCTACAGAAAGGGTACACTCGCCAGCAGTTTTGCCATGAGAGTACACCAAACAAAGGAGACAGGGTCATTTATAACCTGACATGTCCACCCTACTGCTGTGTCTGGTTTCCATTGGCTGGAACGGGACCTCACATTCTTTATTTGTCCCGATTGGCTAGCAACTTAGAGCTTTTTAAAAGAGGCAAAGGTAGAGGAGAACAAAGGAAGGAGGAAGTAACTTGTGGAATGCTGAGAAAGGTAAAAACACTTTTAAATAAGGAAGAGGAACAGGCTATGACCTAATGCTTGCTTGGACCAGTATAAGCATGCCAGGGCAAATACTTAGGAGCACAGGTCTTTGAATAAATTTTGCTTCTAAGAGAAGTTACTATTTATTCCTAATTAGATAGGGAGGAAAGTCTTTGAAGAGGAACCTCTACTTTACTTTTTACAATATTCCCCCTCTTTTTATTTCATAATTTCTCTTCAAACTTATTTAATATGTTTTGACTTAATTGCTTTGTCCCTGTAAAAGAAGTAATTTTTTTTTGAATAGGGTGGAGGAGAGTTAGGAGTTAACTCTGTAAGAGTGGCAGAGACAAGTTTTTGCATAAAACTTTGAAGGCAGGGAATAATATAACAGTCTACAAGAATAAGTACACCAATAATAAGAACGAACAAGGTGAGAATTGAAGTTAAATTTTTTTTTAATTTATAGTTACCTATTAGAACAACGTGGATTTAAATTTTGCATCTATTTGATTTTGTGCTTTAAAATTATTTGGCAGTTCTCACAGGACCTTAATAGCATTTATATAAACCTGAGGATTAAAGGACTTACAAGGAGTTTTCCTTGGCCTGCGGTGTTTTGTTTTTACCTTTTTAGATGGATGAAATGCCAGGGTGAAGGGGATAGCCAATTGGATTAGAGCACAAGTACTGCTCCAATTATTTGGCAAAGTGTCTAGTAAAGATCCTCTACAGGATTACCATACATTTGCTTGGGGATGGCTAAGCATGGACTGATGGGCAAGCTCTTAGAAAGGCTTGAGCTCTTTATATCCTTTTATGTTTCCAAGAAACACCAAATCTTCCCCCTGCCATGAGAGGTACAAAGTAAACTTGGCATTTAGAGGTGGAAGCTGGATTGCCCTCAGGGGCTGGCCCACAGGGGGTTGAACTTTAGGAGATAGCAGAGAGAGCTCAGTAGGATGGATTATTCTAAGCAGTGGGATTTTGAAAAAGAGCCACCGTACAGTCCGTATGTGGTCAATGGGGAGACCATTCGAATGGAAAGGGGATAATCTGGGCCTCTGGCCTACCGTGCATACAAGCGTCATAATCGCTTTTATTAACGGATTATTTAATCAATTTCAGCCAGGCATTTGCAATTTGATATTTTGTCTTGACGGCTGTTTGTCTTAGGTCTCTTATTTTTATAATAGACACCCTAGTTTTATTAGATGTAGGAGCAACCGGTGTGAGATCTAGAACTGAGGCTACTGAAGAAGGGGAAGATGGGGGAATAATGCATATTTTAAAAATACTTATGGGGGTCTTTTCCATTTACGTCAATCCTTATACTATAGAAGCGACTAAGGGCAGGTTTAGAGTTAGTTAAGGTGGAGGTGGTGATAGAGAGAAGGACGGGGTTATATTGATAAGGCTGACAGTTAGAAGGGGTAGTCCTTTTAGTGAAATAGATGAGGGATTTTAGATCTGCACAAACCTTTTTCGTGGAAGTTTAACTTTGCTCCTGAGTAGTTTAATGGATGTAGTCCCATTTACTACAAGGTTGCCAGCCTGTAGGAGCAGAAAATTGGCATCTTGGCTGCATGTGATTACAACAATGAGTGCTAGGGGTAACCGTGTCAATTAGAGGGCTGGGACATAAATATTTGTGTGAAAAGACTAGCTGTTGTTGATCTTTTACATTTCCACAAGGTATGACAGCGCAAGCATTAAAGGCAATGGTTTGAGGTGAGTTAGATTTAGTTACATTAATAACAAAGGAGCTAGTAACAGAATAAGGAAAGGAAAGGAAGCAATATAGAAGGTATATGAAAATTAAGCTTTCTTTAACTTAGTAGGGCTTGATCCTAGTACAGTAACCCACGATTTTGAGAGGAAGTTTTTTTTGACTCGAGTATGGTGGGTCCATTTTTTTTTGTCTTGGCTGTGCGGACGGCAGTCTCAGCAGTTAACAGCATAAAATAGGGTTCTTCCTAGGCTGGCTTGAGTTTTTCTATCTTTTGATGAGGACGTGGTTTTCAGGCTGGTGCTGATGTACTGGAAATTCTAGGGGTGGCACCTGTGCTAAAAGACTTTTAGTTCCAAGGGAAGGAAAAGTGGAAGATAAGTATATAATTTTTGCTGCATATTCTGGGGCTTGAGGCCTCATGGTGACGCCTCCTGCTCCATTCTTGCTCAGTGCCACCTAGGGGATGCTGCAGTCCTGCCCCTTCTTAATGTCTTGGCCTTCTTGTGGCCTTCACTGCCCCTGTGCACTGTGACCTTGAGGATGAGGGGCCTTGTGACTTACCTGGCTGCCTTTGGGCCTTAAGAAAGCTAAACACCATTTTATATTTGACAATGTTTTTTATATGATTTTATACCAGATAAGTTAAATTTTATCTTTATATTAATATGCTATTAATGTTAAACTTAATTTTAATAAAATTTTGTAGACATTATCTAATTTTAATGTCTGACTATAGTTAAATTTTATCTTTATATTAATATGCTATTAATGTTAAACTTAATTTTAATAAAATTTTGTAGACATTATCTAATTTGAATGTCTGATTATAAGGTAAGACTTTTATAGACTCTTTTTAACTTTTTATAATTTTTGTTAAAGAGCAGGTTAGTGCTTCAAGAAAGATCTATTGTGCTTTAATTTTAACGTCCAGTTCAGAAAAACTGGATGATACCTCTTTAACTTTAGCCAGTATGTTTACACACAGAATTTCCTTTACAATTAACTTTTTAAAACTTGCTTAAACCTTTAAAACAAAAAAAAATTTTAAACCTTTAATGTAGGTAAAAATCCACATTCTTATGCCTCCTTAAAATCCTGTTATTAAAAGTATATTTTATGTTTCTTACATACCTTGTACATAAACTTTTTAAAAATAATTTTACATTCAGGAGGCCTAATTACTTTTAAATTATACAATATTTCTTGCATAAATTCCCTTTTATAGCTTTTCTTACAACTTTCACAATCTGCAACATGTCTTAACTTTGTGCCTTCCTTTTACACTATTTCTTTTTCTAGTTTCACCCTCTATGTCTTTGATTTCTGTCTCTTCCAGTTTCTCTTACTTACCCTTTCCATTTCTCTTTCTCTCTCATTTGCACTGTATTTCTCTCTCTCTCTCTCTCTCTCTCTCTCTCCCTCATCCTCTGTCATCCTTTGTCATCCTGTTTCCCTTTCTTTTCCCGAGTTCTCTTGCTCCTGCCGTGAGCGGGGACCAGCCACGGCCGCCCCCTACGCGTGCGCGGCCGGCTGTTTCTCCTGTGTTCCCCCCCTTTACTTTCTTTTTTTTCATTTCTTTTTACACTTAGTTTCTCGGGCTGGGTGAGATTTGCGTGGCTGCAGTCTGGGCCTAGGGCAGTCACCAGCCTAGAGGCTTGGCAGATGCCTGCCGCAAATTGCAAGAATTATGCCCTATTCACCTCCTCTGCTCTCCTCCCAGCAAGGGTCCACCGCCCTCTTTTTCACATAGACTGGGGCTGGGGAGAGGGACTTAACCCTTGGCGTGCCTGCCTCGCTGTTTGGCTCTGTGACTGCTGTTTTTGCTTGCTTTCTCTCTTCTCTCCTAAGTTCTTTTTCTTCTCTGCTGGTCTTTCCTTAGTCTCTGCCAGCCACCTATGCTGCTGTTTTTCCTTCTCCTTTCCCTTCCCTTAGGGGAGGGACCGGCGGGAGTGGAGCTACTCTTTCTTCCCCTGAGAAGAAAGGAAAGGGGGGTTTCTAAATATTTTTCTTACTTCCGGAGGTTTGTGTGAGGTTCAACCCCCCCACCATGGGGATTTCTCACCTCTTTCTGAGGTTCAACCCCCCCACCATGGGGATTTCTCACCTCTTTCTGAGGTTCAACCCCCCCCCCAAGGAATTCTCAGCTCTTTCTGAGGTTCAACGCCCCTGGGGATTTCTCACCTCTTTCTAACCTCCAGGACATCCTGACTAAGGCATACTTTACCACCCCTGCAGTTTTTTTACTTTACTGGCTCCTGCGGCTTCTCCTTCCTTGGTCTGTGCACAGAGTCATCACTGCAGTATGTGAGGATCCTTTAAG
This sequence comes from Homo sapiens, assembly GCF_000001405.40. Classification (NCBI taxonomy): domain Eukaryota; kingdom Metazoa; phylum Chordata; class Mammalia; order Primates; family Hominidae; genus Homo; species Homo sapiens. Next base: position 149,829,829 of record NC_000023.11, on the reverse strand, counting down.
CTAGGTTGCTGGCCAGTTTCTGTTTTTTTTTTTCTCTCTCTCTCTCTCTCTCTTTTTATTTTTGCATTGCTGAGAGTACAGGTTTATTCATCACACCGGGTGGGTCTCAATTTCTCACCCATGAGACGCTTGCAATGAGGTAAGGGAGCACGCTCCATCATGAGAGACGACTGGAGACCACCCCCAGAGGAGAATGTATCCCCATATGGCCCATCAAATTGTTTGAAATGCTTGTTCCCTAGTGCCGTAAAGAAATAGCACTTGAACATTATTATTTAGTAAGGCCATTTTTACTTTCTGCAGAAAGGGTACACTCGCCAGCAGTTTTGCCACGAGAATACACCAAACAAAGGAGACAGGGTCATTTATGACCTGACGCATCCACCCTACTGCTGTGTCCGGTTTCCATTGGCTGGAACGGGACCTCACATTCTGTATTCGTCCCAAATGGCTAGCAACTTAGGAGTTTTTAGAAGAGGCAAAGGTAGAGGAGAACAAAGGAAGGAGGAAGTAAATTGTGGAATGCTGAGAAAGGTAAAAACACTTTTAAATAAAGAAGAGGCACAGGCTATGACCTGATGCTTGCTTGGACCAGTATAAGCATGCCAGGGCAAGTATTTAGGAGCACAGGTCTTTGAATAAATTTTGCTTCTAAGAGAAGTTACTATTTATTCCTAATTAGATTGGAAGGAAAGTCTTTGAAGACGAACTTCTACTTTACTTTTTATTTACAATGTCCAGTTCACAGAAAAACTGGATGATACCTCTGTAACTTTAGCCAATATGTTTACACACAGGATTCCCTTTACAATTAACATTTCAAAACTTGCTTAAACCTTTAAAACAAAATATTTTTTTAACCTTTTAATGTAGGTAAAAATCCACATCATTATGCCTCCATATAATCCTTTTACCAAAGGTATATTTTACTTTCCTTATACACTTTGCACGTAAACTGTTTCTTCAATAATTCTACATTCAGGAGGCCTAATTACTTTTAAATTATACAACATTTCTTGCATAAATTCCCTTTTATAACTTTTTTTTGGTCATGACTTTCACAGACAATTCTTCCATGTGCCTCAACTTTCTGACTTGCTGCAAACATCCTTTTCTTTAAACAACCAGTTAATTTACTTTAGGACAAGAATTTACCATATAACATTCTTTTTACATAAATTCCCCCCTCCACCCTTTTTTTCCTAAAGATGATAACCATTCTTTTCCAAAGCGAACTTCCTTCATGTCTGTGGACTAGACTGCCTAAGACCATAAGATTAGAAGTTAGGATAATACATGTTACACTGTTAACTTTTAGCAAACTTTACTTTTGTTGAAAACCTTGTAAGTTTGGGATTTCAATTATCCTTTGCTGTTAACAAGACCTTGTTTAGTCCAGATTTACTTAGAATTGGCATAGATGGTTCCTTCCTGGTTCTTTAAGTACTTTAAGGCTTGGCTGAGAGGAAACAGCTCTCAGGTTTGAGCAGACCAATTATTAGGCCATTTTCCTAACTCTGCTTTTACAAGAGTTTCCCTATCAATTACTGAATACCTATTGTGTCTTTTTCCCTCAGTCACCAGGGAGGAACCATCTATTGTCCTGTCCTGAAGGGAGTTCCTCCTAGGTATGGTCAGACCTTTGTATGGTAATTAATTAAGATTTAGATCCCCTGTTAGGAAACCTGCTGGGTTAAGGGAATTATCCGTGGTTAATGTTAAATCATCTTTTTCTAACAGAAGAGTCCCATACTTTAAGATTTTTGAGTTAGTAAGCTACCTTTCTGCTTTTTTTTTTTTTTTTGACTTAAGATAGTTCTGAACTTGTGAGGTGTGCTTACAATGAAGTTTCCTCTAAAAGCGATTTTTCTACTTTCTTCTGCTAGCAAAGCAGTTGCTGCTACAGATTAAATGCATTTGGGCCATCCGCAGGTTAAGGATTTTAGATAGGAAGGCTAAGGGTTGTCAGTGGCCTAAGTGCTTTAGGGCTATGCCCTTGTTTACACTGACAACAAGGTGGTATTGGAGTGTTATAGGGTCATGGAGAAGACCTTCAATTATCAATTATAGGTTTTAAATTTACCCTGGCTTTTAAAGGAATAGGGTACACTGTTTCTTCTTCACTACTTCTATCTTTCTTTCTTTGACTTTCTGTCTCTCTCTTTCTCTCCCTTTGACTCCGTCTCTGCCTCTCTCTCTTTGACTCCCTCTTTGTCTGTCTCTTCCTCTCTCTCTGCCTCTCTTTTTCTCTGTCTCTCTTTGACTTTCTGTCTCTCTCTCTCTGACTCCCTCTTTGTCTCTCTCTCTTCCTCTCTCTCTCTCTGACTCCCTCTTTGTCTGTCTCTTCCTCTTTCTCTCTCTCTCTGACTCCCTCTTTGTCTGTCTCTTCCTCTTTCTCTCTCTCTCTTTGACTCCCTCTTTGTCTGTCTCTTCCTCTCTCTCTGACTGCATCTTTGTCTCTTCCTCTCTCTCTGCCTCTTTCTCTCTCTCTCTTTGACTCCCTCTTTGTGTGTGTCTCTCTCTCTTTCTCTCTTTGATTCCCTCTTTGTCTCTTCCTCTCTCTCTCTCTTTCCCCCCTCCCTCTCTTTCCTCTCTGCTGTTCTTTCCCTGCCTCTGCCAGCTGCTTATGCTGCTGTTCTCCCCTCTCCTTCCCCTTTCCCTAGGGGAGGGACTGGCAGGAGTGGAGCTACTCTTTCTTCCTCTGAAAAGAGGATGCCCAAGATGGACATTAACTCGACCCAGGTGTACAACTGAGGTCCTAAGAATTGGTCAATTTGGTCTGCCACTCTGTAAGGGTCATCTAGTAGTGATTTAAGCTCCTTTTTTAAAACTGTGGACTTCTGAACTCGGTAGGGTAGCATTTACAAATCCAATGCCCCCTTCCCCCCTCCCCCCACCCTCCTTGTGGTACCTCTTTCAAAGGTAAGAGGATCAGGGCTAACCCCTTAGGTACAGAGGGAAATGGGAAATTCTGAATATCTTTTTTACATCGTTCTACCTCATACTGGAGTCCTTTTAGACAGGGGTATTTAGGTCGGGAGGGAACAGACTGATGGAATGGTAATTCCCAAGAGTCAGGGTTATAAGGAGGAGGGATAACATGAGTAGAGGGGGATTTGGAATGGGATCTGAGGTGTCAGTGGCTGTCTGAGGGGAAAGATTGGGGACACTGAATGGGGGAAGATAGTCTAGAGGATCTCATGCGCTGGAATGTTTAGGCGTGAGAGCTGGCTCCTCTGACTTTTCATTTTGAGGTGCCAGATTGGGTTCTTCCCTATTTGTTTTTAAGGGAAAAAGGAGGGCAGGTCCTTGTCTCCATAGCCTAGTTCTTCTTGAGACACTGGACTTTTATCATTAACATATCGGATTAGAAGCTGACACATTACATGCTCATTCGACCTAAACTTTAGCCAGAAGATTGAGGGTTTGAGGATGGGTCCCTGAGTTCAAGTAAAACAGCAATATTGTATCATTTGTTGCTTTTTCCTTTTTTCTTTTAGTCCCTTCATTATCCTTCCAGTGTTTTAGCATGAGACCTAGGGGGCTATCCGGGGGGATATCTTTGTTACCATCTTTATCCTCCTTGCTCCCTGTCTTGCTTGGGGTATTTCTCATCTTGATGGTTTTGGGGTAAGGTTCAAGGTTCAATTTCCCTTACTGGGAATTTCTCACCTTTTGGGGTGAGGCTCAATGTCCCCACTGGAAATTTCTTGCATTTTGGGGTAAGGCTCAATTTCCCCACTGGAAATTTCTTGCCTTTTGGGGTGAGGCTAAATTTCCCCCACTGGAAATTTCTTGCCTTTTTGGGGTGAGGCTCAATGTCCCCACTGGAAATTTCTTGCATTTTGGGGTGAGGCTCAATTTCCCCACTGGAAGTTTCTTGCCATTTCTACTACTGGAGATTTGTGTGAGGTTCAATCCCCCACAATGGGGATGTCTCACCACTTTTTAACTTCTAAGCCACCCCGACCAAGGAGTACTTCACCGCCCCCGCCCCACTGCAACTTTCTTACCTTGGTCCTGACCACCAAGGAAATATTTTACCAGCTCCCACAGCTTCTCCTTCCTTGGTCTGTGCACAGAGTTGTTGCCACACTATGTGAGGATCCTTTAAGCTAGGTTGCTGGCCAGTCCCCTGCCCCCACGTTGCTGAGAGCCCAGGTTATTCCTCACACTGGGTGGGTCTTGATTTCTCACCCCTGAGGCTGCCACAAGGGGGCGGGGTGTGCCTCCTCACAAGAGAGAACCAGAGAACGTCCCTAGAGGGGAATGTAATCACAGGCAGCCCCTAAATTGTTATATATAAAGTTTCAGTGCAGCAAAAGTAATAGCACTCAAATATAAAATTTTATTTTTAATTCTCAGCAAGGCAAGTTACTTCTATAAAAGGGTATGCCCTTACAGATGGAGCAATGGTGAGCGCACACTTGGACAAGGGAGGGGAAGGGGTTCTTATCCCTGACGCATGTGGCCCCTGCTGCTGTGTCATTCTCCTATTGGCTAGGGTTAGCCTGCACAGGCTAAATTCAGATTGGCTAATTTAAAGAGAATGTTGGGTTGAGTGCTTTGGCGGGAGTCAGGGCAGAGCAGGTAGCAGGTAATCTGAATGAGTTAGGGTGGAGCAGGTGATCAGAATGAGTTAAGGTGGCACAGGTGATTGGAATGAGTCAGGGTGGAGTAGGTAATTTGAATGAGTCAGGGTGGAGTAGGTAATCGAAAAAGGTTGCTTTACGAGGAAGTTAAGTTTAAAAGTAGAAAGCAAAGAATTGAACATACTGACATATTAATTATTTGAAAAGAAATTTAGAACTCATATCTAACGTCTGAGAAAAAAAGAAACAAGAATTTTAAAAGGTAAATATAGAGCAGTTTCAAGATGGCCGAATAGGAACAGCTCCAGTCTGCAGCTCCCAGCTTGAGTGATGCAGAAGATGGGTGATTTCTGCATTTCCAACTGAGGTACCAGGTTCATCTCACTGGGGTTTGTCAGACAGTGGGTGCAGTTCACGGATTGTGAGCTGAAGCAGGGCAGGGCATCACCTCACCCGGGAAGTGCAACGGGTAGGAGAATTCCCTTTCCTAGCCAAGGGAAGCCATGACAGACAGTACCTGGAAAATTAGGACACTCCCACCCTAATACTGCACTTTTCCAACAGTCTTAGCAAACAGCACACAAGGAGATTATATCCTGCGCCTGGCTTGGAGGGTCCCACGCCCACGGATCCTTGCTCACTGCTAGCACAGCAGTCTGAGATTGAACTGCAAGGCAGCAACAAGGCTGGGGGAGGGACGTCTGCCATTGCTGAGGCTTGAGTAGGTAAACAAAGCAGCTGGGAAGCTCGAACTGGGTGGAGCCCACCGCAGCTCAAGGAGACCTGCCTGCCTCTGTAGACTCCACCTCTGGGGGCAGCCCATAGCTGAACAAAAAGCAGCAGAAACTTCTGCAGACTTAAACGTCCCTGTCTGACAGCTTTGAAGACAGTAGTGGTTCTCCCAACACAGAGTTTGAGATCTGAGAATGGACAGACTGCCTCCTCAAGTGGGTCCCTGACCCCCGAGTAGTCTAACTGGGAGACACCTCCCAGTAGGGACTGACTGACACCTCATACAGCCCAGTGCCCCTCTGAGACGAAGCTTCCAGAGGAAGAATAAGGCAGCAACATTTGCCGTTCTGCGATATCTGCTGTTCTGCAGCCTCCTCGGGTGATTGATACCCAGGCAAACGGGGTCTGGAGTGGACCTAGGCAAACTCCAACAGACCTGCAGCTGAAGGTCCTGACGGTTAGAAGGAAAACTAACAAACAGAAAGGACATCCACACCAAAACCCCATCTGTACGTCAAAGACCAAAGGTAGATAAAACCACAAAGATGGGGAAAAAACAGAGCAGAAAAGCTGAAAATTCTAAAAATCAGAGTGCCTCTTCCCTTCCAAAGAAATGCAGCTCCTTGCCAGCAACAGAACAAAGCTGGATGGAGAATGACTTTGACGAGTTGAGAAAAGAAGGCTTCAGACGATCGGTAATAACAAACTTCTCCAAGCTAAAGGAGGATGTTCAAACCCATCGCAAAGAAGCTAAAAATCTTGAAAAAGGATTAGATGAATGGCTAACTAGAATAAACAGCATAGAGAAGACCTTAAATGACCTGATGGAGCTGAAAACCATGGCACGAGAACTACGTGACATATGCACAAGCTTCAGTAGCTGATTTGATCAAGTGGAAGAAAGGGTATCAGTGATTGAAGATCAAATGAATGAAATAAAGCAAGAAGAGAAGTTTAGAGAAAAAAGAGTAAAAAGAAACAAAGAAAGCCTCCAAGAAATATGGGACTATGTGAAAAGACCAAATCTACGTCTAATTGATGTACCTGAAAGTGACAGGGAGAATGGAACCAAGTTGGAAAACACTCTTCAGGATACTATCCAGGAGAACTTCCCCAACCTAGCAAGGCAGGCCAACATTCAAATTCAGGAAATACAGAGAAAGCCACAAAGATACTCCTTGAGAAGAGCAACTCCAAGACACATAATTATCAGATTCACCAAAGTTGAAATGAAGGAAAAAATATTAAGGGCAGCCAGAGAGAAAGGTCAGGTTTCCCACAAAGGGAAGCCCATCAGACTAACAGCGGATCTCTTGGTAGAAACTCTACATAGAAGCCAGAAGAGAGTGGGGGCCAATATTCAACATTCTTAAAGAAAAGAATTTTCAACCCAGAATTTCATATCCTGCCAAACTAAGCTTCGTAAGTGAAGGAAAAATAAAATCCTTTACAGACAAGCAAATGCTGAGAGATTTTGTCATCACCAGGCCTGCGTTACAAGAGCTCCTGAAGGAAGCAGTAAACATGGAAAGGAACAACTGGTACCAGCCACTGCAAAAACATGCCAAATCGTAAAGACCACTGATGCTAGGAAGAAACTTCATCAACTAACAAGCAAAATCACCAGCTAACATCGTAATGACAGGATCAAATACACACATAACAATATTAACCTTAAATGTAAATGGGCTAAATGCTCCAGTTAAAAGACACAGACTGGCAAATTGGATAAAGAGTCAAGACCCATCAGTGTGCTGTATTCAGAAAACCCATCTCACATGTAGAGACACACATAGGCTCAAAATAAAAGGATGGAGGAAGATCTACCAAGCAAATAGAAAACAAACAAACAAAAAAGCAGGGGTTGCAATCCTAGTCTCGGATAAAACAGACTTTAAACCAACAAAGATCAAAAGAGACAAAGGCCATTACATAATGGTAAAGGGATCCATTCAACAAGAAGAGCTAACTGTCCTAAATATATATGCACCCAATACAGGAGCACCCAGATTCATAAAGCAAGTCCTTAGAGACCGACAAAGAGACTTAGTCTCCCACACAATAATAATAGGAGACCTTAATTCCCCACTGTCAACATTAGACAGATCAAGACAGAAAGTTAACAAGGATATCCAGGAATTGAACTCAGCTCTGCACCAAGCCGACCTAATAGACATCTACAGAACTCTCCACCCAAATCAACAGAATATACACTCTTCTCAGTACCACATCACACTTATTCCAAAATTGACCACATAGTTGGAAGTAAAGCACTCCTCAGCAAATGTAAAAGAACAGAAACTATAACAAACTGTCTCTCAGACCACAGTGCAATCAAACTAGAACTCACCATTAAGAAACTCACTTAAAACCACACAACTACATGGAAACTGAACAACCTGCTCTTGAATGACTACTGGGTACATAACGAAATGAAGGCAGAAATAAAGATGTTCTTTGAAACCAATGAGAACAAAGACACAACATACCAGAATCTCTGGGACACATTTAAAGCAGTGTGTAGAGGGAAATTTATAGCACTAAATGCCCACAAGAGAAAGCAAGAAAGATCTAAAATTGACACCCTAACATCACAATTAAAAGAACTAGAGAAGCAAGAGCAAACATATTCAAAAGCTAGCAGAAGGGAAGAAATAACTAAAATCAAAGCAGAACTGAAGGAGACAGAGACACAAAAAACCCTTCAAAAAATCAGTGAATCCAGGAGCTGGTTTTTGAAAAGATCAACAAAATTGATAGACCGCTAGCAAGACTAATAAAGAAGAAAAGAGAGAAGAATCAAATAGACGCAATAAAAAATGATAAAGGGGATATCACCACCGATCCCACAGAAATACAAACTACCATCAGAGAATACTATAAACACCTCTACGCAAATAAACTAGAAAATCTAGAAGAAATGAATAAATTCCTGGACACATACGCCTTCTCAAGCCTAAACCAGGAAGAAGTTGAATCCCTGAATAGACCAATAACACCCTCCGATATTGAGGCAATAATTAATAGCCTACCAACCAAAAAACGTCGAGGACCAGACAGATTCACAGCCGAATTGTACCAGAGGTACAAAGAGGAGCTGGTACCATTCCTTCTGAAACTATTCCAATCAATAGAAAGAGAGGGAATCCTCCCTAACTCATTTTATGAGGCCAGCATCATCCTGATATCAAAGCCTGGCAGAGACACAACAAAAAAAGAGAATTTTAGACCAATATCCCTGATGAACATCGATGCAAAAATCCTCAATAAAATACTGGCAAACTGAATCCAGCAGCACATCAAAGGATTATAAATCATGCTGCTGTAAATACACATGCACACGTATGTTTATTGCGGCACTATTCACAATAGCAAAGACTTGGAACCAACCCAGATGTCCATCAATGATAGACTGGATTAAGAAAATGTGACACATATACACCATGGAATACTATGCAGGCATAAAAAAGGATGAGTTCATGTCCTTTGTAGGGACATGGATGAAGCTGGAAACCATCATTCTCAGCAAACTATCACAAGGACAAAAAACCAAACACCGCATGTTCTCACTCATAGGTGGAAATTGAACAATGAGAACACTTGGACACAGGGTGGGGAACATCACACACCGGGGCCTGTCGTGGAGTGGGAAGAGGCGGGAGGAATAGCATTAGGAGATATTCCTAATGTAATAGGAATGTAAATGACGAGTTAATGGGTGCAGTACACCAATATGGCACATGTATACATATGTAACAAACCTGCACGTCATGCACATGTACCCTAGATCTTAAAGTATAATAATAAAACAGGTAAATATACATACATATACACATACACATACATATATATATATGTATAAAGCAAGCATATATATATATATCAGGCCTTTATGCTTTCTTTCTCTTCTAGGATATTATTTTTTTTGACAAAAAGGGATTTTTTTTACCCTTCTCAGTCAACTGAATTCTGTTTTCTCCATTTATTTCTGCCTGTCTCTTCTTGCTACTCTCTGCTGCATAAGGGACCTTAAATAATTTTGAGGTTTGTAAAATTAGATTTTTTTCTAATTTCAAAACACCTCATTAGATATATATGGTTATATATTATATATTTTATATGCTTATATATAATTTATATGATTTAATTTTCTATATTTAATTAACTTAAAGACAAAAAAGTGCTAAAAGACTTTATCAGAAAAATAGAAGCCCAGATGCTTTTTTTTTTTTTTTGAGACCGAGTTTCACTCTTATTGCCCAGGCTAGAGTGCAGTGGCACGATCTCGGCTCACTGCAACCTCCACCTCCCAGGTTCAAGCGATTCTCCTGCCTCAGCCTTCCTGAGTAGCTGGGATTACAGGCATGCGCCACCATGCCCAGCTAATTTTGTATTTTAAGTAGAGACGGGCTTTCTCCATGTTGGTCAGGCTGGTCTCGAACTCCCGACCTCAGGTGATCTGCCTGCCTCAGCCTCCCAAAGTGCTGGTATTATAGGCGTAAGCCACCGCACCTGGCCCCAACTGCTTTTTAAAGTTCACAGGCAAAAATCTCTAAATGGACACATTGACAAAAAACATATGCAGATGGAAAATAATCATAAGACAAGATAATCAACATCATTCTTCAGAAGGAAATTGTGAATTAAATAAAAGTGAGATACACACGTATTAGGATGACTAAAATCCAAAAAATCGAAAATGCCAATGGCTGGCAACGAGGAACAAAAGACACTGTTGGTCATCACTGCTGGGAATGCAAAGTAGTAAAGCAACTTTCAAAGACAGTTTGTCAGCTGTTTCCATTACAAAACTGAGCACAGTCTCTTCAATCCTAGGTATACATCCAGCTGGTTTGCAAACTTATGCCCACGCAAAAATCTTGCATACAAATGTATGTGGCAGCTTACTTCATCATTGTCAGAAACTGGAAGCACACAAGATGTTCTTCAGGAGGTGAATGGAAAAACTGTGTTCCAACAACAACAGAACATTATTCATCAACCAAAAAATGACCCCTGAGGCACAAAAAACATGAATGAATCTTAAGTGCTTAGTGTTAAGTGAAAGAAGCCAGTCTGAAAATGATAGATAGTATATGATCTAATTTACCTGACATTCTAGAAAAGGCGAAGCTATAAAGGCAGTAAAAATGTCTGTTGTGGCCAGTGATCTGGGGTGGGGAGAAGGTATGCCTTAGATAAGCAGAAGGGATTTATTAGACTGGTGAAATTATTCTCTAGGATACTGCAATGATGAATTACATTATGTATTCTAGAAATAAACAGTCCTAGCCATGAGTGATCAGATAAAACCCAAAACCAGAAACTCATTTTTTTCTAAAATGGTGATATGGTTTGACTCTGGTCCCCACCCAAATCTCATCTTGAATTATAATCCCCACATGACAAGGGAGGGACCTGGTAGGAAATGATTGGACCATGGGGGCAGTTTCCCCCATGCTGTTCTCATGATAGTGAGTGAGTTCTCATGAGATCTGATGGTTTAAAAGTGTTTGGCAGGTCCCCCCTTGTGCCCTTTCTCTCCTGCTACCATGTGAGAGGTGCCTTGCTTCCCCTTCACTTTCTGCCATGATTGTGTTTCCTGAGGACTCTGCAGTCATGCGGAACTGTGAGTCAACTAAACCTCTTTTGTTTATATATTGCTCAGGCTCAGGTAGTTTGTTATAGCAGTGTGAAGGTGACTAATACAAATGCTTTGTCTGAAAGATTTTCAGAAGAAAAGAGGGAGAAATGTGAAAGAAACATAAAAATGTGGGACCCTAATTCACTATGCCAAAAGAAGAAAATGAATCTGAAAGGTGAGTCATGTAGGAAGCTGCCTTTCCTTTTGTTCCTAAGCAGATAGCTACAGATAAAAGGTTAAATATATCCACAGGTAGCTACTCTACGTTCACTTTATCTTACGTAAAGTGCCAGTTTAATGAGGGAGAGAGGAATACATAACTGGTTATACCCCTACCTGCTCCTATTCCTCTTGCAACATGTGCATTCAGTAATGTGACCGTGCCCTCCCTCAATGTCCTCCAGCTTGCTTTTCCCCTTTAAATATTGAAGCCCTCAAAATCATCTCTGGAGAAAGGCACAGACCTACCTCCTGGGCATGCCCTTAACATTGGCAAAATAAACTTCCAAATTGATTGACACCTATCTCAGATACTTTTTAGTTTTCAGATGAAATTCAGGGAAACAAACTAAATGTAAGAAATTCCCAAGACACATGTCTTTTCAAGAGCATACCTCTCCTAGTCAACAGGAGATCTACCAAAAGAAATGTAATAATGAAAAAATAAACTGAGGACTCTTTTCTCACCCTCACAAAGAATTTTAAGATTAAAAAAAATTAGACTAGTGAAGAGAAGGGAAGAACAAGGAACAACTTTAATCTCTCCCTTTCATTTTTTATTTCTTTTGGTTTAGCTTATGCAAGATTTTGTATCCATGAAAGAATTTAAGTTTATTCAATAAAAAGTATTAATGATTTAAAGCCATTAAAGCAAAATAAATTGCTAATGGGGTATCATTGATTGAGTTAAGCAATACAAGTTTTTCTGTATTAGTAATTGATATACATTTAATTTTTTAAAAGACACCGTTTGAATAAGGTCACCACAAGACAGATTTACATACAACTGTTTATTGGAAAAAAAACATAAGAAAGTATATTATGTGATCTGTACAGATGTACTCTTTCCTTGATCATATGAAAATGCAGTCTTTTTAGAAGGTTATAGCTATTAAATTTAGAGAAGTACCAAACAACAAATCACTTTAAGCAAAACTCTTCATTTTTCAGAAAACAGTATGATTTCACATTTTCTATTTTGGCATAGATTTTAATTCTTTCCAGTGGAACCTAAACCTTCTGAAGGCCTTTCAGTTTCATCCAGAGCTTGAACTTCTGTTTACGGATAAAAAATCCATTCACAGAAAACTGGTGCAATTTGATCACTTTTTTTGACTTCAAACCTTTCTTTACCCAAATTAAGCACTACAGTCCCACCATTTCCTCTATAACCTTCGTCTGTGACACCAGCTCCTGTATCTATAAAGTGTTTTGCAGCCAGGCCAGACCACTGAGCCACTCATCCATTGCAGCCAGCAGGAAGAGCAGTTTTCACAAGCGCTTACTCCGTAGATGGTATTGTATAATCGTAGGCACTATACAGGTTATAGTCTGCGGTCAGCCAAGACCCCTGGTTCAGGGCCATGGCATGCTTGGAGAGCAGGCAAAGCACAGCTGCATGCTGCCCTCCTGGCAGGTCAGGCCTGCTTGCTGGGGGAGAAATGGCAGGTGTCTTTTCAGAGCAGGGCATAGCAGAGCAAAAGGAAAGCAGAGGAGACAGTCCAGGGAACAAGAGAATACAGGATGAGCCAACATTTGCTTTGATTAAGTGACAATTAGCACCAGTGTCTCCATTCTGTATAGGTCTGTTCTGCTAGGGCCTGGAGACAGACCTTAGTCCAAAACAATCACCTAACATGAGTTCACTTATCACAAATAACTAAATTTCATAAATGGGGAAAAGATATCAATAGACACTTCCCCTAAGTGGACATATGCATGACAAATAAAGACATGAAAAATCATTGTTCATCATATCTATTAGAGAAGTGAGAATTAAACCATAAAGAGATAGCATAACACATAGTTTAAAATGACTGAAAATTTCTCAAAAAAGATATTACTAAGTGCTAGCAAGGATGAAGACCAATTTAAAATCTGATATGTTGCCAGTGGGAATTATGAAATAGTACAACCACTGTGGAAAATGATTTGGAAATTTTTTTTTCTGACTTTACAATCTTTACTGCATTTATTTTAAAAAAATTTAATTATGTTTTGGTTCTTTGGTTCTTCCCAACTTTTATTTTTGTTTCAGGGGGTACCTGTGCAGATTTGTTGCATGGGTATATTGCGTGTCTCAGAGGTTTGGTGTACTGACGACTTATCACTCAGGTAATCATCATAGTATCAGATAGGTGGTTTTCAAATTGTCACCCTACCCCTAGGCTCCACTCTCCACATTGGTAAAATAGTTTCCAGTGTCTATTGTTCCCTCCTTTGTGTCCACATATGCTCAATGTGTAGCTCCTACTTATAAGTGAGAACATGTGGTATTTGGTTTTCTGTTCCTGCATTAATTTGCTTAGAATAATAGCTCCAGCTCCATCCATGTTGCTGCAAAGGTCATGATTTTGTTATTTTTAATGGCTGCATAGTATTTCATGGTCCATATATACCACGTTTTCTTTATCCAGTCCACCATTGATGAGCATCTCAGTTAATTCTATGTATTTGCTACTGTGAATAGTGCTGCGACGAACATATGTGTGCATGTGTCTTTATGGTAGAACAATTTATATTCCCTTGGGTACATATCCAGTAATGGGATTGCTGGGTCGATTGGTAATTCTGATTTAATTTCTTGGAGAAATTTACAAACTACTTTTCACGATAGCTGAAGGAATGTACATTCCCACCAGTAGTGTATCAGTTTCCTCATGACCTCAGCAGCATCAGTTTCTTTTTTGACTTTTTATTAATAGCCATTCTGACTGTTGTGAGATGGTATCTCATTGTAATTTTAATTTGCATTTCTATGTTAGTGACGTTGGACACTTTTTCCTATGCTTGTTGGCTGTGTGTATGTCATCTTTTGAGAAGTGTCTGCTCATGTTCTTGGCCCATTTTTTAATGGGGTTGTTTTTTCCTTATTAATTTGTTAAAGTTCCTTATAGATTCTGGATATTAGACCTCTGTTGGATGTGTAGTCTGCAAATCTTTCTCCCATTCTGTAGCCTTTCTGTTTGCTGGGTTGATAGTTTCTTTTCACGTGAAGAAGTTCTTTAGTTTACTTAGGTCTTATTCTCAATTTGGGGGTTTTTACAATAGCTTTTGGAATCCTCATCATGAAATCTTTGTCAAGGCCCACATCCAGAATGGTATTTCCTTGGTTTTCTTCTAGGACTTTTATCGTTTTAGGTTTTTCATTTATGTCTTTAATCCATCTTGAGTTGATGGATTAAAGATGAATTCATCTTGAGTTGAAACTGGAAGGGGCTCAGTTTCAATCTTCTGCGTATGGCTAGCCAGTTATGCCAGCACCATTTATTGATAGGAACTCATTTCCTCATTGCTTGTTTTTGTCAATTTTGTTGAAGATCAGATGGTTATAGCTGTGTGGCTTTATTTCTGGGTTCTCTAACCCGTGTTAGAGAAGACTATCATGTTTTGGTTACTGTAGCATTATAGTATAGTTTAGAGTCAGGTCCTGTGATGCCTCTGGCTATGCTCTTTTTGCTTATGATTGCTTTTGACTATTCAGGTTTATTTCTGGTTCCATATGGAATTTAGAATAGTTTTTTTTCTAATCTGTGAAAAATGTCATTGGTAGTTTGTTAGGAATAGCATTAAATCGGTAAATTGCTTTAGGCATTATGGCCATTTAAATATTATTGATTTTTCCTAAGCATGAGCATGTAATGTTTTCCCATTTGCCTGTGTCATCTCTGATTTTTTTCAGCAGTATTTGTAACTGCCACTGTAAAGGCGTTTCACCTCTGATTCGCTGCATTCCTAGGCATTTTATACTTTTGTATTATGAATGCGATTATGTTTTTGATTTGGCTCTCCACTTGGATGTTGTTGGTGTATAGAATTGTTGCTGATTTTTGTACCTTGATTTCGTATCTTGAAACTTTGCTGAAGTTATTTATCAGATCTAGGAGCTTCTGGGCAGAGACTATCGGGGCTTTCTTGGTGTAAAATCATATCATCTGCAAGGAGAGATAATTTGACTTCCTCTCTTCCTATTTGGATGCCTTTTATATCTTTGCCTTGCCTGATTGCTCTGGCTAGGACTTCCATAATATGTTGAATAGGAATGGTGAGAGTATGCATCCTTGTTTTGTTCTGGTTCTCATGGAGATCACTTCCATCTTTTGTCCATTCCATATGATGTTGGCTGTGGGTTTGTACATAGATGGCTATATTATTTTGAGGTGTGTTCCTGCAGTGCCCAGTATGTTGAGGGCATTGTCCAGTGTGGACACATGCATGACAAAGAAGCACATGAGAAATTATTCTACATCACAGCTATTAGAGAAATGCATATTAAGGCATAATGAGCTACAGTAACATATATTTGAAAATAACAAAAAAAAATTTTAAAAGACATTACTACATGAATGTTTACAGCAGCTCTAGTCATATTTGAGAAAACCTGAAAATTACACAAATATATTTTTGTGGATAAATGGACAATGAAGTTTTTGTGCATCCAAACTATGAAATAACTACTCTGCAATAAAAGGCATGAACTACTGGTATGCACAACAAGGTGTATCAAACTCAAAGATGTCTTGCTGTGTGGAAAGAGCCAGTCTCAACCAGGTACATATTCTATTTTTTCTATTCATGTGACATTCTTGAAAGAGAAAACTGAAATAGTGAGTACAGATGAGAGGTTCCCACTGTTAGTTGTAGACATGTGGGTATAACTATAAGTGTATAGCAAGTAAAAGGGGTTTCTCTTGGAGAGGAGGGTGACGGAATTGTTTGTATGAAGATTGTGATGGTGGTTCCATGAATCTATACATGAGCAAAACCCACAGAATTGGACAGAAAAGGAAAAAAACACTGTTTGTCCATTTAAATAATAAAATTGAAAATTAAAAAGAAAGCTGGAAAAACAGAAAAGTAAACTTTTAAAAACTTTATGGGAAGGAAAATTACCCTGGATAAATAGGGACATTATGCAATGATAAAAGAGTCAATTAACAAAAAATACATCATAATCCTGTTAGTTCACCTAAAAGCATTGTTTTAAAATACATGAAACATCTGATAGAATTGAAAGAATAAATAGTCAAATCTACACTTGCATTTGGAGATTGCAAAACTCCTCTCTGAGTAAATGATTGAAGTACACAGAAACTCTGCAAGGTTATAGACCAACCCGAATAACACAAAGAACCAACTTGAGCTGACTGGCTTTTACTGAACACGTCACAGAACAACAGCAGAATAAATATTGTTTTCAAGTGTATGTGGAATTTTTACCAAGATAGACCGTAAAACAACTCTTAACAAATTTAAAATAATTGAAGTTGTACAAAATATACGTTTTAATACGAAAATGTATTCATTTCAAATTATACATTTCAATTTAATAATTGAAATTGTACAAAGTGGAAATTTTAAAGATCCAGAATAAAATAAAAATATAACAAAGGACATATTTGTAAAGTCTCCATGTAATTTTAAATAAACAACACATTTTTACTCTTCTTTGTTTAAAAAATTATTAAGGAAAATGAGAAAATATATTCTGATAAATAAAAATGGTAATATGATGTTTTAAAATATGTGGAAATCAGCTAACGTAGTGCCTAATTTTTATCTCCTTGAGTGCTTATGTAAGAAAGTAACAAATGGCTCAAATAAAACATCTAATCATTGATGTTAAATAATTAGAAAAATAAAAGTAAATTAAACCTGAGGAAAACAAAAGGATTGGGATGATATAGACAGGAAGAGAAAAATTAATGAAATTGAAACTTCAGAAACTTCTGGAAACAATAAATGCAATTGATGAAACCAAGTGTTATTTTTTTCAATAGATCAGACTAGCTAAAATGTCCCATGGCAATATGAGAAATTTGAACAATATAGTTGTGGAGAAACAACGGCTATGAACGCAGCCAGAAGTAGAAGAAGCTACATACAAACTCTAATTTGTTATGATAACTACACTCTTCATTTCTTATAGACGGTTCTGAGAAGACCAGTTTTGCCTTGAAATTCTCTGAATTTGCAAGTGTCTACCACGTAGCAGATGCTTTCAAATGCATTAACCCATCAAATTGAAGAAGATCCTGCAAAAGTTAGCAGGGAGATTTCACCTTCCATACTCCATAGCATTTACCGCACTTCCCTTTGCAATGCCATCTATCATCTCAGGAGGCTGCGGATTTCCTCCTTCCACCTGATGCAGGGGCAGAATCTTACGTGACATATCTGCTTCTCTCCACATAACTGTTCTTGCCTAAACACCTGTGCAGGTGCCACTAGTCACACTGAAAGCCAGTATGTCCCTGGGTGCAGATGCCAGACAGGAGGCAGTGGAAGAGTGATTCATCATTCTTTTCAAATTCCAGGTGGCATGTCCATCAAGGACGCATTTCTCATACCCCGGGAGGAGCCCAGTGTTTGTAAGAATTCAGCTTTAGAGGATGGGTGCTCCTCTTCTACCTCTTACGAAGGAATGGAATTTCTGAGCACTATCTATTTGTTTGCCTGTTCAGTTCCCAGCTTCAGATAAGAAGCCCATTAAAATCCTACTGCAAATATGTGAGTGGCTTAAAAATCTACTCTCCACCTTCAGGGCTGTTTCCCAAGAGTCAGGAGATTATGGGCAAAGTATAGTCTATTCACAGCCCATTGGGAAAATAAAGAATGTGTATAGAACTCCCAGGGAGGGAGGACCAGGTGGCTGTGGCTGTGGGACAGGACCGAAGGTGAGCCGTGGGAAAGCTAGGGGGGTTCTGCAGGGGATAGGGATGCTCCATGTTCTGGGGAAAGCAGGGGATTCTGTGCAGCCTCCTGAGGCAGCAAGGAAGAGCAAGCACCAGGCTGGGCCTCTGAGTTGGAATGGAGGGCACGTGAGGGCGACCAAGGGAAGGGTGTTGTAACTCGGGAAAGTGTTGGGGCCAGACAGACATGCTGGCTGGGAGTGTACTTGTCTCTTGTGCCTTTGACGGAGGAACCAAGATGTGGATGAGCACTTGTAGGCTCTCCCATAACATCTTTCATAGTAGGTGCTCAACAGAAGGCACCCAGCAGTCAGCTCCCAGGGGCCCCAACACATGCCACCCAAATTCTGTTTGATTCTCATTGTCACCTTCTTTTGGCCTGCTTTTAGTACTTTGTCCCCAGGGTCCTTCCTTTTGTCACCTGAGAGACATGATGCAGTGGTGAGAAATGAACTACTGCTCAGGAAGTGGGCCTCAGGCTGGGAGGAGTGGGAGCAGCTTGGGCTCCAGTGGAATCAGACTAGAGATCTGGTTCCAGCCCTGTTACTTACTACCCTTGTGATCCTGGGACATTCTCAAGCCCTGTGAGCCTCAGATTCTTTGTCCGTGAAGCATGGGTAATAGGCCTTGACCAATAGGGCTGTTGGAGTGTATGTAATGTAAGTGATGCACCTGGCTCAAGTCCTGACACAAATAAGAAGTTTACGGAATGGCAGATGGCTTTTATTTCTAGTATTTGACCCCAGATCCTAGTATTCTGGGATTTTCTTATTGTTGTTGTGGTTCTCCAGGACTTATCAGAAACTATGCAGGCGAATAGGACATGGAACAATTACTCGGCCAAAAAAAAGGAAGTTTTGTCAATGAATTTCAGTTAGTTTACCCTCTCACGGGGCATACTTCAAAATTTCAGGGTGCAGAACCCTCCCCCAACTGGAATGCAACTCAAAGCTCTTAGAATATGAGTCAAGAATAAAGTCCTTCCCTCTCTCTCAGCTTCTTTTACATCCAAACCACTTTTTTCATTGATTATGTCACGACCCAAAATCTTTCCCTTGTTATAATTGGCCAAATTGCACTTCAGATAAGCTAGTTAGAATGTCTCTTTAATAGAGTCAGCTCTGGCTCACACAACCAGGAAGAAAAACACCTGGCCAGTGGCATCTGAGCCTCACATCCCAGGAGATTCACGCTTCTCTCTAAGGAAACCCTTCCGGATGATGGGTATCCATCACCAACTTCGTGTGCCGTGTTCAACTGCACTGAGACAAGAGTGCAGGACACCTCCCATTCCTGCCCCAGGAGGAGATGCCTCTCTGTTTCATCCACCATCCAAAAGGAACTGCTGAGCATGTTTCCCTTCCAAGCTTTTCTCTCATCCTCTGAGAATCTGGCTCTGGTCCTACCCCATTTCACTAGAATCAGCTCTCCCAAAAGGTACTGCAGTTTCCCAAAGCCCAAAAGGCCTTGGCTCAGGGCATGTACACTCCACCACTCTCACCTGTTGCCCCACACCCTCACCCCTCTCTTATTTTTCCTCTAGATGTTGGAGGACATCTGTCCACCTTAGTTATATGACTGCAGATCCTAGACTCACCCACCGTAAGGTTAGGGGTGGGCCTGGCTTACCTTAGCATCTCCAATACTAACCCAGGGACTTACAAATAGCAGAAGCTCAATGAATGTTTCAGGACGAAATGAGTCAGTGAGCAGGGGAATGCATTTATTCATATTTAATTCAATTACATTCTCAAAGAAGCCAAGCTAATCCAATATGTATTAGCCAAGCAAATATGTATTTCTTAACTACACAGAATACAAGAAAGACAAGAATTAACTATAATTTAATTTTTTTTTTTTTGAGATAGAGTCTTGCTCTGTCGCCCAGGCTACAGCAGTGCGATCTGGGCTCACTGCATGCTCTGTCTCCTGGGTTCACACCATTCTCCTTCTCAGCCTCCTGAGTAGCTGGGACTACAGGCACCCACCGCCTCACCCAGCTAATTTTTTTTTTTTTTTTGAGACGGAGTCTCGCTCTGTTGCCCAGGCTGGATGGAGTGCAGTGGCGCGATCTCGGCTCACTGCGAGCTCCGCCTCCAGGGTTCACACCATTCTCCTGCCGCAGCCTCCCCAGTAGCTGGGACTACAGGCACCCGCCACCACGCCCGGCTAAGTTTTGTATTTTTAATAGAGATGGTGTTTCACTGTGTTAGCCAGAATGGTCTCGATCTCCTGACCTCGTGATCCCCGTGCCTCTGCCTCCTAAAGTGCTGGGATTACAGGCGTGAGCCACCGTGCCCAGCCAATTTAATTTCTTTATTTCTTTATCTCACCCATTTTACCGCTTTGTTCTTTCACATTATAAAAGGTACTTAATCCTCTGCTATGTTATGTTGTCCCAATTCAAGAAATAACATAGATTTTCTTACATAAATAAAAAACAATGCACTTACTTTTAACTATATAAAAAACAGTAAGTCTGCCTACTGTCATACATGAAATGAATGTTGAAGTTCATTACACCATCCATTAAAAGGAACATTTGAACGACTGCAAAAGGAAACAAAGATAAACCTCCAAATCGCCCAAGAGAACAGGAACTGAGAGATGGTCCACCTTGTATTCCCTCACACCCAACACACTCCCCGCTACTGAGAACATTGACTGCTCTCTTCAAACACAGAGTGAAGAATGGGCCTCATGTAACAGGACAGGGAAGGTGGTGGATGTGTGGAACGTGCACTGGCCCAGGCCCTCCCCCAATCTGCCCCACTGGCCCTGGCTGCAACTTCTGCTCAGACTCCCTCTTCCTCCTCTCCCAAAGCCTCTTCATGCAGGGATGGGTAGGAAATGCTCTCTTTAGTACTGACCCTGGCTGCATACTCCAGGACTTTCACATAGCTGGTTTCAATGAGGGCCCTTGGACCCCACAGGAACTGGTAGCACGGGGGATCACTGCTGGGCACCTGGCGGTATTGCAGGTAGTTTTCCTGCACCCAATCTTGGGTGAGCAGCTTCCTCAGCTGCCCAAAGAAACTGCTCCATCCCATCATACACCATTACACTCAACGCTTCCCAGATTGCCTCCTCAGGGGCACAGTGGCCCTCCATTAAGATCATGGTCAAGACCATAATCAGAAGGCCGGTCTCGGGCATGCTCTGATCATCACCCAGCAGGCCATTGTAGGAGAGGCCCAAGCAGGTGACAAGGACGTAGGAGTGGCCGCGGGGTCCACTTCCTTCATGTCAATGCCAAACATCACCTGCATGCACTCTGAGGCTTTGCCATAGATCACAGGAAACTAGTGCTTGTAATTTTTGATGACACTGTCCAGCATTTCTGCCTTTGTGACCAGCTCCTTGACTCGATACTTGTGCAGCAGGAAGCGAACCAACTCAGCCACCTTCCCATTGGAACAAGGACGCCAGGTGAGCGGGGTGTGTCTAGGTGGTTGGCCCCTCCTCTTCCCGGCTGCTGGTGCCCTCACTGGATTGGCTCCATAGAGTGTTGTTGCTGATGGTCAGGGAAAAGGAGGAACCCTGAGACTCAGGGGAGGACTGGGGGACCCAGCAGCAGGCACCTCCTCCAGGGTGCCTTCAATCAGAGTGAAGGAGGAGGCAGCCTCGTGCTCCTCGGTGGCGGGAGCCTGCACACCCACCAGGCCCAGAGCCTCCTGTCCTTGGGCCTCAAGGCCATCCTCAGGCTTGCAGTGCTGACTCCTCTGCTCAGAAGACATGATGACTCTGGTCAGGGCAGCAGGCTGGAGTGCGGGCAGCAGCTGGGCGATGGGGAGGAACCCACAGATCTGGGGAGAGAAGGAGCTTGTGAGGGGCCTCATTTGTGAACCACGCCCTGGAGGCCCTAACAAAGGCCTACTTACAGATCTTCTCCTTCGGTGCTCCTCTGGGGCCTCCTGGGGCTTCTGACCTCCTGGCCGGCCTGTCCGCTGAGAACCTGAAGGAGGAAGTGAGAGGGCACCTCAGGGTACAGCCGGCCAGCAGAGGCTGAGGCTGCAGGACTGACAGTAGGGAAGGTGAGGCTGGGCTCTCTGGAGTCCCTTGTGTTCTGGGGAGTGTGGGGCCCTTGTTGTCCATTCAGATCAGAACCTCGCCTTGACTGCTAACACTGCCTGCGACTCCTCTGCTCTGTGACCTGAGCACAGTGCCTCAGACCAAGGCCTAACTGCCTGGTTCCTGGAGCTCCTAAAAGAGGAATCGAGGGGCCCTCAGGGTGCAGACTGCAAGCACAGCCCTGGCTTTCCAGTGCTGTCAGAAGGGTTGACCAGGCTCTGTGAGGTCCCTACTCTCATGGGGTGCATGGTCCCCTCTGTGCTCACTCACCTTTCTCCTGGAGGGGCCTCATCCTGCCCTTTTGCTGGCTCGAGAAACTCAGATAAAGAGTTCACAACCCTGATATGGAACAGAAGGGTATGAGGGGACCCACATCTGGCCACATGTGCCTAGGTCCACTGGGAGAGACAGCAAGAGATATCCAAATTCACTGGACACCATGTGTCCTGGGCAAGGAGCCTGCTGGGTCCTCATGTTGACTCCTGGCAGAGTCTGGGGCTCTCCCTCTACTGACCTGAGTTCAGCCCCCTAAGACCAAGGCATCCCCCTCCCTGACACTGATGATCCCAGGATAAGAGAGAGACCTCAGCTGACAGCCCTGCCTATGCTCTCTGGGGTGACATCAGGGGCAGGGAAGATTTCTGTGGAGCCCCCGTTTGCGTTCTTGCCTGGGGGTACCCTCAGTCCTCCCTCAGGTTCCTCACCTGGACACCTGGCAGATCCTGGGACCAGTGTGTCAGTCGATCAGACTGGGGTCCCTGTGTTGACCTGAGTCACCCTCTGAAAACAAGGTCCTCACCTCCCTAAGATCTAGAAACAGAAGTGAGGAGGCGCCACATCCCATCACCATTGGGTGGGGTGTCCAGGGCTCACTCCAGGAGCTGGCCCCTTTGGTTCTGGGGTGAGGCTTCCAATGTCTTCCGGTGGGTTATTCATCTTTACTCCTCCTGGCGCCTGCCCTTCCTCAACTCCCAAACTCCTGAGAGGAGCAGCCATCTCGCCTTTACACCAACACCCCATGTCCCCAAGGGTTCCCCAACTTCCTATCTGTGGTACAAGTGAGATTGCCAATTAGGGACATTCCTGATCTGATTGTCCCAGAGCTAAGAATAAGTGACAGCCATAATCTGTGGAGTCCTTTCCTTCTGGGCCAGGGGTACCATCAGTCCTCATGAAGGGGGCACTCCTTGGGTCCTGCTGATCCTGGGACCCCTCCCTCTGCTGGCCAGATGTGGCTTCCTCTGTTGAACTGTAAGTACCACTAATACCAAGGTGTTCACCTCCCTGAGACCTCCCACCTCCCGCCATATGGCAGAAAGGAGAGCATGCCACATGGTACCTATGCCTGGGGCCACCCGGGGCTGAGAACAGTGGAAGCCAGGTTCTGCGAGTTCCCTTCTTCTTGGAGGTGTGGAGGTACCTTCTTACCTTCAGTCTTCACCAACCTTCCTTCTCTTGACGCCTGGAAGACTGGACCCAACCTGTGCTGACCAGGTGTGGCTATCTCTGCTGAGCTGAGGACACCCCTCAGACGGAGGCCCCCACCTCTCTGGGGCCTGGGAGGCAGAAGTGAAGGAACTCTACACTGACACCCCTCAATGGGATTCCCAAGACTGACAAAAGGTGCATATTTCAGGAGTGCCTCCTGTGTCTGGGTGTCCTATAGATATTCAGATTTACTTCCGACAGGGCCTGGCCCTTTCCCTCCTGCTGAACTTTGGACGGTCTTCCAGGTCAAGGCCACCATCTCCCTGGGATCCCTAACGAGGAAGTGGGGGCCAGGTCCGTTCCCCACAGTCCTGCCCGAGGCCCCCCAGGACTGACAGGAAGGGCAGGTGTCCTACCTCTGGGAAAGAAGCTCTGCTGAGTCTTCCCTCAGGGTCCTGAGACTCCTCCCTCTGCTAACCTGAGCCTCCAGTCCTCATACCAAAGCCCTCTCCTCTTTGTTGTCTCCAAGGCATAGGCAGGGATGCACCACATGCAGCCATCGTGCGTGGGACCTCCAAGGGCGGAGGTCCCCAGTGATCTGGAGTCCAAGGTGTCCTGAGTCCTCCCTCTTTTTCCTCCCCTTGATCCTGGCAGGGCTGCGTCAGAGCTCCCCTCTGCCGACCTGAGTCTATCTGTTGGATTCCTGAGGCGAAATGAGGAGGTGCCTTAGCTTGAGATGGGGGCGGGGCGGGTCCCCTGTCCTGTAGTGATTGTCCTTTAAGGCCTCCGTGCTCTCCCGGCAGGACCTGGGCCCTCCGTCTACTCCTCTGAGGTGATGCTCATGGTATCAAGCCCCTTCCCTCCATCAGCCCAGGATGTGGACAGCAGCATCAACGTGCCTGGTCCCCATTCCCAGCATTTCCCAGCGCTGACAGCAAAGACAGAGCTTCCTTCTATGGGGCCTCAGCCCTCCCTCAGAATCCTGACCTTGTTATGCCTGGCAGAGCCTGGCCCCTGCCCTCTCCTAACCAGCCCTGCCCTGGTCATACCAAGCTCTGACTCCAGAGTCCCCTGGGGCTTAAGCGGTGGGGTGGCGAAGGGTGGCCCACAGCCTGAGAAGTCCGCCCCCAGGTGGTCCAGGGCTGGCAGCAGGGGTGGTGCTGGATTATTTGGGGTCTTCCCTCTGGGGCGGGGGCGTCCTCAGTCCTCCCTCAGGGCCTCACCTTGCCTCCTCACGGAAGCTGGGCCCGCTTCCCTCCAACAATCTCATCAGAACCAGGCCCTCACTTCTCTGTGATCCCCAAGGCGCTCAGCACAAGTGACCCCATTCTGGTCAGGTGTGGTCAGCTGGGGCTTAGGGCAGGAGGCTAGTCCACAGCAGTGGCCTCCCCTGAATGTTGTTTCACACAGGCCCCCGAGTTAATGAGCCTTTCTAAAGGAGACAGTGTTAGCTTTGCTTAACACCGAGCTTTCCTCCCTTGCTGTAGACAGGGATACTTGGATGCTCGTGATTTCCACTGGTTTTCTTTTCTACAGAATCTTAAAAGCCTTCTGTACGAAACTTTGTCTGTGAGGAATTACAGTATTAACACTATTCTCAATCAGTGTATATCTAGTGCTTGGATTGGCTTTCACGCTCTTTCTCTCTAACTCTGCGTGTGTGTTCGCGTTAAGCTTTTCAAGTATGGGAAACAGAAAGTGTTTCTGAAGGTGATAATTCTTGCCTCCTGGGATCCCTGGAGAAAGGAAGTCCACATGGAAAAAGAGAGACGGTCTCCAGGTGGAGATACATCTTCAGAGATTTTAAAAACAGTTTTCAGCTTGTGTTCTATAAATGAACCAAAGATGACCTGTGTGTGTAGCCCCTAGGCTGGAGGAAGGCCTTGCTTATTGTTTAGACGTGGGATGTGGCTGGCAAAGGGCCTTGCAGTAGCATCTCAGCTGTCGTGCAGCACTGCTGATGTTTCTCTACTGTTTTTCTTCACAAGACTGAGACCTGTTGGCTCAGAAGCCCATCAGCACAAAACTGAATGTTTCACACAGTTGATGGTTTGAAACGTGGCACAGCTAAGTACGTTTTTAGGCATTCAGAGCCTTCCTCGCTTGCATACCCTGCTAGTCCTCACCTAACATCTGCTAACCGTAGATAAGATAGAACCTTATGGTTACGAGACTCCCAAGCCACTTGGCCCAGCTGCTGAGCAACATCACCTATACTCATAAGGTCCTTCTCCAATTCCCATCTGCACCATCAGTTCTCCTGCCTTCCTTCCGTTCTGATGGTGACCCTGGAAACATAGACTCTGGACAGTCTGTCCCCTCCCTGCATTCCCTGTCCAAGCACCACCCAATAAAGCTGCTTGTATGGTACAGCCTCTGGTGATCCTCTCATTTTCCTTGATCAACCCCCAGTCCCAAACAGTGTGAAATGAGCTCTTCTGAACTGGGATGTCAGCCACGTATAAGCTGATGACTGTCGGAGCTAAGGTGCGTGATTTGAGGTGCATGTTTGGACTGTAAGACTGGCAAGGCCTAAAGGCCATAGGAAAGCATGCCAGGCAGGCGTCTCCCTGCCTCACTGTTTTCCGGCCTTGCAGCGTGCTGGCTATCCTGCTGCTACAGAACCCCTTCCTTCCACCCCCGACTGTTTTGGAATTGCAAAGTCACAAATCTCAATAAGCTGGCCTTGACTCTAAACTAAAACCAAAGTATCTGCTCTGAGCTGTTTCGGACTCACCACAAGCTGTGCCAAGCAGAAAGCAGGCATAGCTCAATGCAACAAAGGCATCTTTGACTCTGGAACCCTGGCAGGTTTTAAACACCTGTTAGTGGGGTTCGAAACCATCACCACACAGCACAGATGCAGCACAGACCTCCCACATCTCTTGCAGATGCCCATGATGAAGGGCTTGTTCTCCGGTGGGGCCAACTGGAGTGAAGCTGCTCATGGGCACTGTATTTCTGATGCAGACAGGTTGCACTTCTAACTTGTGCGATGTCTGCTGAAAGCTGCATGTTGTGGGATGGCACCCCCCATCGACTGTGATTTCTCCACCCACGCGTGACAGATCAGTCTCAGATCTTCTCTCTAGCGTGTCCACTGCCAGTCATTTGTGTCCCAGGACCCACTTCAGTTGCAGTTTTTGATAGTGGACAGACAGCCTAACTCTGCTTCCTCTCCTTCCTCCTGGTCCACACGCCAGGCAGTAGGATTATCAAATGCAGCTGAGCCCAGGAAGGGATGGATTTTGTTTTCTTTTTATCATTATTGTTCTATACTGTTTACTGCATAAATGAGCAGGATGAAAAGGGGTATGCAAACTCATTTTGGAATCTTTTGGAAACATAGGATTTTTTCCTGGCTGCTTCCTAAACATGACGGGTCTTTCTGTTCACATCTTGTTTTATGACAGTGTTTTACTGTGAAAATGGTTTTGTCCCCATGACACACAGCCCTGCCAGGTGAGAAGGCCTCAGGCATAAGGGGATGATTGAAACAATGTAAAGCTTTTATTATTGAGTGGGCCATGCTGATTTAGTAAGGACGGAGGAAAAACACAACATCTGGGGAGGTGTGAGGAGGGCATTGTGATCCTGGTGTTGCAGAACTGTTCCTGGAAGCTTTCTTCTCTTGCTGAAAGAAAACTCCCCATACTGCCTTTGCAAGCAGCTGCAATTTCCGTGACCCCAAACTGATGGCTGCACCCATGACAACATCTGACCTCGCTGACTAGGGGACAGAGGGAGAGACCCCGGCTCCACTGTTTTCCCCACGGAGTACCTTCAGATGCCCTCCCTACCAGTCATGGAGAAGCCAAATTGTCTGCAAGTGAAACCAGGGACTGAACTGGATTATGTGTCCTGTACTGGATACCCTTGTAGCTGGCAGGAGGTGCCATGGTGATATATCACAGTGAGGCCTTGATATTCTGTGCTTCCTGACTCAGTTCGGCCACCTTGGGGTGCCCAAATTATGGTACCGTGTGTCTTTGCAGGGGGACCACATGTGCCCTCGGGGTTGTAAGTCCCATGTGTGCCCTGCCTTTGTGACATGGCCTCAGTCCAGGATGGCTTTCAGGTCAGGTCACAACGGTCCAGAGCTGTGTCCTGCCTGAATTGATGCCCCAATTGATTCAATTGGCCAAGTATAAAGAAAAAGTTAATACTGAAATTTAAGAGGGAAGCCACGTGGCTGTCTAAGATGCACCTCTGTGGTTAATGGGGTTCGTGTTAACTGGTTCAGTCCAGGACCCCTAACGGCGTATGTGACATCTATATGCAGCTCGGTTTCGCCCTGCTGTGTCAGGTCCTACTGATAATTTCCTGTAAAGACGCCTTGTCTAAAAGGGTGCGTGGTTCAGAAAAGGAGCACTGGGCAAAGAAACCAGAAGTTGAAGTAAGGTCAATATGGTGGAGAAATTCCTGTGCTATTTCTCCCTCTTGTATCTCCAAGCATGGACTCAAAGGCAGCCTACATTTGAGAATTGCACAAGGATAGGAAAAGCTGTATGTATGAAGGTCTCTCTTTATGGTCCAAAAGCTAAGAAGGCAGGCCCATAGAGGACATGGGTAATGAGGGAAAAAAATCTTTCGATCCTGCTGGACCTGCCTCCACACCAGCCCCAGTCCTGCATCTATAACCTGCGGTTGCAGCATCAACCACAGCTGGGCAGGCAGGCACCTAAAACCCTCGAATAGGTGATTCCTGCTCTCTGACAAGAAATTTCAACCAAAAAGTAGGGGGAGAGTTTGGGGGTAAGAAATGAAAAGCACTCGTGCAGGTCATAGCACAGTGGCAGAGGCCAATAAAAAGACTGAGCCCTGCTCATAGGTGTGCAGAACACTTTCCCTCCCCCACGCCTTACCACGATGTCAGTAGGCTCCTGTGTAATAGCAGGGGAGCAGCACTGAAACAAGTGCACATCGCAAACTTCATTTAAGAAGAGTCCCATGCCAGGCACAATGGCTCCCACCTGTAATCACAGCATTTTCGGTTGACAAGGCGGGAGGGTGACTTGAGGCCAGGAGTTTGAGACCAGCCGAGGCAACATAGAGCGACACTGTGTCTAAAAGAAACAAACCAAATAGAAGAAGAAAAAGTCTCTAGGGAAATCCAAGACAGGAGGGAAGAACAAAACAAGGACACCTGAGTAAAGTTTAACCTCTGACACCTATAGCTCCAGCAAACAGTAAACACAGTCTACCGCATAGTCAGATAAAAATAAACTCTCAGCTGAAAGGCCCATTCTCTTCCATTCCATTTACTCAGGACATTACTACTGGCTTTCACCAAAAATGTTACAAGGCATAGTGAAGGGGGAAAAAAAA
This sequence comes from Homo sapiens, assembly GCF_000001405.40. Taxonomy (NCBI): domain Eukaryota; kingdom Metazoa; phylum Chordata; class Mammalia; order Primates; family Hominidae; genus Homo; species Homo sapiens. The sequence continues at coordinate 149,801,123 of NC_000023.11, read as the reverse complement.
ATCACAGGTTGAAGAGTAAATATCAGGTACATATGCAGGTTTAGCAGAGATGTTAGAATTACCAGCTTGAGAATTAATACAACTATGATGAATAAGCTAAGGGCTCTAATGGAAAAAGTGAACAACATGCAAGAACAGGTGGGTAATAATAGCAGGGAGATGGAAACTCTTTAAGAAGAATCACAAGAAAACACTAAAAATCTAAAACACTCTAGGCAATAAAAGAACACAGGCAAATTAGACTTCATGAAAATTAAGAACTTTTGTGCATCAAAAACACAATGAACAGAGTCAAAATGCAACCAAAAGACTGGGAGAAAATATTTGTAAATCACATATCTGTTAAGGGATATATATCCAGGATATATAAAGAACTCCTGAAACATGACAAAAACAACAACGACAGCAAAATCAAAAATGGGGAAAATATTTGAATAGACATTTCTCCTAAAAATATACACAAGTGACTGATGCGCATGAGAAAAGATACTCAACATCACTAATCATTAGGGAAATAGGAATCAAAGGCACGATGAGGCACCTCCTCCCACTCACTAGGATGGCTACTGTTAAAACAAATAAAGCAACGACCAACCAGGAAATAACAAGTTGGCAACGATGTGGTGTTAGTGGAATCTCTGTGTAGGTTGGAATATAAAATGTTACAAAATTGCCGTGGGTAACAGTATGTGATTCCTCACAAAATTCCAAATAGGGTTACCATATTATCTAGCAATTCCCCTTCCGAATGTATACCCAGAATAATTAAAAGCAGAGTCTCAAAGAGATATTTGTAGACCCATATATATAGCAGCAATGTTCACCATAGCTAAACTGTGAAACCAGCCTAAGTGTCCCTTGACACATAATTGGATTAGGAAAATGCAATATACATACAATGGGAAATTATTCAGCATTCAAAAGGAAGGAAATTCTGGCATAAGGTACAGCGTGACTGAACCTGAGGACATTATGCTAAGTGAAGTAAGTCAGGCATGAAAAGACAAATACTGTAGGATATCATTTACACACGGTACATAGAGTTGTCAAATTCATAGAGACAGGAAATAGAAAGCTAGTTACCAGATGAGAGGGAGGAAAAATGGGGAGTTATTGTTGAACGGGTATAGTGTTTCATTTTTGTCAGAGGAAAAGAGTTCTTCAGATGAGCCATGGTGATGGTTGAATAAGAGTATGGATGTATTTAAGAGCCCTGAAATGTGCACTTACCATGGTTAGGAGGGTTTATGTGATAGGTGTTTTATCATGATAGAAATAATTTATTAGGAAAAATAAAACAACCCCCACTGTAACAGAAATGAAGGATATCTTTGATTAATTCATCAATAGGCAGGACATGGCTGAGGTAACAAGCAGCAAGCCTGAAGAAACGTCAATCAAAAATCCAAACCTGAAATGCAAAGAGAGAAAAAAGGAAGAAAAGTAACAGAAAATTCAAGAAGCATGAGACAGTTACAAAAGGCACCACCACTGTGCATAACTGAAACACCATGTTCAGAAGGTGAGAAAGAAACAAAGGAAATATTTGAAGTGGTAATGGCTGAGAATTCCCCGAATTAATGACAGACATGAAACTGCAGATTCAGGAAGCTCATAGAACAGGAAACAGGATAAATACTAAGAAGTATACATCTATGTACATATTCAAACTGCAGAAAATCAAAGAGAAAAAAAATCTTGAAAGAAGCTGGAGGAAAAACAAGTGTGAGAGAAATCCTTTCTCTGTCTATCCTCTCAACACTTGGCCGCCTAGCGTGACCCCTGAAAGGGAAATGCACAGCAATGTGAGGACACAAAAGACTTACCTTCTAGCTAGAGGATCAGAGAAAGTCCCCAGGGACCCAGTGAGCTTGGGAAAAACCACTGAGAGTAGCGAATGTAAGCAAGAGAACACATTAAATTGAGCAGAAATTCCTGGGCTCAACCTAAGGTGCTCACGCAGAAATCTTCATAGTTACCGAGGACTGGAGGACTGAACTAGTGGTAGACCATCACCCAGTAGTCAGCCATTATTCAGGAGGACTCAGAAATGCTATGGATGCAAATATCACAGCACCACCAACATAAGAATATGCCTTTTTTCAAGCACACATGGAAAACACACCAAGCTAGATTATCTCTTGGGTCATAAAATAAATATATTTTTTTTTCCTAAGACAGAGTCTTGCTCCATTGCCCAGGCTGGAGTACAGTAGTGAGATCTCAGCTTACTACAGCCTCTGCCTCCCATGTTCAAGGGATTCTCCTGCCTCAGCCACCCGAGTAGCTGGGATTACAGACACACACCACCATGCTTGGCTAATTTTTTTTTTTTTAGACAGAATCTCGCTCTGTCACCAGGCTGGAGTGCACTGGCGTGATCTCGGCTCACTGCAACCTCCGCCTCCCAGGTTCAAGTGATTCTCCTGCCTCAGCCTCCCAAGTAGCTGGGACTACAGGCGCACATCACCACGCCCAGCTAATTTTTTTTTTTTTTTGTATTTTTAGTAGAGATGGGGTTTCACCATGTTGGCCAGGATGGTCTTGATCTCCTGACCTCGTGATCTGCCCGTCTCGGCCTCCCAAAATGCTGGGATTACAGGTGTGAGCCACCACGCCTGGCCGGCTAATTGTTTTATTTTTAGTAGAGACAGGGTTTCACCATGTTGGTCAGGCTGCTCTGGAACTCTTGACCTCAAGTGATCTCTCTGCCTTGGTCTCCCAAAGTGCTGGGATTACAGGTGTGAGCCACCTTGCCAGTCTCTCTTTCTTTCTTTCTTTCTTTCTTTCATTTTTCAAACAACAGATTTTTAAAAATCCACATCATCAAGCTTATGTTCTTCGACCTCTATGGCACCATATTAGAAATGAAACAATAACATAAGTACAATAGGAAATTATCATACCTTGTGGAATTAAACGACACCATCTTCAACAATTCAAGGATCAAAAAGGTAGCCTCAAGGAAATTAAAAAGTCCATAGAACTGAATTTAATTGGAAAAGCAACATATCACAACTTGTGGGATGCAGCTAAAACAGTGTTTAGAGAGAAAATTATAACATTACTTAGATTAAGATAAAAGAAAGATCTCACATAAATAATGTGAGCTTCTACCTTAACTAACCAGAAAAAGAGGGAAACCAATTAATTCAAAGCAAGCAGAAAAAAAGAAAAAAACACAACAGAAATAGTTCACAATGAAATCCGAAAAAAAAAAAAAAGGAAAGAAAGAAAAATCATGGAAACCAAAAGCTGTTCTTTGAAAGGATCAAGAAAATGGATGGAACTCTAGTCAGTCATGGAAAGTAAGAGAGAAGATACAAATTATTAAGATCAAAAGTGAAACAGGAAATATCATTAGAGAACCTGTAGACCTGAAGATAGCCATGAAATGCTAAGAAGAAATCTGTGCAGAATAATTCAATAACTGAAATGGAATTCATGATAAAATGAAATGAAATTCTACCAAAATCAGAAACTAGTGGAACTCACCTTAGACAAAATGGATAACTTGAAGAGTACTTTAGCTACCAAAATAACTGATTTCATAGTAAAACTCTTTCTGAGAAAGAAATCTGTAGACCCAGATAGGTTCACTGGAGATTTCGTACAACCATTTAAAGAAGTAACATGAATTTGCACAGTCTCTCAGAGAAAATAGAAGAGAAGGGGATGTTTCCCAAATCATTTTACCTGGTTAACATTACCATGGTATTACCAGGCTAACAGTACAAACAAACAAGGAAACACAAACCAATAAAAATTCTAGAGGTCAATATGCTTCACAAACATAGATGCAAAATCTCCAAAAAATTAGCAAATAGAATCCAGCAATATCTTAAAAGTCGGATTTATCTGGAGAATGCAAGGCTGGTTTAATATTTGATAGTTGATCAATGCTGTCCACTATATCCAGAAATGTATGATGACCTCAACTAAAGCAGACAAAAGCACTTGAGAATGTACAACATAATCACAGTGAAAAGTCTCAGGAAACTAGAAATAGAAAGGAACTTAACCTGACAGAGTACATGTACAGAAAACCAAGAGCAAATATCAAACTGGGTAGTGAAAGACTGAATGCCTACCCCTAAAAAGAGAAACAAGAAAAGGATGTCCCCTCTCACCACTCCTATTCAGAAAGGTAGTGGGATTCTTACCAGTGAAATCAATCAAGAAATATAAATAAGAGACATCTTGAATGGGACAGAATATATAATGTTGTTTCCAACCTCAGAAGACACAACTGCCTATGCAGAAAATACCAAGGAAACTGCACAAAAACTCCTCAAATAAGTGAGTGCAGGCAGGTCGCAAGGTAGAAGCTCAACACACGATAATCGTATTATCGTACTTCATATAATGGCAATAAAAATGGGAAGTTGCTGTTGCATTTCCTTAGGCTCTCTGATTGTACCTTTCACCCTGTCCAGTCCCCTGATGAGACCAACAAAGGCATTCTTCATTTCCCTTATGGTCTATATATTTTTTTAATTTTTAGCATTTCCTTTTCATTTATTCATTCATTCTTTTTTTAATTTTTAGCATTTCCTTTTCATTCATTCATTTTTTTTTTTTTGAGAAGGAGTCTCGCTCTGTTGCCCAGGCTGGAGTGCAGTGGCACAATCTTGGTTCACTGCAACATCTGCCTCCCAGGCTCAAGCGATCCTTGTGCCTCAGCCTCCCGAGAAGCTGGGATTACAGGCGCCTGCCACCACACCTGGCTAATTTTTGTATTGTACTCATTTATTTATTTATTTTTTAAGTAGAGACGGGGTTTCACCACGTTGACCAGGCTGGTCTCAAACTCCTGATGTCAAGTGATCCATCCACCTTGGCTTCCCAAAGCCCTGGGATTACAGGCCCCTTTTCAGTTGTTCTTGAAGAGTTTCCATATTTTGACTTACAGTACTTACCTATTCTTGGATATTATCCACTTTTTCCATTAGGGCCCACAGCGTGTTACTCATACTTGTCTTAAATTCCCAGTCAGATCATTCCAACATCTCTATCATATCTGAGTCTGTTTCTGATACCTGCTCTTTGTCTTCACACTGTGTGTGTGTGTTTTTTTTTTTTTTTTTGTCTATTAGTATGCTTTGAAATTTCCTTTTGCAAACTTGCCACGATGTGTCAGATGAAAAGAATGGAGTTAAATAGGCCTTTAGTGTGAGGTTTACCTTCATCTGGCTGTGTTTACTGTTTGCTGTAGCTGTAGGTGTCAGAGGCTAAACCTCCCTGTGGTGTCCTTCACTTTTCCTCCTTGGCTGTGTTTGGTTTTCCTTGGAGACCTGCTCACTATGGTCTGGCACTCACAGTTCTTTCAGTTTCATTCCCCAGTTGATGTGGCAGTGAGCTGCAGAGGGAGGGGAAGACTTCTATCCTCCTATGACTACATGGCAGGCTTGAGTCAGTGTACACCGGGCTGTGGCTTTCACTAGTGCTTCTCAGTTTTGTTTTGTTTTCTCCTTGGACAGACATTAAGGGGCCAGAATGTTGTAGCTGGGTGTTTTCCTTACCCAGTGTTGATGAGAGTCTAGAAAAAAACCAAGTAGGACAGACTCTGGTAAAACAGTTTCTCTTGAGGGCAGACCCTCGTTTGAAGAACAGAATACTCTGGGCATATTTTCGAATGACTCCTTTCTCCCTCTGGTCCTCACTGGGGGAACCTGATAGGGCTCCCAGAGGTGAAACTCTGGAAACTGTGGTAGCCTTCTGGATGGTGCCCCCAGGAGTTTTTAGTTCTCAAATTTGTCCATAGTGAGCCCTCCACCATTCGTCTTATAAAGATGAGGTTTTCGTATCCTGGTCCTTGTTTCTGGGCATTCAGCTCCTGAGCTTCTGCTCTCCAAAGTTGTGGCTGACTGTATCTACTGTCTCTTCCGTTTTGGGTCAGCAATCAGCCCTATGGCCTCAGCTCTCTGAGGGATCAGAGAAAAGTTGTTGTTTTCCAATTTGTTCAGCTTCTTATCTTGTTTGCGTCAGAGGCAGAGAGCCATCTAGCTCCTTACATACCCGAGTGAACATAAGAATTTAAGAAAATTGGAAAACTTTTTTAAACATAGCAGTTTTACATAGGTATACATGTGGCATGGTGGTTTGCTGCACCCATCAACCTGTCATCTACATTAGGTATTTCTCCTAATGCTATCCCTCCTCTAGCCCCCCACCCCCTGACAGGCCCCAGTGTATGATGCTCCCCTCCCTGTGTCCATGTGTTCTCATGGTTTAACTCCCACTTATGAGTGAGAACATGCGGTGTTCGGATTTCTGTTCTTGTGTTAGTTTGCTGAGAATGATGGTTTCCAGCTTCATCCATGTCCCTACAAAGGACGTGAACTCATCCTTTTTTATGGCTGCATAGTATTCCATGGTGTATATGTGCCACATTTTCTTTATCCAGTCTATCATTGTTGGACATTTGGGTTGGTACCAAGTCTTTGCTATTGTGAATAGTGCCGCATGGCACGTGGATACCTATGTAACAAACCTGCACGTTCTGTACTATGTAACAAACCTGCAGGTTCTGCACATATACCCCAGAACTTAAAATGTAATAATAGTAATTTAAAATTAAAAGAGATTCCCTGGAAAAAAAATCCCATCTCAATCACTTTGCTCTTTTAGTATCACTTCTTGTGTGCCCTTTCCTCCTTTCCAAATAATCATTTGAGGCCCAGCTGATACAGCATATTATCCTCAAAGGCTTTGTTGACTCCAGCTACACTGTAGATTCTGTACTATACATTCTTGATTTTTTTTACCAAAAAAAAACCCAAAAAACAAAAACAAAAACAAAATAGCCATTTTAATAAAATTAAAAATGAAATGCTTTGGTATATATCTAACAAAACATGTACATATCAGGATGGTGAAAACTACAAAATGCTGATGAAAAATTCAAAGAAGGCCCAACTAAATAGACATAGCATGTACATTCACTGGAAGACTCAGTGAAGATATGTGATCTGTAACAAAGCGATCCATAGATCCAATGTAACTCCAGTAAAATACCAGCAAGCTTTTTTGTACTTGTACACAAGCTGATTCAAAAAGCATACGGAAAGGTAAAGGTTTTGAAATAATTAAAACAATTTTCAAAACACAGAGTAATTGCACAAATCGTACCACTCAATTTTAAGATTTAGCATAAGCCTAAAACAATCAAGTCATTATGGAATTTTCTAAGGGATACACGTATAGATTAATGGATTAAAACAGAGAATCCATAAATAGATCCACGCGAATATAGCAATGGAGGTTTTAGAAAGGGGTAAAGACAATTTATTGGAAAAATATTAGTCTTTTCAATTAGTGGTATTGGAACAACTGAACATCCATGTGTTATAAAAAAGACTTGACCAAAACCTCACATGTTATACAAAAATTAACTCAAAGTGGATTACAGATCCAAATGTTACATGAAATACTATAAAACTTTTAAAGAAGGCCGGGTGCAGTGGCTCACGCCTGTAATCCCAGCACTTTGGGAGGCCGAGGTGGGCAGATCACGAGGTCAGGAGTTCAAGACCAGCCTGGCCAACATGGTGAAACCCCATCTCTAGTAAAAATATAAAAATTAGCTGGGCGTGGTGGTGCGCACCTGCAATCCCAGCTACTCGGGAGGCTGAAGCAGGAGAATCGCTTGAACCCGGGAGGCGGAGGTTGCAGTGAGCCGAGATCCTGCCATTGCACTCCAGCCTGGGCAATAGAGTGAGACTCCGTCTCAAAAAACAAACAAACAAACAAACAAACAAACAACAACAGCAAGAAAAAACTTAAAGAAAACACAGGGTGAAATATTAGTAGCCTGATGTGAGGCAAAGAGGTCTTAAACATGACACCAGCAGTGTGATTCATAAAGAAAAGAAACAATAAATTAGACTTCCTCAGAGTTAAAACTTTTGCTCTGAGAAAGACACTGAAGAGACACTAAAAAGCCAAACGAAGTATTCACAAGTATTTGCAAATCATATATACACCAAAGGCCTTTTATGAAAATTGTATAAAGATTCCCAAAATCTCAAAACTTAGAACACATGTCAAAACACAAAGTTTCACCAAATTTTGTTCAAAGATCTAACTGGCTTTTCTTTATGATTCTTGAATGGGCATTTTTTCTCTCCGTCAACTTGAATGCGTGTCCCTATGTGCTGAGCAAAAGACGTTGGCTTATAGGCAGAAGAGGACGAAAAAAGTAGAAACAGGGAACAAAAGGTGGTTTGGTGATTTCAAAGTTGATTTCCTTGTAGGATTAAAGCAGAGAAAACTTTCTTATCGTGCCTGCTCAGGTACGGTGGGCTCCTCGTTATTGGTTGCTGTGACTATTCTGTTTTTAGTTTTTTGAGAACTGGCCCGTTTCAATGTTCACTTTGATGAATGGCAATTAGTACAAGGGACACTATTCTGATTTTGTCTGTTCTGCTGGGGTCTGGGGCCAGAGATTAGGGCAAAACAATGGCCTCCCATGAGTTCATTTAACACAAACAACCACATTTTTTAGAAGGGCAAAACATATCAATAGACATTTCACCCAAAAGGACATACGCATGACAAATAAGCCCATGAAAAACTATTCTACATCACAGCTATTAGAGAAATGCAAATTAAACCATGATCAGATGCCATAACACATATTTGAAAATGACTGAAATTTTTAACGAGATACTTGTAAGTGCTAACAAGGATGAAGAACAACTTGAAATTTCATACATTGCTAGTGGCAGTTATGAAACGGGACAACTGCAGAAAATGATTTGGTAATTACTTATGAACACATGCCATGTGACTCAGCGATTTCATCTAAGGGAAAAAGAAAAATTTATGTTCACACAAAAGCCTATGTACGTGAATGTTTATAGCAGCTCCAGTCATATTTGCCAAAACCTGGAAATTATACAAATGTATTTCCATGGGTAAATGGGAAATGAAATTTTGGGGCATCCTTACTTACTATGAAATACTTCTCAGCAATGAAAAAGAATGAACTACTGATACACACAACAATGTGTTTCAAACTCGAAGGTGTTTTGCTGTGTGAAAGGAGCCAGTCTCAACCAGTTACATATTCTATTATTCTGTTTACCTGGCATTCTTGAAAGAGAAAACTGAAACGATGGAGTACAGATGAGTGGCTGTCAGGGTTCGGCGCGCAGTGGTGGGTACAGCTATAAATGAATTGCACATGGAGGGGGTTTCTTTTGGGGAGAAGACGTAATAATCTTAACTATTAATTCACCTAAAAGCAGAGCTTCAAAATGCAAGAAACTACATCTGATAGAACTGCAAGGATAAATCGCCAAATCTACAATGATATTTGGAGATGGCAACAGTCCTCTCCAAGTAAATGATTGAAGTAGACAGAAATTCTGCAAGGGTGTAGGAGGAGCTGAACAACAAAGAACAAATGTGAGCTGATTAGATTTTAGTGAGCACTCCTCAGAACGACGGTAGATTATATGGTATTTTCAAGTGTGTGTGGAATTTTTACCAAAAGAGACCAGAAAACAACCCATAAAAAATTTAAAATAATTGGAATTGTACAAAGTATCTTTTTAAAATCTATAATGGAATGTAATTCAAAATATAACAAAGGAAATATCTGTAAAGTCCTTAAGTATTTTTAAAATAAACAACACATTTTTACTAATCCATGTTTAAAAAAATTCTTGAGGAAGGTTAGAAAATATTTTCAAATAAATAAAAATGGAAATGTGATGTTTTAAAATATCTGCAATTTAGCTAAAATGTGCCTAGGGGACATTTTATGTACTGAAATGTTTATATTAGAAAGTAATAAAAGACTCAAATATGTATATTTTGATCTCAAATAGCTAGAAAAGGAAAAGGAAATTAAACCTAAGGTGAGCAAAACGATGGGGATAATATAGACAAGAAGAGAAAAATTAATGAAATTGAGATTTCAGAAGTTTTAGAAAAACAATAAATAATACTGATGGAATCAAAAGTTAGATCTTTAAGTAGATCAGACAAGCCGAAAGGCCCGAAGTCAATCTAAGAAATTTAAAACACATGGGTTTGGGCCAGGTGCAGTGGTTCAAGCCTGTAATCCCAGTACTTCTTGAGGCAGAAGCAGGCAGATCCGTTGAGGCCAGGAGTTCAAGACCAGCCTGGCCAAGATGGTGAAACCCTGTCTCTACTAAAAATACAAAAATTAGCCAGGCGTGCGGTGCATGCCTCTAATACCAGCTATTCGGGAGACTGAGGTACGAAAATGGCTTGAGCCTGGGAGGCAGGGATTGCAGTGAGCTGTGATCTTGCCACTGCACTCCAGCTTGGGCAACAGAGTGAGTCTCTGTCTCACAAAACAAAGCCAAACCCCAGAAAACGTGGTTTTGGAGAAGCAACAGCGTTGAACACAGCTAGAAGTAGAGGACACTTTACAGAAACTATTAACTGTTGTGACAACAACAATGTTTCTTAGAGAAGTTTCTGAGAAGACCAGATTTGCCTTGAAATGCTCGACGTGTCTGCTATGTTACAGATGCTTTCAAACGTATTAACCCAGGGGTCCCCAACACCCCCGGCCATGGATAGGAACTGGGCTGCACAGCAGGAAGTGAGTGGTTGGGCAAGCAGGTGAAGCTGAACTCCACCTCCTGTCACGTCAGTGGCGACATTAGATTCTCATAGGAGCGGGAACCCTATTGTGAACTGCACACGTGAGGGGTCTAGGTTTTGTGTTCCTGATGAGAATCTAACGCTTGATGATCTGTTACTGTCTCCCATCACCCCCAGATGGGACCATCTATTTGCAGGAAAACAAGCTCAGGGCTCCCACTGATTCTGCACGACGGTGAGTATGCAATAATAATAGAAATAAAGTGCGCAATAAATGTAATGTGCTTGAATCATCTTGAAACAATGCCCCACCCCCACCCCGTGCTCATGGAAAAATTGTCTTCCAGAAACCGGTCCCTGGTGCCAGGAAGGGTGGGGATCACTGCATTAACCCATCTGATTTGAAGAGGATCCTGTAAGGTCAGCATGGAGAGTTCACCTTGTACACTCCATAGCATTTTCTGCACTTCCCTTTGCCACACCATCTATCAGCTCAGGAAGCTGAGGATTTCCTCCTTCCATCTGATGCAGGGGCAGAATCTTACCCATCATCTCTGCTACCCTCCATATGACTGTTCTTACCTGAACACCTGTATAGGTGCCACTAGTCACGCTGAAAGCCGGCATGTTCCTGGGGACAGATGCCAGACAGGAAGCAGTGAAAGGCTGGTTAAATATTCTTTTGAAACTCCAGCTGGCATGTTCGCCATGGAACCATTTTTCCCCTCCTGGGAGGAGCCCAGGGTTTGTAAGAATTCAGCTTCATGAAATGGCTGCTCCTCTTCTACCTCTTAGGAGGGGAATTTCTGAGCACCATCCGTCTGTTTGCGTGTTCTGTCCCCAGCTTCAGATAACAAACTCAATAAAATCCTACTACAAATATGCAACTGACTGCGAAAATACTCTCTCAATCCTGGGGGCTGCAACCCAACCAGGAGCTTATGGGTCAAATTGGACTCTTCTCACAGCCCACTGGGAATACACAGAGTAGAATTCTCCCAGGGAGGGAGGACCAAGTGTCTAAAGTCACCGTCCAGAATGGTTGCGGCTGTGGGACTGGACTAAGGGCGAGCCGTGCGAGAACCAGGGGACTACTTCAAGGGCTAGGAATGCTCCATGTTGCAGGAAGGGCAGGGGGGTCTGCCCAGCCTCCAGGGGGAGGCAACAGTGAAGAGCAAGCAGCAGGTCAGGTCGCAGAGTCAGAAGGGAGGAAACATGATAGTGACCGGGGAAGGGCACTGTGACACGGGAACGTGCTGATGCCAGACAGAAGTGCTGATTATGTATTCGTCCCTTGTGCCCAGGAAAGAGAAGATCAAAGATGTGGATGAGCATTTGTAGGCGCTCCTACAACCTGTTGCATAGTAGGTGCTCAACAGGCAGCACCCAGCAGACAGTTCCCAGGGGACCCCCGGCATGCCATCCCCAAATTGTATTTGATGCTCATTGGCACCTTCTTTAGGCCTGCATTTAGTACCTTGGCCTCAGGGTCCTTCTTTTTGTTGCCTGAGAGACATGATGCATTGCTGAGAAGAGGAATGAAGTGCCAGTGAGGAGGTCTGCCTCCGGCTCAGGGGAGTGGGAACAGCACGGGCTCTAGAGGAATTCAGATCAGGGATCCGGTTCCAGCTCTGTTCCTTACTAGCCACCTGATCCTGGGAAATACCCAAGTTCTGTGAGCCTCTGGTTCTTCATCTGTGAAGCAGGTATGATGAGGCCCTTCCACTAGGACGGTTAGAGTGCGTGCAATGTAAGTGAAGCATCTGGCTCAGGGCCTGGCATTAAGTTAGAAGTTTAAGGAATGGCGGATGGCTGTCATATCTAATACTATTTGACCCTAGACCCTAGCACTCTGGGATTTCGTAAATGTTGTTGTTCTCCAAGACTTACCAGAGAATATACAGCTCAGTAGGACATGGGATAATCAGCCCCAACAGGAAGTTTCGTCAATAAAATTAAGTATTTCCTCTTAGCGAACGTGCTTCAAAATTTGGGTGTGCTGGAGTCTTGCGCAGCTGAATGCAGCTCAAAGCTCCTAGAATTTGAATCGAGGATCAACTCCTTTCCTCTCTCCCACCTGCTTTTGGATCCGAGACTCTGTTTTCACTTATTTTGTTAACACTCGAAATCTAGCCTTTGCTCACAATTGGTCAAATCCCACCTGAGATAACTTGATTAGAATGCCTTTTAAATACGATCAACTCTGGCTCTCCCAGACAGGCAGAAAAGCACCTGGCCAATGACTTCTGGGCTTCCCTTCTGGGAGATTCACCCTCATCTTGCAGGAAACCCTTGCAGATGATAGGTATCCATCACCTAGCCCCTGCACTGTGTTCAAGCGCACCGAGACAAGAGCGCGGGACGATTTCCTTCTATTCCTGCCCCAGGTGGAGACTCTTCTCTGTTCATCCACTATCCAAAAGGAACTGCTGAGCAGTCGTCCATTCCAGGCCTTTCTCTCATCCTCTGAGAATCTGGCTCTGGCACCACCCAGCTTCAATAGAATTACCTCCCCCAGAAGGAACTGCAGTTTCCCAAAGCCCAAAGGGCCCTGGCTCAGGGCATATACACTCGACTGCTGTCATCTAGAGCCCCAAACCCTCACCCATGTTTTATTTTCCTCTACTTCTTAGAGGACATGGCACCACCTTAATTTTAGGATTGTAGCCCCTAGACTTCACCACCCTATGGCAAAGGGGTGGGTCTGGCTTACCGAGCATCTCTACTACTAACCCAGGGTGTTCCGAATAACAGATGTTCAGTGCGTGTCTGAAGAAAAAATGAGCCAGTGAACAGGAAAAATTATTCTTTCAATTTTTATTTCTCTTACATGCTCAAAGAAGCCAAGCAAATCCAGGTATACATGTATATGTTTTAATTTTACAGGAGAGAGAAAGAGGTATAAGGCAAGAATTAACTACATTTTCATTTCACTATTTCTTTATGAGCTCTATTTTGCTGCTAAGTTCAAGTTTCAAAAAAATTATTAATTCCTCTGCTATGTTATCTTGTCCCAATTCACAAAATAACAGGGATTTCCCCATGTGACTCAAAAGCAAGAATCTTACTCCTAAATAACATAAACAGCAATATGTGTGACTACTGTCATTCATTAACTTCGATGGTGAAGTTCATTAAACTGACCATTAAAAGAACATTTGAACAATTCCAAAAGGGAGCAAGGATAAATCTCCAAATCACCCAATAGACAAGGAACCCAGAGATGACATACAGTGTGCTCACTTCCACCCACTGCCACTGAGAACACTGATTGCTCTCTTCAAACACAGAGCGAAGAATGGGCCTCATGTCACATGGGGCAGGGCAGCTGCTGGATGGGGCCCTGACCCCACAAACTTTGGCCCCGGCTGCGGCTGGTGCTCAGACTCCCTCTTGCTCCTCTCCCAAAACCTCTTCATAAAGGGATGGGTAGCAGATGGGCTCTCTTGCATTGAGCATGACCAAATAATTTATGACCTTCTCATAGCTGGTTTCAGCGTGGGCCTTGGAACCCCACAGGAACTCGTAGTGCGCAGGATCACTGCCGGGCACCTGCCGGTACTCCAGGTAGTTTTCCTGCACCCAATCTTGGGTGAGCAGCTTCCTGGGCTCCCCGTAGAACATGTGCTCCTTCCCAACATACACCCCCATCACACTCAACGCTTCCCAGATAACCTCTTCAGGGGCGCAGTTGTCTTTGGTTAGGATCACACCCAGGACAATGATCAGGAGGGCGGCCTTGGGCATGCTATGACCATCACCCAGCATGCTATCGCACGAGAGGCCAAGAGCAGTGACAAGGATGTAGGAGTGGCCGGCGGGGTCCACCTCCTTCACATCAGTGCCAAAGATCACCTGCATGAACTCGGAGGCTTTGCCGAAGATCACAGGAAAGTAGCGCTTGTAATTTTTGATGACGCTCTCCAGCATTTCTGCCTTTGTGACCGGCTCCTTGACTCGATATTTGTGGAGCAGGAAATGAACCAACTCAGCCACCTTCAATTTCAGTGCTTCTTGGAACATGAACTCCAGCTGAGCTGGGTCGACCGAGGAGCTTGGCTCTTCCTCTTCTTGACTGCTGGAGCCCTCATCGAATTGGCTCCATAAAGTGTAGTAGACGGAAATGGAGGAGGAAGCGCCTCCCTGAGGACTCTGGGGAGGACTTGATGACCCAGCAGCAGACACCTCCTCCTCCTTGCTGTCAGAGGAGGAGGTAGTCTCCTCCTCCTCGCCTGTGGGTTCCTGTGCACCCATCAGGCCCAAGTCCTCTCCTTGGGCTTCAAGGTCTTCATCAGGCTTGCAGTGCGGACTCCTCTGCTCGAGAGACATGATGACTCTGGTCAGGGCAGCAGTCAGGAGCGTGGGCAGGAGCTGGGCGATGGAGACCCACAGGCCTGGGGAGAGAGGGAGTGTGTGAGAGACTTCAGCTGAGAACCGAACCTTGGAGGTTCTAACAAAGGCTGACTTACAGGTCTTCGTCAGTGCTGCTCTGGGGCCTCTTGGGGCTCCTGTCCTCCTGGTTAGCCTGTCCCGAGAACCTGAGGGAGGAAGTGAGAGGGCTACTCAGCGTGCAGCTAGCCTGCAGAGATCAAGGCTCTATGAGTGACAGTAGGGGGAATGGGGCCAGGTGCTATGGGGTCCCATGTGTGCTGGGGCAGGTGGGGCCCTTGGTGCACATTCAGGGTGAACACTTCACCTTCACTGCTGACACTGCCTGGGTCTCCTCTGCTCTGCGACCTGAGGACACTGTCTCAGACCAAGGCCTGCCTGCTTCCTGGAGCTCCTGGAAGAGGAATCGAGGGGCCCTTAGGCTGCAGACTGCAGGCAGAGCCCCGGTCCCTCAGTGCTGTCAAGATGGCGGGCTGGACACTCTTGAGTTCTACACACTTTTGGGGTGGATGGTCCCCTCTGCGCTCACTCAGGGCCCTGACCTTTCTCCTGGCAGGGACTGGACTCTACTCCTCTACTTGCCTGAGAGTCTCTCAGATCAGGAGCTCACATCCCTGATATGGAACAGAAGGACATGCCCCAACCAACATCTGCCCACACCTGCCCAGGGTTTCCTCGGAAGTACAGTAAGAGATGTCTAAATTCAATGGGGTCCATGTGTCCTGGGGTGAGGATACTGCCTGGTCCTCATCTTGATGCCTGCAGGGTCTGGAACCCTCCCTCTGTTGACCTGAGGCCCTATCTCCAGGAGACACCTGAAGAGGAAGTGAGGGGAGTCCATCCACCCAGCGGCTTCCCTCAGCTGACACAAGGGGCAGGGTGGGGCTAGGTCCTCTGTGTTTGGTGAGTGGGGTCCCCTCAGTCTGCACCTGGACTCCTGGCAGGGCCTGGGACCCTCCCTCTGCTGACGTGAGTGCAGCCCCCTCAGACCAAGGCCAGCCCTCCCCGACACCAGTGATCCCAGGATAAAGGAGGGACCTCAGCAGACAGCCCTGCCCGGGCTCTCTGGGGTGACAGTAGGGGCAGGGCAAACTCTCTTGATCTGAGAGTTTCTCTGGCCTGGAGGTACCCTCGATCCTCCCTTAGGTTCCTCACCTGGACTGCTCTCCAATCCTGGGACCACTGTGTCTGTCGAACACAGGGCCTCCCTGTTTTGTCCACACACACCCTCTGAGAACAAAGTCCTCACCTCCCTGAGATCCAGAAACAGAGGTGAGGAGGCCCCACATATGTCACCCCTGCGTGGGGTGTCCGGGGCTGACCCCACCAGCTGAACCCTTCAGGTATGAGGTGGGTGTTCCAAAGTCCTCCTGCGGGTTATTCATCTTTACTCCTGCTGGGGCTTCTACTTCCTCGACCCTCAAACCCTTGAGATGAGCAGACATCTCCCTTTACACCAACGCCTCATCCCCCTGAGGGTTCCTCAACTTCCTGCCGTGGTACAAATGAGCTTGCCACTTAGCACCATCCTTGATCAGGCCCCCCCCCGCCCCCAGATCTAAGAACAGAGTTCACCTAGACTCTGTGGGGTGGCTTCTTTCTGCGTTGGGGGTACCTCCATTCCTCATGAAGGGGGCACACCTTGGGTCCTGCTGATCCTGGGAGTCCTCCTTCTACTGACCAGGTGTGGAGCCCTCTGTTGGATCTCTCAGTGCCCCCTGGGATCAAGGTACTCACCTCCCTGAGACCTCTCACCCCCAGTCACGTGGGAGAAATGAGAGCATGCCTCATGCCATTCCTGCCTGGGGCCACCTGGGGCTGAGAACAGGTGACACCAGTGTCTGTGAGGTCCTTTCTTTTTTGAGAGCGTGGAGGTACCTTCTTACCTTCAGTCCTCACCAAACTTCCTCCCCGTCACTCCTGGAAGACCCTGGATTCCACCCTGTGCTGACCAGGTGTGGCTCCCTCTGCTGAGCTGAGGAAACCCCTCGGACCAAGGCCCCCACCTCCCGGAGACCCGGGAGGCAGAAGTGAGGGGCCACCTCATGGTCACTCATGCATGAGATACCCAAGGCTGACCAAAGGAGCAGGTTCCAGGGGGCCTCGTCGGTCTGGGTGTCCTCTAGGTATTCATATTTGCTTCTGACAGAATCTGGCCCCTTCCATTTTGCTGAACCAGAGGTGAGTCTTGCAGACCAAGGCCAATTTCTCCCTTAGACCCTCTTTGAGAAAGTGTGTGTTGGGGGTGGAGGGGGCACTTCCCTTCCTCACCGTCCTGCCTGGGGCCTTCCAAGACTGACGGCAGGGGCAGGTTTCCTAGGTCTGGGATGAGAGGTCTGGTGAATCCTTCCTCAGGCCTCTGGGACTCCTCCTTCTGCTCACCTGAGGCCCCACTCCTCATACCACAGCCCTGTTCCCATTGACACCCGATCCCACCAGCCACAATGCACCACATGCGGCCACCGTGCCCGGGATCGCCCAGGCCAAGATCCCCACTGAGCTGGACTCCGGGGTCCCCTCTGTCCTCCGTCTTGTTCCTTCCCTGGTCTCCTAGAGGGCTGGGCCCCACCCCTCTGTGGACCTGAGTCTCCATCTGTCGGATTCCCGAGGCTGAATGAGGAGGGGCCTCGGTCTCAGATAGGGGCGGGGTGGGCCCCTTGTCCTGGGGTACTGGGTCCCCTCAGGCCTCCCTTGTCTCCCAGCAGGACCTGGGCCCTCCCTCTGTTCTCCCGCGGCCACGCTAACGATACCAAGCCCCTTCCCTCGGTCAGCCCAGGATGCAGATATCACGATCCGCTTGCCTGACCGCCATGCCCGGAACTTCCCAGGGTCCACTGCAGGGGCAGTGACTCCCTCTATGGGGCCTCAGCCCTCCCTCAGGGTCCTGGCCCTGATGCCTGGCAGAGCCTGGCCCCTGCCCTCTCTTAACCAGTCCTGCCCTGGTCACACCAAGCTCTGACCCAGAGTCCCCTGGGGCTTAAGTGGTGGGGTGGCGAAGGGTGGCCCACAGCCTGAGAAGTCCGCCCCCGGGGTGGTTCAGGGCTGGCAGCAGGGGTGCTGCTGGATTATTTGGGGCCCTCTATCTGGAGTGGGGGCGTCCTCAGTCCTCCCTCAGCGTCTCATCTTGCCTCCTCACAGAGCCTGGGCCCGCTTCCCTCTGCCGATCTTCAGCCACCACTCAGAACCAAGCCCTTGCTACTCTCTGACCCCCAGTGCGCAAGTCAGAGGCCTTACATCCGGGCACCCGGAGCTTCCCTGGGTTGACAGCAGGAGCCGAACCGGATTCTGCCACGGGAGACTTGGGGGTGGGGTGGAGTGGGGGGGGGGGTGAGGATGGAGGTGGGGAACCTGAGGCTGTAGGTCATGGTGGTGGTGGCTGGGTTAGGGGTGTGGAGGCGTTCAGCCCTCCCTCAGGGTTCTGACCTTGATGCCAGTCAGAGCCTGGGCCCAGCCTGATACGCCCGACCCCGCGGGGTGGTCCAGGGCTGGCACAGGGGCGGCGCTGTATTATTTGGGGTCCTCTATCTGGGGCGGGGGGTCTTGAGTCCTCCCTCAGGGTCTCACCTTGCCTCCTCACAGAGCCTGGGCCCGCTTCCCTCCACCGATATCGACCCGCCCCTCACAGCGAGGCCCCCGCTACTCTCTGACCCCCAGTGTGGGAGTCACTGGCCGTACATCCGGGCACCTGGGGCTTCCCTGGGTTGACAACAGGGGCGGAACCAGATTCTGCCGCGGGAGAGTTGGGGGGGTGGGGTGGAGTTTGGGGTGGGGTGGGGTGGGGTGGGGTGGGGTGTAGAGTGGAGCTGAGGATGGGGCTGGGGAACCTGGGGCTGTAGGTCATGGTTGGGTTGGGGGGGCCCAGCCTCCCTCAGGGTCCTGGCCTTGATGCCCGGCAGAGCCTGGGCCCTGCCCTCTCCTAACCAGCCCTGCCCTGGTCACACCAAGCTCTCACTCCAGAGTGCCCAGCAGCTTGAGCGGCGGAGGGAGGGGGTCGGCCCAGCCTCACAAGTCAGCCCCAGATCGGCCCCCGGGTGGTCCAGGGCTGGGAGCAGAGACGGCACTTGGTTCTTTCGGGTCCTCTATCTGGGGTGGGGACATCCTCAGTCTTCCCTCAGCACCTCACCTTGACTCCTCACAGAGCCTCGGCCAGCTTACCTCCACCGGTATCAAGCCGCCCCTCAGAAGGAGGCCTCTCCCTTCTCTCTGACCCCCAGTGCGCACGTCAGTGACGTCACATCCGGCCCCCAAGCCTGGAGCTTCCCTGGGTTGCCAGTAGGGGCTGAACCGGGTTCTGGCGGAGTAGGGGTGGGGATGGGGATAGGGGCCCTCAGTCATCCCTCAGGGGGTCCTGACCTTGATGCCTGGGTCTCGATCCCCATTCTCTGCCCATTGGGTCTGCTCCTCTCGGACCAAGTCTCTGACTCCCAGTCACATGAGGTGGCAGTGAGGGGAGGGGTGTGGTCGGGGTGACAACATTGCCAGGGTCTTCCAGGGCTGACAGGAAGGGCTGAGCTGGATTCTGTGGCCCCTCTATGTGGGGAGGTTGGACCTTCAGTCCCCTCTCAGGAGGGTTCTCCTCCTGGCTCCTGGCTCTTTGATGAAGTGATGTGTGGGAGATGATCTGTTTATGTCACCTTTGAGCATTTGCCCAGCTGCACGCGTTGCAGAGAATGGCTGCGGGTCCCAGGCTAGATGCTCCCTGGGGGGCTGCAGCACCTGTGATTGTAGGACCTGTGAGAGAAGATGCACACCATCCCATGGGGGCTCCTCCCCAGCCAGAGCTAGACTTTGCAAACCTTTTGTCCTAAAAGATTTATTTTTACACGGAAGAGGCTGAGCAGCAGCAAGAGATTTGGAGAAGCCATGTGTTTTGAAGGTATCGAACACAGCAGAGTCCAGATTAGCGATTTTCATATTTTAATTCTCATTCACATGGTAATAAATTTTACACTGTATGTGTACATTATATATGGTATTGTACATTTTGTTTATATCTACGTTTATATACATACCTGTTTTAGACATTATATACATCTATGCTTATATGTATACATACACGCATATATATCTTTATATCTTATATTTACTTACATGTATATATCTTTAGCTACATATTCGTTTGTATTTCTAGACTTTATACTATATATATGCACACATATTTTATTAATATCTACTCATAGTATGTGGCCTTCACACATACTTACTATTCTATTCCTAGTTCATTCTTTATATTCCATTAAAATAATAATTTTTTGGAAGGCTGGTCTTCTCCTACTAAGTTTGTTTCAGGTGGTTGTTAGCAGAACTCTGGAGCCATAGTGTCTCAATCAACTCAAATTTCCTGGTGTCCTGATATTACTCCAGGGCTACTGGCATCAGATTTTGTGGTGCTGCCTCAGATTGCGCGATGATGTGGGGTGGAATGTTAAACACTTTCTCCTATCCATCCTGTAATCTGCCATCTATGCAGGGTACAGACCTCCTCGATTTCCCTGCTGCTCCCTGGACCCAAAACACAAGTACTAGTTTAGCACAGTCTTCAGTCATCCCCAGGGCTTTCTCTGTTTTGATGGGTTTTTTTTTTTAATCTTTTCCCTCCTATATTTTTTCCGGGGTTGATTTGGGGAGCAGAGCACAGCAACCTGAGCTTGGTTGTCACTTTGGCAATGACAGTTAAGGCACTCACTCTGTATTTAATTTAAGTAGCATTTACATCTTTGCCATATTCTGTTCCCCATCAAGGAATATGGTATACAGATCCATTTACTTGAGATTATTTCCTGAGTCTATCAGCAACTTTGCACAGTTGCTTCCATAAAGGTCTTGTCAGGCTCTTCTTATTTACATTTTGGATTTTAATGCTGCTGTGAATGGTGCATTTTCTATTTTCTATTTTATATACTAAGTTGCTTTTGTGTGGCAAGGCTCTTGATTTTGCTTTAATGACCTTCTGTATGATGTTTTCTGAAGTCTTTTATTCATTTGAATATTCAATGTGTCTATTCCTTTGAATTTTCTATGTAGATAATCATATAGTTAACAAATACTCTATTTCTTTGCAGTCTTCATATCTCATTTTCATCTTGACATCCATAGCTCTGGCTCTTTTTCATTTTGATATTCACTGCAGATGTAGGTGGTAGTGGTGACAGCATATGTCAACGACTTGTCACTGCCGTGAATGGCAGAGCTTCTGACATTTCACATTTATGTATGCTTGCTGCCAATTTTAGGAAATGGAAGTTCCTTTTAATGTTAGTTTGCTAAACATTGTTAATTTGTACTTACATAGAATTCATTTCAGAGCCTTTTCCTGTACCCATTGTCATGACTGAATGTTTTTTTCTAGTCTATCTTGTATGCAGGGAGTTAGAATTGAATTTTTTTCTAACATTTAATCCTATTTTTATTCCATGCATACAGGCAGCTTGTTCGTTTAATCCACTGTTGTGTTGGATATGTGATTATCTGTTTATGACATTTGCTGCGATGTGTGTGAACACTTGCCTCACAAATTCTTTTCATGAGTGCTCGGGTGCCTTCATCTGTTTATGAATCTAGGAGAGCGAGCCTGGGAGAATGAGTTAAACAATTGCCCATTTTGGATGCATTGGAAGAGTTGAGATAAGATGGTGATTCATTTTCCCTTGCCACTTGGCTGAACTGGCCTCCAAAATTTCCTGTCCTGGAATATTTGAGGGTAGATTGAACTTTGAATACACTTTCAGTTTGTGGAAGTACCATTGGTTTTATCCATTCACCTCTTCAAGGACATCTTGGTTGGTGATTATGAATAAACTACTAATACATTCGTGTACACGATTTTCCATGTGAGAACCAGTTTCCAATTCACTTAGGTAAAACCTAGTAGTACGACTGATGGATCTAAAGGTAAGTCTATGTTTTACTACATAAGAAAGGGCCAAAAGGCCTTCTAGAGTGAATGAAACATTTTTCTTGTCTACCAGCTATGAATGAGAATCCCACATCCTCTCCAGAATTTGATATTCTCAGGTATTTGAATTCTATCCATTGTAATAGGTGGGTAGAGGAATCTTAGTGCTGTTGACATTTGCATTATTAATGAATAATTATGGTGATCATCTTTTCATGTGTGTATCTTCATTGGTGAATGTATGTGTATTTCTGCGTGTCTTCATTGGTGAATGTCTTCAAATCATTTACATCTTTAGTTGGATTCTTTGTTTTCAAAGGTTGAATGTTAAATGTTTGGTATTTATTCAGCATATGAGTTCTTTATCAGATATCAGATTACTAATATTTTCTCTCCATCTATATAGTTTTTTCCATTCTTCTAACAGTATTTTTTTTTTTTTTTTTTTTTTTGGAGATGGAGTCTCACTCTGTCTCCCAGCCTGGAGTGCAGTGGCGTGATCTCGACTCACTGCAACCTCTGCCCCCTGAGTTCAAGCGATTCTCCTGCCTCAGCCTCCCAAGTAGCTGGGATTACAGGTGCCTGCCAACGTGCCCGGCTATTTTTTGTATTTTTAGTAGAGACAGGATTTCACCATCTTGGCCAGGCTGGTCTTGAACTCCTGACCTCGTGATCCACCTGCCTCAGTCTCCCAAAGTGCTGGGATGACAGGCGTCAGCCATCGTGCCCAGCTGAGATTCACAGGAAAACCACGATCGGAGGGGTGTAAGTTTGTAGGAAAGAGGTTTTTAAGTGGCAGCATCTTTGCATGATTCAAACTCTGGAGGCATATGCATAAAGTCCAAGAAACACATGAGAAAACTGTACTTCTTGGAAACTAAGGAGCTCACAAATGATGAAATGTGATTCACACCGATTTGTAAATGAGCACCCATTTGTAAGTGAGCAGGCCGAGACAGGGAGATCCACCTGCAGACCATGGCTGGACTCTGGATTAATCCATTCCCATGTCTGCATTCTCTTATGGCCTCTTCCCACGTCTCCCAGGACTCTGCCACCTACTGTCAAATTAAAAATCACAGGCAGGGATACCTCTGGGTTCTGGTGTGTGGGTGTTGGGGCTCTCTGCACGCCCTGATTTCAGAGCTCTTTTGATGTCTGTGCCCAGTTGTGTCTACGGTAAGAACTTGAATCTATTTCCTCTGATCAGTCAAAGAAGTTCGTCGATGATAGCATGTGTTCTAAGATGAACACCCCAAGTGAGCAGAAAAGGCTGCTTCCTAAGTTAAAACATGACATGACATCTTTTAAATTAATTTTTGACTCCAAAAGAAAGGAGAAGGAAGGAAGGGAGGGAAAGAGAGAGAGAGAGAGACACGGAAGGAAGGAAGGAAGGAAGGAAGGAAGGAAGGAAGGAAGGAAGGAAGGAAGCAAGCAAGCACAGAGAGAGAGAGAGATGGAAGGAAGGAAGGAAAGAAGGAAGCAAAGAGAGAGAGAGAGAAAAAAGGAGAGGAAAGGAAAGTAGGAAGGAAGGGAAACAAGAAAGAAAAAGTGGGGGCATAGTGGGGGAATCAAGGAAGGAAGTAAAAAACCCCACCAGATCCAGTACAGACATAAAAGCCAAACATAAATCCTGTCCACCAGACACTAATGAGCACCCTCTAAACTGCAAACCCGTAGGACTCCTTGGTAGTATGTGTCACCTCCACAACTATCAAGGGCACTTTTTAACCCAATGACAAAGCCAGACGTGATCTCATCTGTATGTAAAGTGAAGATCCTGTTATATAAAGGCACCGCCATGACAAGGAATGGCCAGTAACACAGAGTCATTGTGAACCCTAGGCCGGCAATGCTAGCAGCACAATTAGCACTCAGCGAGCAACTCCAGGTAATTTTTTTTTTTTTTTTTTTTTAGACGGAGTCCTGCTCTGTCGCCCAGGCTGGAGTGCAGTGGCGCGATCTCGGCTTGCTGCACGCTCCGCCTCCCGGGTTCATGCCATTCTCCTGCCTCAGCCTCCCGAGTAGCTGGGACTACAGGTGCCCGCCGCCACGCCCGGCTAATTTTTTGTATTTTTAGTACAGACGGGGTTTCACCGTGTTAGTCAGGACAGTCTCGATCTCCCGAGCTCGTGATCCACCCGCCTCGGCCTCCCAAAGTGCTGGGATTACAGGCATGAGCCACTGCGCCCGGCCAGCTCCAGGTAATTTTTAATGAGTAGAGGCGGGATGTCTGAGGGGCTTCCTAAAACCCAGCACCTGCTCGAGTATCTCCTGGGCACTTTTCCAGGGAGGCGTGTTAGGCTGAAGTCTCTATCATGCAAGCCAAAGATGTCGGAGGGGGGTACTGGACTGCAAAGAAAGAAAAAGGATGGAGACCATGAAGACTTTTTTGTGCAGTCAGAAAATTACTCATTTTCTGACACATTTATTGACCAGCACATATTCTGCCCAAATGCTGCCCTCTATGTGCTCTGGTCTGCGTAGTCTGGGTACGCCTGGGGCCCATCGCTAGCTGGCATGTACTGTGACGTGCGGTGGCTGTGGGGGCAATGGTGGTGCAGAGCTGGGAGATGGGGGAACATGACCATGGAGGCAGCAGGCTGTGCAGCCCCAGCAGCCACTAGGGTCACCGGTACCCAGAGATGGCAAAAGGGCAGCATGCCAGGTGCAGGAAGTCCTGTGGTGTCCATGGCAAGGGTACTACGGGACGCTGTGGGAAGGGCCACCACAGGCCCGTAAGAATTCATCTGAGTGGGAGATCCAGGGACATAGAGGAAGGGCAGCGCTGCAGGCCCAGGGACAGCGGCCACCGGAGTGACGTGAGCCTGGCTGCCCTCTGACCACTCGCCGGCCGGCTGGGTCACTGGACTGTTGTCACTCGCCACGGCGGAATCAGGCACCATCACAGGAGTTGCTGGTGGAGCAGAGCCACTCCTGATTTGGGTGTTGGGACCGGCCGGTTCCCGGTGTTGCGGTGTGACCTGGTCATTCTCATTCGGAGACGTGTGATCTTGTTGCTCAGTGTCTGCTGGTGCCAGACAGGATCCAGCAGCTTCTGGCTTGTCCTCCTCCTGATGTCTTGGTGCAGACTTGACACCCACTCTTCTCTTCATCCTCACGAGGAGGTGAGGGGAGTCTCTTTGAAAGTAAGGATGGCAGTAGAACTCTAACTATAAGTCAAAGTTTAAATAAACAAAAGGAAACTGCAAGTCACAAGGATGGACTACAACTACCAACCATCTACGCCCCTGTGCAAGAGAACTCTACTGGCCCAGGAGGCCTTTCTGGAAAAGGTCCCAGTCCCCAAAGGAAGCTGGGGACTCGCGTTCACATCGTCAAGGTTTACCAAGTTGTGGCGGGCCTTTCCGTCTTGGAAAAAGCCTCAAAATGGCAGATTAGGGTGTCCATGGCCGGCGGAAAGGGTCTTTGAAGTTGCAGACCAGGAGGGAAGAAGATTCTGGGCCTCCCCCATGCAGTGTCAGCTGGCAACAGAATGCACCCCGGCTGGGTTGGAGGCCCTGGGTACTGGCTCTTCCACACCAGGGGCCCACCTACCAAGGGCAGCAGGAGCATCTGCACCTCCTGCGCCAGGCGCCCTTCAGTGCTTCCACTTGAGCACCTCTCCAGACACCAGCTAGGGTGACAGTGGTACAAATACCAGACTCCCCTGGCCTGCTCACCTCACAGGGTAATGTGCTGTGGAGTCAGGGGGACACAGCAACCGCCAGATGACATGGCTGGCCCCGGGGAGGACGACACGCAGATACGGCTACTTGGCACCTGTGATATTTTACACACTCGAGAGGGGCCCGCACCATCCTCAGCCCTCTCCCCACATTCACTCTTAGTTCATGTCACCTCCACCCAGAGGGGGACACAGGCCCACAGCGATGGCCCCACACCCTGCCTGAGGTCGCCCACTTCCCAGGAGGCAGTCCTGGGACTTCCACCCGACCAGGCCCCAGAGCCCACCGACTTAACCCCTCCAGAGGCTTGTCGTTCATTACCTTATTCAAGATGGAGACCAGCCTTTTTGCGGAGAAAATGCGGGTGAAGGTCCTGAAAGTGCATTGACGCCGTTTTCGGAAGCCATACAAGTTTAGCTGGCGGAAGAAGCTCTTTATCGAAGTTGTGGCAAACACTTTGTGTGCGACGTCCCTTTTGAGAATCTCCTTTTCAAAGAGTTTTTGATTGATCACTCTACAAGCCCCACTGTCATCCCACCAGATGGACGAAAACTGGTTGCTGCTGACCAGTCTCCACAGTTTCTGTGGAAAGGGGAGGGAGAGGAGATTATCTTCTCCCTGGGGCGGGACGTCACCGTCAGGGTGCGGCCTTCTGAACGAAGCTTCCTCGGCCAGAGGTTGGAAAGCGATTTCTTCTGTCAGCAGCCTCAAGTTAGGGCTCCCAGTGGACCCCGGGTCGTCCCAGGCAGGGGAAGGATCTGCTGGGTGAAGGTAGGTCTCTGACTGCAACTGGGGAGGGAAAGGCACCCTTTCCAAGCCATGATCCTGTCCTCTCGAATTTCTTTCTTCACAGCGAGCCATACTCAATGATCGCTTGTCCTCCATCTGGCAAACTTGCTAGTGCAGTGTGGCCAGCAGCACCCCTTGGCAGTCATGTAACCAGCCCCATGACATCATAAAGGGGCTCTGACTGCCGGGGGGTGGCATCTCCACCCCCAGCAAGTTGTGTAATAAAGGGCCAAGGCAGACAAGTAGCTGCCCATCTGCATGTGCACATTCTGGTCCTCACAGTCATTTCAATGGGAAAGATGACACTAGTGCACAAGAGTGCCGAGGGGCCCTGCCACACCGTAGATGCAGACCTGGAGCGGTCCCCTTGTCCTAGAGCTCCTGAGCCAGGCACAACTACAGCAAAGCCCTGGCTCAGGAAGGTCAGAGCTCACCGTCTGAGTCATGGGCCCACAGACCCCAGCACATGACTGACACTCGGAAGCACAGAACAAAGGGTAGGACGGTGCCCATGGGTCAGGCTGTAGCCACGCCACCCTTTCCACCCTGTCCTAGCCAGAGGCAGCAATGTGCTCCATACAGATCCTCCTAACACACCCACACTGTCGGTCCCCAGCACGCAGATGCCCGACAGCCCCTTAGGCAAATGGCTTAGCTGACTGCCCCACCACACGCCGTCGCCATGCAGTCCAGTGGGGAGTCGGAGGCAGCCTCCTTCCTGCCTCTCCTCGGCCTGCACGTGTCCCCCCACCAGGCAGAGACCCTTCTACACCCCGGGTGTCTGCGGTCACATCGCGGTGGGGCATGCAGCTGTTGGCCTTCGAGCATGTTTTGTTTTCCTTGGCCAGTGTCTCCAGAGAAACGCACGTGGGTTTGTGTCCAGCGGTCCATCTCTGCAACAGTTGTTCCTTTGGGATTGGATGCTAGGAGGTCACGGGAGAGGTGTCCATCCAAAGCAGTGTCTGTGTCACACACTGTCCCCACACACAGGGCCACCTCTGCACAGACTCCCCCGACTCGATTCTGGGCACAGAGCTCAGTGACCTTCCAGAGACTGCCACGAACCGGTGATGCCTCCACGCTTGAGACATCCTGACCGCAGGGCCCAAGGCGCACTGGCTCAGGGGGTGACAGTGAGGGGTCTGCAAACAGACTGCTGATGCTCAACCCGGCCGCTGCCGAGCTGTGTGACTTGGGCACGTCACTTAACCTCTCTCGGCCTCTGTCTCCTCCCGGGGATAAGAGTAGTAGCACCTGCTTCCCGGGGCTGTGAGGATCCAGTGGGACGTATAGGAACTAGCGAGGCACCGGCAGTTGGGTCAGAGCTACTGTTGTCACTTCACAAGGCATTTTCTTCAACAGCAAGTCGGAAATCTCATGAGCCTAAGGCAGAATCCACCTGTGGCCTCTGGTTACAACCCACAGGACTGAAAATCCTTCCAGCCACAGCAACTGGTGAATTTCCTGGTCAATTGCCACAAGTCATGAGCTGAACCCCACTTGAGTTTCAGTTCAGGCAGAACTCTAGAGACGACTAGGGCAAGCTAGACAGCGACTGCAGAGCCTTTTGTTGCAGCGTGAGCAGTCCTCAGCTGTTGACATCACTGGGGAGCAAACGAGGACCAGGAGCGGTGAAAGGACAGTGTCTGCTGCAGATTGTCGTAGCACCCAAGGAACACTCCAGAAAGCCTCCTAAGCAGTAACAAGTGTGGCAAGGTGTAGCCCAGCCAACAGTGGCATCTGCGAGGCGTCCCCTCCTTCCTCCCACTACCCCGTATACCCTGGGACCTGTGCACTGAAGGACTCATTCTAAAGGCTGTGCCCCTGCAGCCGCCAGCCTCACTCACTGGCTGCCTGTGCCAGCTAGAGATTTCTTTCCTCTGAGGCTGGCTGAGAGGACCACTCCAGTTTCCTGGCCCATCCAGCAAAGAAGATACACATCATGCACGTGTAAAATGAGGAACCGGTTTATTGAACAGCTTAAGGAGAGCAAAAATAGTGGCTTTAGCTACATTTTTTACACACTGAGCAGGAAAGTCTAAACCATCCCGTTCCCCTGTACCCCAAAGAGAACAGGGCTTGCTGGAGGCCAGTGCCAAGGGCGGAGTCGTGCTCGCAGCAGACTTGAATTAACCCCATGTAGGCCGGCGAGCAGTTGCCCGCGTGAAAACACCACCCTCTTCTCCTGGCTGAGACGATCAAAGCTCTTTTTTTACCCTCTTTTCAGCAAAGGACCTATTTGTTTTCAGGCAGGAGGATGTTAAACTTGCAGCCTCTGACACACGGTGGAACCTGCAGTGCTTGGAGAAACGGCACGCACACGTGAAAACATCATGCCTACTCCAAAGCCTTCTTGTTGCTGGCAGGAGGGAAGCTTGAGACTTTCCCACGCATAGTCGTGACCCGCGTGGCCGTTTCTGCTCTCAGCAACATTCTCTAGTGTTCCGGCTTCAAGCAGCGCTTGTCAGGTTTGAAGCTAGCCACTATTCTGAGAACGTCAGAAAAGCATGGACCATCTCTTGCTTGGTGTTGCCGTTCTGGCAGTAGCAGCTACTACGTACCTGCACGAGTTCCAGGGCAGAAGTGGCAATGTCCCATGAAGGCGTGGCACCCCACGGGGGGGGGGGGGGGAGTGTGCCACGGGCGTCCACTTCTGCAGCAGAAGGCATGTGCCTACAGCACAAGCTTGTAAAAAAATACTTGAACAGAATATGCTGTACAGAACTAGGGGTTAACACCGCATATGAAGATGCTAAAACATTTGTATAAATACTCTGTATACAAGCATGGAGTCACTCCCGTAGAAAGGGCTCATCCGTGAGGCTATGAAAAACTGCTGTCAGCATGCCCAAAGAGAAACTACTTCCACAGTAGGAACAGAAAAAAGGACTGTGCTGTGTCTAAACACGTGGTGCATCAGAGACATAGTTACAGTTCCTACTGACTGCCCCAGCCACGACCTGGGAGTGCTGAGGACCTGGGAGTGCTCAGCGAGCTGCAGGAGGTCAGCCCTGTGGAGAAATACATTTCTAAACAATACTTTTGATTGGGATTTCAGCACCGTATAGACAGATGTTCCTTCTGGGGGCCTGGCAAGCAGCCATCTCCCAGTGGGTCTGACGGGGAAGAGGGGTACCTGGAGCCCCTCCCAGACAGACGGTAATCCCACCCCTGTTCTCACACTCTTCCTGGCATCCGCATCTGCTGGCACACACCCCCGTCACCTGCCACTTCCGCGTCCCGTCGTGGTGAGTGGCTGATAGGCGCTGGATGCAAACAAGGCATGAGATGGACGTACCTGGAGACCCAGCTCCAGTACTGGTTCTGGTCTGCGGGGTGAACGAGGGGGCAGAGGAAGGCGGAGAGAGTGCGTCCCAGTCCACTTAAGCTCTGTCCCCGGAAGTGGCATCTAATCTGGCATTTCGATATTTAATTTGGGAGGTGGGAGCACATACTTCCCAGGGCTCTGGGCAATGACCACCCTGGCCTTCTTTCGAAACATGGGTGCGATTTTAGGGGGCTCCGGAACTGGGGTCTCTTCGGTTTCTTCATTATCTTCGTGATGGAGATCATAGGAAATGTTTCCATATTCTCGTAGAAATGGGAAGATTTCAAGCAGAAACTGACAGAAATCTTTGCGGATACCAAACCACCCTGAAAAATAAGAATTTTTTATTTCACACACGAGGCTCAACTGACCTTCCTGTTAACTTTCTTTCCGTAACAAGAAGTTTCACTCCTACAATGTCATAACATACTTTATCCAGACTCCTGAGTCACAAAGCCTGAACAGGGCTTGAGTACCCAAAATGGGGAAGAAGTGCAAATGCTAGCTCTGTGGTGCTTGGAGTGGGGTTCCCGGACCGGCAGGGACAGCGTCCACGGGGCCTAGTTAGGGATGCCATTCTCGGGCCCCAGCCCAGACCTCCAGAAACTGAGTCGGGCTAGGGTGGGCTCCAGCGGTCCCCTTTTCCTGGCCCTTTTGGGATTCTGCTGGATGCCCAAGTTTGAGAACTACTGCTCCAGTGAGTCTCAAAATATCTGTGGTGCGCAGACTACGGTGTCTTCCGCTAATCTTCTCCAGCCAGGATAAACTCATGGATGACAGTGCCACCCAAGAACAAGATTTCTGTCACCCTCTGGAATCCGTGAGGGCGGTAGTCATGCACGGGTCCTGGCCAGGAGGGGGCCTGAACTCATGGAGCCACCTTAAAGCCACTTTCCCAGTCCCACTACTCCTCTCTGTAGGCTACTGGAGTGTCAGCTCGGTGCAAGCCCTCCCTGCTCCCGGGTGCGGGGTAGGGGGCAGAGGCACAAACAGCAAGCACAGCCCGGGCTGCTGGGCTGCAGTGAGGCCCTGCCCCCAAACCCACTGGCTTTCCGAAGGGCAATGCTCTGGGCTTCCGTGCCATGGAGCCCACAGCCTTGCCAGGAAGGCACCCTCTGCAGAGATCGTTTTGGAAGTGTCTGCCTCAGCAAGCAGGTGGAGGGGAATAGAGTGTTAGCAAGGCAAGACAGGCAAGACTCGGGTGATGGCAGCAAGGATATGGGGGAGGCAGAGAGGCCAACAGGGACCTAGGATGAATCCCAGGTTTGGGTGGGAGATGTGGATTTTCCATCAAACCCTCCCGGGCCTGGGAAGAATCTGTCTTGATCCCCATTTTGCAGAGGAGGGAACGGGATCTCTGAGAGGTTGCCTGCCGTGTCTGGTTCTACCTCAAATGGCAGCGTGCACTGCGAGAAAAGTCCCGGTGCAGGCCAGCAGAACACCAGAGTTACGGCATGCCCTTCCCTTAGAAGGTCCCAGAATTTCCTCAGCCCTCACTTTCCCACACAAGCTTCTAAATTGGGGCCCTCGGGGACTCATCCCTTCCTAGACTTCTATCCGCCCCCCCCCCACTCCCTGGTCCCCCCCCAGACACACACCAAGGACTTCTGAAATGCTGAGTACATACAGTGGTTTCCTCCCTTCTGTCCAAATGTGGTTGCCATCAGCGTGATCAACGAGAGCCAAAGGGGGACAAAGATCGGGATGCTGGAGAAGGCGTTGTGGCCATCCAGTTTGTGAACCAGCAGAATCTAAAGAAAGAGACATAGTCCCGGTTGATGCCAGCACCGAAAATGGGCAGAGGCGGAAGCCAGACTTCATTAGGCAGTTCCTCCCCACCACCCCACCCCCGCGTGAGCTCCCACAAGAGGGAACATCAGCACCGCCAGAAAAAGGCAGGAAACCACCTATCCCTGGGGAAAGCTCGAAATGAGCTTTTATGTCCCTCTTCAGAGCTCGGCAATAGCCTATCCACTTGAAAAGTTCCCAGTGCCAGCAGTTTTATGGCAAACTCCTCCGGGTGTTTGTTCTAAGGAGTCAACAGCTCCCATTCTAGAATTCTCCACGTGACTCCAATACACAAATCTGACATCCCACTCTGCTTTCCCCAGAGTGGAAACTGGAGCCATACAGAGGCACCATGGCTAAAAAGGTGCACTCTTCTCCCTGCCAGCCCCACGTGCTGCCCCCAAGAGAAAGGAAGGATGCTCTCCTTTCACCGAAGCTCCCTCTCGGAGATGGCTGTGTTCTCTCCCCTCTCCTGGAGTGGGCTCACTGTGAGCTCGAGGGACAGAGGCTGCCTTTCTAGGGGTGCAGAATCCTGTCAGGGGAAGCGCAAGCTTCAGGGGCTGAAGAGGCTTCCCGTGGAACGCTTACCTCAAATGTAAGAAGGGGCACGACGATGGTCATCCAGCTCAGGGCCATGGTTATGTGTGTCCTGCGCTGCTCCGCAATCACATCCATAGAGCGCAAGAACAAGACGGACCACACAATGTAGTAGAGGACCACCAGGCACAGAAAGGACATGAGAATCCACAGCGGGACACACACAACCTGGGGGTGGGTGAGAGAACAGCAAGAGAAGTCTCTTTAGAGCTTCCAACCTGGCCTCTGATGGAAGGCATCTTTAGCACCTTGCTGTGTCTGTCCAGTTAAGGCGGTCCTTCCCGTGAGCCGAATAAGGACCGTTCCATCTCCCAGGACTGCTGGGAGCATCGCTCAGGACAGAAAAGGTATGGTATGTTCACTATGGGGCCTGCTGCCACCAGGGGACACACACGCTCAGTGAGTCATCAGTCCCTCTTCCTTTGGGTGACAGACAGCCCTGCACCTGGCTCCGCAGCCTCTACTCTTCCAGAGGCCCACTCTCCCACACTCTCTCAGGCTCCTCTAGGTTCTGCTGCCATCACAGCTTCCCGGGAAATGGGACACAACTGTCACCCTGTGCACACACACAAGATCTCACCCCAACAGACTCTCTTCACAGGCAACATTCCCACAACCTGCTGGGGGTACTTTGGCAACACAAATGGGAATGGGCTCCCCAGAAAGTCTGGCTGCCTGGGCTCCTAAGGATCCCTAACCTCACCCCTACCAAGTTAGTGAACTTGGCGGGTTGATGCTGGATACAGGTTGATGCTGGATACGTAGCGCTGCCGGGTCCCCGCCTCCACGGCAAGGGCGCATTCCCAGTATGTCCCTGTCGTACCAGGTAGACCTTGTCTCATCCACACACAAGCCCAGAGGACGAGTTCCGGGGGCGCCACTTGGCCAGGCTCCCCTGTGACACGTCTTCGCCCTCCTGCCCTGCCTCCTGGGACGACACTCCTCCGTTCTCCCTTTTTATTAATTATCTATCATACAGTAGGAAAAGTGACCGTCTTCCTTTGGTGTGAGTTCCCTGAGTCTTCACACAAGTAGATTCGCACAGCCGTTGGCAGGATGCAGAAGAGGTCTGTCACCCTGCAAAACTCTCCGTGCTGTCCCTTCACTATCACACCGTCCCCACCATTAGCCCCGGCAAACACTGATCTGTTCTCTGTCACTGTACTTTTGTCTCTGCTGGAACTTTATGTAGATGGCATCGCGAGACAAGTAACCTGTTGAGACTGGCTTCCCGCCATCCACATAATGTCTCTAATGAGATTCATCCAAGTTGTTCCCTCCCTGTATCCACAGGTCGTTCCCTCTCAGTTCTGAGTGGTATTCCATTGTATGGATGCCTACAGTTTATCTGACTGTCCGCTGAGGGTGGTTTGTGAAAACCAAACAAGGCCGCTATCCAAAATGCAAACAAGACTGCTACAAACACTGGTGTGTGGGTTTCTACAAGGCTGCGCGCTTTCACTTCTCTGGGGGTAAATCTTATACCCAGGAGTGGGGCAGCCAAGTCCCACGGGAAGTGCGCTTTTAACTGCATCAGAGATGGCCAAACCATTTTCTACAGTGCCCGTACCACCTGCCTTCCCGCCAGTAACACTGGAGTGTCCCAGTTCCTCTGCATCCTCCCAGGCACGTGGCCTCGTCAGTGTTGCTGAGTTTCACCATTCTGAAGCCATGTGTTTCGGGCCCTCATCCTGGTTGTAGTTTGTCTTCCCTAACCTGTAATGGCGTTGAGCATCTTTTCCTGTGCTTTTTCGCCATGTGTATATCCCCTTCGCAAATTGTCAACTCTTTTGCCAATTTTTAGGTGTTTCTTTTTGCAGTTTTGAGTTTTTAAGAGTTCTCTGTATGTTCTGGGTGCAAGTCAGTGTTTTGATGTGTGCTTTGCAAATATTTTCTCCCAGTCTGTGGCCTGTCTTTATTTTATTTTTGAGGAAGTCCAAATTTATTTATTTATTTGGTTCTAGGACTGGGGCATAGAAAATACAAGGTGAGCTTAGCATTTTGTGGCGCAGGAAAATAAAGACGTGCTTAAGAAATGATGCAGTATATAAAAAGGGTACAGGAGCTTCCAAAGACTAAAAGGGCTCCCAAAAGCTGGAAAATTTGAGCAACAATATAAATAATGGTAGTACTGAATTATAAGCAATAGAATAAAACAACAATTTAGATTTTTCTCAGGTATGAGCATGGATTATCTCTTCATTTATTTAGATGTTTTCAAATTTTTCTGTCATATTTTGTAGTTTTCAGTGTACAGGTCTTACAAACTTTTCATTAAATGTATTCCAAAGTATTTTATGTTTTGCTATTCATAAAGCACTTGCTTTTTGTCATTTTCATGTGTTTGCTGTTAGTATAGAGCTATAGTATTAATTTCTTTGTATTAAATGTGTATCTTATAACCGTGGTATATTCACTTATTAATTGCAGTTTTCCTTTTTTCTTTGTAGAATCCTTAGGATTTTCCACACTGACCATCATGTTGTTTGCAGTAAAGACCATTGTATTTCTTCCTTTTGAATCATGTTTTTCATTTCTTTCTCTTGCTCTATTGCAATAGTTTGAACCTCTAATAGAAAAAGTTGAGGAGAAGTATGAAATCCGTTATTTTTGCCTTGATCCTGACCTTAGATGGAAAACATTCAGTATTTCATCATTAAGCATATTCTTAGCTCTAGTTTTTTTGTAGATTTCCTTTAATGAATTGATAATGCTCACATATATTTTTAATTTGCTGAGAATTTTTTAAAATAAAATGTGTTGAAATTTTCAAATGATACTCTGCATTTAATGGTCATTAGATCTTCTTTGCTCTTACTGATTTTCTACTTTTCTCTATCAATTATAGGAATCTTATATAGGTCCTAAGTTTAGGTCTAGATAAAGAAAGAATACCAGAGAAGAAATAAATAAAGGTAAAATAAAATGCTTTCTTATTCTTAACTGACCTAAAAGGTAACTATTTATTTAAGTTAATAATAGTAACAATGTATCAGACAACTAGTGTATATGGATAAATGAAATAAATGATTGTAATGTTACAAGCAATGCAATGAAGGAACTGAGTATACTCTTTTATAAGGTATCTATAGTACATATGAAGCAGTATAGTGTTGTTTTATGGCATGTTATTAAAATATATATTATAAACTCTAAGACAAAGACTAATTTTTTTAAAAAAGGTGTAATTTTACATGTACTAAATGTTTTATAAAGCGAAAGAAGACAGAAAAAGAAGAGGAATAAAGAAAAATTAAATACATAGAAAACAGTTACATGCATGGTAGATATTAATGAATTATATTAATAATCTCTTTCAGTTTGAATGGTCTAAGTATACCAATAAAAGACAGGTTGTCAGAATTAATAAAAAATAATACTCAAGAACATATTGTCTATAAGAAACCCATTTTTAATTATAAGGACTCACATAAGTTCAATGTAAGGAGGTTGAAAAAGGTATTCTAACACTGACAAAAGAAAGCTGGAATAGCTACATTAATTTCATATTTAGAGTGTCTAAAGTTAAAAAAAACAGACAATATCAATTGCTGGCACGGATGCTGAGCAAAAAGAATCATTCATTGCTGGTGGGAATGCAAATAGTACAGTCACTTTGTAGTACAGTTTGTGAGTTTCTTACAAAGCTGAACATAGTATTACCATGTGATTCAGAGAACACACCCCTAGGTATTAATCCAAGTAATTTGAAATTTTAATTCTACACAAAATCTTGCATATAAATTTGTATCATAGCTTATTTTATAATTGTCAGTAATGGATTGAACTAAGTTGTTCTTCAGTAGGTGAATGGATAAACAAACTGTGGTACAACCATTTAATAGAACACTATTAATCAATAAAAAGAAATGAGCTGTCAAGCTATATTAGTCTGTTTTCATGCCGCTGATAAAGACACACCTAAGCCTGGGAAGAAAAAGAGATTTAATTGGACTTACGGTTCCACATGGCTGGGGAGGCCTCAGAATCATGGCAGGAGGCGAAAGGCACTTCTTATATGGCAGTGGCAAGAGAAACAAAATAAGGAAGAAGCAGAAGTGGAAACCCCTAATAAACCCGTCAGATCTCTTGAGTCTTATTCACTATCACAAGAATAGCATGGGAAAGACCAGCTCCCATGATTTAGTTACCTCCCCCCTGGGTCCCTCCCACAACACATGGGAATTCTGGGAGACACAATTCAAGTTGAGATTTGGGTGGGGCCACAGCCAAACCACATCACAAGCCATACAAAGACATGGATAAATATTAAATGCCTATCCCTAAGTGAAAAAAACCAGCCTGAAAAGTTTAGATAGTGTATGATGATACAATTTATTTGGCATTCTGGAAAAGGCAAAACTATAGAGACAGTAAAAAGATCAGTTGCTTCCAGGGGTTGGGTGGGTGAGGGGGAAGGATTGAATAGGGTAAGCACAGGGGATTTATTAGGGTGATGAAGCTATCCTGTATGATACTGTAATGGTGAATATAACACTATGCATTTGTCAAAATGCTCAGAACAATTGTGACCCCTAAAGTATGCAAATATAAAAAAATAATTTAGGAGGTCTGAATATCCCAGGAAAGAATGGACAATATGACAAAACAGAATAACTATATATTACAAAGATATGAAACAACCTCTTTAATGAATATCAAGAGAAAAGGTGCTGGCATAAGTAACTGTGGAAGTGAGTAGAGCCTGTAAGAATAAAGTTAGAAGGAACTCAACACTCCAGAAAAGAAGGGCCCTCCAGGATTCTGGCTGTTGCCGATTGTCAGCCCTAGGATGACCCTGGCAAGAGGCTGGCTGTGGCATGCTCTCACTTCTGCAGTGGGGTGAGAGTGGGGCTTCAGGGAGGTAAGGCCTTGGTCTGAAATGGAGAACTCAGATAATCAAGGGCTAGGTTTGGGATAGGAGTAAATTGAATGAAAATAGTGGTTTGGATGGAAAAGCAGCTGGGAGGGAGAGAATGAGTTGGTCTTTCACTCAACTTTCAAGATCTTTGAGCTGCATCCAGATGGGGAAGACTCTTATACGCCCAAATTAAATAATAGGCCATCTCGGAGGGAAATTTTACTAACTTTTATTCACAAAGCTTCAATTTTGACTAATTTGATATTATATGTTCTATTGAGCTGCATATTCTCTGAGATATTTTAGATAACAACAGAAGTAATTCCCAAAGGAGGTTATAGTAAGATGTGGTCTAAAAATAATATTTGAAAACTACCATTTATTAAATATTCAATATATGCCAGGCACTGTGTCAGGCAATTCAATACATTTCTTACAACAGTCTTACAAAAAAATGATCTAGCAAATAGAATCTTGTTGTCTCCTGTTCTTGGCTCTATGGGGACCTGATCACGGGTGGCCCTAAGTGTCAAGCTCACTTGTACCACAGGCAGGAAGTTAGGGAACCCACAGGGAGATGGGGTCTTGGTGTAAAGGGCAAATGTCTGCTCATCTCAGGGATTGGGAGCCGAGGAATGGCAGGCCCCAGCAGATGTAAAGATGAATAACCCACAGGAGGACTTTGGTACACCCATCCCAGAACCAACAGGGCCAGCCTTTAGCTCTGGTTGGGGAGAAGCCCCTGTAGGAAGGTGTGGGTCTTCTCCCAGAGGTCACTAAAATCACAGGTGCTGAAGACCCCCAGGAAGCACCTAGCCTGGAACCCACGGCCATTCTCTGCAAGGGGTGCAGTTGGCAAATGCTCAGAGGTGACAGAAACAGAGCATCTCCCACCCATCACTTCATCAAAGAGCTGGGAGCCAGGAGGAAGAGTCTCCTGAGTGAGAAGTGAGGGTCCACCGTCCCCACATAGAGGGGCCACAGAATCCAGCTCGGTCCCTCCTGTCAGCCCTGGAAGACCTTGGCAATGTTGTCCCCCGACCTGACACCTCCCCCTCACTGCCACTTCAGGGGACTCAGAGTCAGAGACTTGGTCTGAGGAGAGGAGACACCATTGGCAGAGGACGGAGCTCCAGGCTCTGCAGAGAATGAAGGACAGAAACCTGAGGGAGGATTGAGGCACCTCCATGACCCTCGACCACATCTGCACCCCTCGCCATTACTCTTCCCCCTGCCCCCACCCCAGCAGAATCGAGTACTGCCACTGCTGTCAATCCAGGGAAGCTCCAGGCATGGGGGCCAGATGTGACCTCCACTGGCTTCTGCCTCTGGGATCTGAGAGAAGAGAGAGCATCTCTCTGAGGGGTGTCTTGAGAGTGGCAGAAGGCAGCGGGCCCAGGCTCCATGAGGAGGCAAGGTGAGAGCTGAGGGAGGACTGAGGAGTCCTCCTACCCAGATAGAGGGCCCCAAATAATCCAGCGCCAACCCTGGAGCCAGCCCTGAAACAACAGGGGACCAAATTATCAGGCTGAGACAATCCCCCTCCTCAATGCCCAAGGAGACTCTGCGAGTCTATGGTGTGACCCGGGCAGAGGCAGTTCCGTAAAGGGTGGGGCCCTGGCCTTTCCAGACATCAACATCAGGACTCTGAGAAATTATGGAGAGGTTCCACCCCATCCTGATAGAGGGGCCCCAGAGTCCATCCTTGTCCCTGCAGTCAACGCAAAGGACCTCCGGGCTTGGTACCGCGGACTTGCACATTAGGGGGTCAGAGAGAAGTGACAGCCCGGTTCTGAAGGGCGGCTTGTGATCCGCTGAGGGCAGCGGGCCCAGGCTCTGTGAGGAGGCAAGATGAGATGCTGAGGGAGGACTGAGGACGCTCCCTCCCCAGATAGAGGACCCCAGATAATCCAGCACCGCCTCTGCTGCCAGCCCTGGATCACCCCATGGGGATGGACTTCTCAGGCTGGGCCGTCCCCTCCGACACCCCCCTCGGCTTCTGCCCCCTGCCGCTTAAGCCTCAAGGGACTGTGGGGTCAGAGCTTGGTGTGACCAGGGCAGGGCTGGTTGGGGGGGGCAGGACCCAGGTTCTGCCAGGCATCAAGGTCAGGACCCCGAGGGAGGGCTGAGGCCCCACAGAGCGAGGCTCCCTCTCTGCTGTCAGCCCTGGGAAGTTCCTGGCATTGCTGCCAGGCAAGTGGATCCTGATTTCCGCATCCCGGGCTGACCGAGGGAAGAGGCTTGGTATCATGAGAATGGCCTAGGGGGAGCACAGATAAGGCCCAGTCCCTGCTGGGAGATGAGGGAGGCCTGAGGGGACCCAGCACCCCAGGACAGGGGGCCCACCCCGCCCCCATCTTAGACTGAGGTGCCTCCTCATTCGGCGTTGGGAATCTGAGGGATGGAGACTCAGGTCCGCAGAGGGGATCTCTGGTTCAGCCCTGCCAGGATCAATGGGAGGAAGAGGGAGGACTCAGGAGGCCTTGGACTCCAGTTCAGTGGGGACCTTGGCCCTTGGAGTTCCAAGGCACAGTGCCCAAATGTGGTGCATCCTCGCTCTGCCTTTGGGGTGTCAGAGAGGAGTGGGTTGTGGTCTGAGGAGTGGAGCCTCAGGTCAACCCCAGGAGAAGTCCCAGAGCACTGAGGGAGGACTCAGACAACAAGTTATCCCTGAGGTAGAAATCCTGCCCCTGCCATCAGTCCTGGGAGGCCCCAGGCAGGACTCTAGGAAAGAGAGGCAGCTCCCCACTTCCTAGTTGGATTTCTCTGGGAGATGGTGGTCTTGGCCTGCAAAACCCATCCACAATTCAGGGATACCCAAAAAGGACAGCAGGAGGTGGTGATAGTCAGCTGGGTCCATGTGTGCTGGGGTAAGGAGCCTGTTTGGTCCCCATCTTTGGTGTGTATCTGGGCCTGGGACCCTCCCTCTTTTGACCTAAGGCCATCTCCTTAAACCAAAGCTCTATCTCCAGGAGACATCAGAAGAGGAGATCAGGGAAGTGGAAACACCCATGGTTCCCGGGGACTTCGCATGGCTGACAGAAGGGGCAGGGAAGGGCTGAGTCCCATGTTTTTGGTAAGTGCTGTCCCGTCAGCCCTCACCTTGATTCTGGTCATGGCCTGGGACCCTCCCACTGCTGACCTAAGTGCAGCCCTCTCAGACCAATGCCTCCCCCTCCCTGAGACCAATGATCCCAGTATAAGAGAGGGATCTCAGCAGATAGTCCTGCACATGCTCTCTGGGGAGACAGCAGGGGCAGAGCAGATTTCTAAGCAGCCATCTGTGTTCTGGCCAGGAGGAACCCTCAATCCTCCCTCAGGTTTCTCACCTGGACTCTTGGCAGATCCTGGGACCACTGTAGTTGTGGACCATACGGGGCTCTTTCTGTTGACTGGAAGTCGTCCTCTGAGAACATAGTGCTCACCTGCCCAAGATTCCAAAACAGAAGTAAGGGGCCCCACGTCCCATCACCCCATCATGTGGTTGTCCAGGGCTGACAGCAGAGGCTGGACCCTTCTGTTCTGGGGATTCCAAAGTCCTCCTGTGGGTTTTTCATCTTTACTTCTGCCAGGGCCTGTCCTTCCTCTACTCCCAACCCCTGAGATGAGCAAACATATCCCTTTACACCAAGACTTCCCTTTACACCAATCTTCAGGGAATCTCCCTGAAGATTCCCCAACTTCCTGCCTGTGGTACAAGTGACCTTGCCACTTAGAGCCACCCATGATCAGGTCTCCAAAGAGACAAGGACAGGGGACAGAGAGACTCTGTGGGATCCCTTCATTATGGGATGGGGGTATCTCCAGTCCTCACGAGGGGTTCACATCTTGAGTCCTAAAGATCCTGGGACTCCTTCCTCTGCTGACCAATTGTGGCTCCACTGCTGACCTACCTATCATCACCCCCTTGGAACCAGATGCTCACCTCCATGAAACCTCCCACCCCCAACCACCTGGCAGAAATGTGAGCATGGCACATACCTCCCCTACCTGGGGCCTCCAGGGGATGAAGGGAAAGGGGCAGGCATTGTCATGAGTAAATCTGAATACCTGGAGGACACCCAGAGAGAGCAGGCACCCTGAAATCTGCTCCATCTGTCAGCCTTTGGCATGCCATGCAGGGCTGTCCGTGTAGTGCCCCTTCACTTTGTGCCTCCCACATCTCAGAGAGGTAG
The DNA here is from genome assembly GCF_000001405.40 of Homo sapiens. Taxonomy (NCBI): domain Eukaryota; kingdom Metazoa; phylum Chordata; class Mammalia; order Primates; family Hominidae; genus Homo; species Homo sapiens. The sequence continues at coordinate 149,760,028 of NC_000023.11, read as the reverse complement.
GGCCCTTGGTCTGAGGCAGGTTGTCAGGTCAGCAGAGGGATAGACACCTGCTCAGCACAGGGTGGAGTCCAGGATCTGCCAGTGGGTCCGGAATTGGTGGGTTCTTGGTCTCACTCACTTCAAGAATGAAGCCGTGGACCCTCACGGTGAGTGTTACAGTTCTTAAGGGCGGCGTGTCCAGAGTTTGTTCCTTCTGATGTTCGGAGTTTCTTCCTTCTGGTGGGGTTCGTGGTCTCGCCGGCTCAGGAGTGAAGCTGCGGACCTTCGCGGTGAGTGTTACAGCTCTTAAGGTGGCGCGTCTGGAGTTGTTCGTTCCTCCTGGTGGGTTTGTGGTCTCGCTGGCTTTAGGAGTGAAGCTGCAGACCTTCGCGGTGAGTTCGCGGTGAGTGTTACAGCTCATAAAGGCAGTGTGGACCCAAAGGATGAGCAGCAGCAAGATTTATTACAAAGAGCAAAAGAACAAAGCTTCCACAGTGCGAAAGGGGACCTGAGTGGGTTGCCACTGCTGGCTGGAGCAGCCTGCTTTTATTCTCTTATCTGGCCCCACCCACATCCTGCTAATTGGTCCATTTTACAGAGAGCCCAGTGGTCTGTTTTGACAGGGTGCTGATTGGTGCCTTTGCAATCCCTGAGCTAGACACAAAGGTTCTCCACCTCCCCACTAGATTAGCTAGATACAGAGTGTGGACACAAAGGTTCTCCAAGTCCCCACCAGAGTAGCTAGATACAGAGTGTCAACTGGTGCATTCACAAAACCTGAGCTAGACACAGGGTGCTGATTGGTGTGTTTACAAACCTTGAGCTAGATACAGAGTGCCAATTGGTATATTTACAATCCCTGAGCTAGACATAAAAGTTCTCCAAGTCCCCACCAGAGCAGCTAGATACAGAGTGTCCATTGGTGCATTCACAAACCCTGAGCTAGACACAGGGTGCTGATTGGTGTGTTTACAAACCTTGAGCTAGATACAGAGTGCCGATTGGTGTATTTACAATCCCTTAGCTAGACATAAAGGTTCTCCAAGTCCCCACCAGACTCAGGAGCCCAGCTGGCTTCACCCAGTGGATCGGGCACCAGGGCCACAGGTGGAGCTGCCTGCCAGTCCCGCGCCGTGCGCCGGCATTCCTCAGCCCTTGGGTGGTCGATGGGACTGGGTGCCGTGGAGCAGGGAGTGGCGCTCGTCCAGGAGGCTCGGGCAGCACAGGAGCCCACGGAGCGAGGGGGAGGCTCAGGCATGGTGGGCTGCTGGTCCCGAGCCCTGCCCCGCGGGAAGGCAGCTAAGGCCAGGCAAGAAATTGAGCACAGCAGCTGCTGGCCCAGGTGCTAAGCCCCTCACTGCCCCGGGCAGGGGGGGCCAGCCGGCCGCTCTGAGTGCGGGCCTGCCCAGCCCACACCCACCCGGAAGTCGTGCTGGCCCGCAAGCACCGAGCGCAGCCCCGGTTCCCGCCTGCGCCTCTCCCTCCACACCTCCCCGCAAGCTGAGGGAGCCTCCGCCAGCCCAGGAAGGGGCTCCCACAGTGCAATAGTGGGCTGAAGGGCTCCTCAAGTGCTGCCAAAGTGGGAGCCCAGGCAGAGGAGGCGCCGAGAGTGAGCAAGGGCTGTGAGGGCTGCCAGCATGCTGTCACCTCTCACCAGTAGTCAAGGAGAGGAATATTGGTGAAGACTGAAGGTAAGAAGGTACCCTCTCACATGCCAAGAAAAAGGGATCTCACAAATCCCAGCTTCCTCTGTTTCCCTCGGCCTCTCTTATGATGGCATACTGGGTGATGAGCAGAGCATGCCCAAGTCTGGCCTCCTGATAATAGTCCTGGGTGTGATCTTCATGGAGGGGAACTGCGTCCCATGGAGGTTATGTGGGAAGTCCTCAGCATTATGGGGGTGTATGCTGGAAGGGAGCACTTCCTCTTTGGGGAGCCCAAGAAGCTCCTCACCCAAGATTGGGTGCAGGAAAAGTACCTGGTGTACCGGCAAGTGCCTGGCAGTGATCCTGCATGCTATGAGTTCCTGGGAGATGAGAGAGGCCTGAGGGGACCCAGCACCCCAGGACAGGGGGCCCACCCCGCCCCCATCTTAGACTGAGGTGCCTCCTCATTCGGCGTTGGGAATCTGAGGGATGGAGACTCAGGTCCGCAGAGGGATGGGTAAGAAGTGGGATCCCTCCCATTGGCGTTGGCTATGTACTCAAGAACTTGCATCTTGCTGGTCTCAGGGTGGGCCCTTGGACCCCACAGGGGACATTGGTGGAAACAGCAACACCACATGTCCCTTATTGGACAGAGCAAAGGGATATGGAGAATGCTCACCCTGTGTTTCCTAAGGACTGCAGGGCTGCAGCAGCTAGGACGTTCCATGCACCCCACATCCTCTCCTACAGGCATTTCAGGGTCCAGCATCCTCCACAGCAGCCTCCTGTATGGACACACATCACACAGGACTGGGACAATTCTGAACATCACAGGGCAGAGCAGATGGGAGCATACCTGTGCCCATCCGTGGATAGGTCTTGAGGGTTTCCAGGTGCCCCAAACCTGCCCCCTGAGGGGCTGGTGAGAGACCTCTCAGCCATGGTCTCACTTCCCTGAGAAACCTCCCTGTTCCACCAGCCATGGCTAAACCCCCTACTCTGAACTCCAGCCTCCTTGACAAGGGGCTGATCTCCTGCCTGGCTCTTGCCAGCCTTTCTCTGTGGCAATTACCCCTGGTAAGTGTTCTATAGCCCTTCTTGAGCAAGTATGGGGTCCCAGAGCATCTAGCCTTATTAGGGGGCTCTGGTCACAGTCCAAGTGAGAGGAATTGTGAGGCCAAATTAGGGCAGTGGTTGAAAGGCTGGAGATGAGGGATGGATTTCCGAGGTATCGCACAGGGGGAAGAGGCGGGTCTTGTGGGCGAGTCCAGCTTAGAGGCTTCAGGGGAGGAAAGGTCTGAGGACAACTCAGAAATGGTTGGCGTCACATTTCCTAGTTCTCTGTGCTTGTGTATGGTTTCTTTTATAAAAATTAAATTCATCAGTCTGCAAAGTTTCCTTTTGTTACCTCCATTTTTAAAATTTCATAGACTTTATTTATTTTGAGGTATTCTATGCTTGAAAATAATTTTCAAAGATAGTACAAAGTTTCTATATGCCTCCTCCTTCAGTTTCAGGTTCCCCTATTGTTAACATCCTACATGAGTATGGTACATTTGCTACAATTGTTGCGTTACGTGTTACTAACTAAAGGTCACTCTTTATTGAGATTTATTTCATTTTTACCTACTGTCCTTTTGGTCCTCCATGATTCCATCCAGGATGCCACATTATATTTAGTGGTAAGGTCCCTTTAGATTCCTCTTGGGTGTGATACTTCTCTTGTTTTGGATGATCTTGACAGTTTTGAGGAGTATTGGTCAGGTATTTTGTAGAATGACCTTCAGTTGTGGTTTGTCTGGTACTTTTCTCATGATTAGGCTGGGGTTATGGGTTCTGGGGAAGAAGACAATAAAGGAGAAATGCCATTCTCATCACTTCACATCAAGGCTACATATTATCAGCATGACTTATTACTAATGATGTTTACCTTGAACACCTGGCTGAAGTAGTGCTCGCGAAGTATGGTTACTGTAAAGTTTCTCTTTTATTCCCCTATTTCATAGTGTTCTCTTTGGAAGAAAGTTACTCTGTGTAGCCCACACTATGAGCAGTGGGGAATCACATTCTGCTTTCTTGTGAGAGTGAGAGTATCTGCATAAATTGTTTGGAACTCTTTCCCATGAGAAATTTGTCTGTTCACCCTCATTTTTGCATTTAAGTAATCATTTATTTATCTCGATGTGGACTTACGGATACTAATTTTACACTTTGTGGAAAATCCAATACAACTTTATATGTTCTGTTGTTAAAATTACTCCAGGTTTGGCCACTGGGAGCACTTTCTCTTAGTTCTCTTTGTACATGTCTTTCTTATACATTTGTCAATGTGTTTAAATTTTTTTTTTTTTTTAGTATTTCTTTACTGTCAAGCACAATAAGATGTTCCAGGAATAGACTGCATATTTCCTGATCTGCTTCAACCATCAGCAATTTCTCCACTGAGCCCATTTTTTAAAATTGGAGAATGGTATTAGAAATCTAGATCTGTATATTAGGTATGCTCATTCCTACTGGGGTGTTGGTGGCATCTGCTGACAGAGCAAGAAATTATATGTGTGTATAGTAACCTGTTAATATATCTATAAATATTTCTAGATGCAATGATCTGCATGAATATTAAGTCAACAGTGAGTTCTTCCTAATATCTCTAACTCAAATCTGCTATCGCAGAGATCATTACAGCCTCCTCTCCTTGTCTGTCTGGAAATTTTTACTTAATAGTAAGAAACCTTGAGGTTGACAACTGGTTTGTGTGTCAGTGTCATGTTGCTTTTGCTAGATAGCCTCTGGGGCCTGGACAACTCTGGGAGGACTGCTAAAACTGAATTTGTGGGCCTGCAGAGCAGTGGTTCAGCTCCAGGACTCCCTGGATCTCACTAAAATAGCGTCTGCTCTCAAGGCTCTAGACTCTGAGGAGCTTGAGTGCTTTCCATCTATGAAGCTCTTGAAAAGGCAATGGTGCCTGTTATTCAAGTGTCTGAACTGACAAGCCATCTCCCCCTTCATGCCTGCTTTGGGCATGATCACTGGTAATAAAGATGTTGCTGTCCGATAGGAACACTGGCAAGCACCTCTTTCTAACAGTATGGGCTGCAGGTTCAGCTAGACCCTGAGTTGCATCTGTGCTCCTCCACCCTTACTTGCTTGGTGGCTCAGGACCTGTTACACAAGCTTCTCTGTGCCTTAGTTCCTCGTCTGTATTTGAGTGTTCATTGAGAACCACCTCTGGGCTACACATTGGACTTTACCCAGAGGATGGGAAAGGAAGCTGGACCCAAACATCTGAGGCAGGGTCCTAATGCTTCAGCAGATGAAAACTTGATTTCGGTTACTCATCTTTAAAATTAGCTTGTATAATAATATCCATTCCCCAGTAGGTGTTGGGAAGCTTATTTACCATTTATGACTTTTTTTTTTTTCATTCTCAGAAGAAAGGTGATGCATCATGGCTAAGTATGACTATCACAATTGTGATTCTCTCAAGCTGCCCTTGGGGCTAACCAGGATAAAATTGCCCATTGTGAAAATGTACTATTATATAAAGTATGACTATTTTCCACAATGATACTATGTGGATATTCAAGGTATTGCTATCATCATGAAAAACTCTTAAATTGGCCAAAGTGAAGATAGACTAGCTCATCTTTTGAGGTATTATGTGCTCCAACACAGACACACGCATAGCATCTACAAATACTGGGATTTTTTTTTTAATTCCATACATTTAAGAAAATCTCTATCAAATCACTAGGTGGCCGCTAAGCTAATAAATTAAGAGATGGCAGTGTCTGTACATGACAAAGAATGTAGACTTTAAAATATAGTCCAGAAAAGTCACTAAACAAACAACAAACCCCTACAACCCAGAGCAAGCAAAATCAAGAAGTCCTGGGAAGGGGGAATATATATATATATATACCTATTACAGAAGTAATAGGTATATATATATATCTATTATATCTATATATAGATATAATATAATATAGGCTGACCAGCAGCTAGAAATCTAAGGAGTTCTGCCATTGGAATTATCTAACATTTCATAGCTCAGTGCAGTGATTTTCATTTTTAAACTTTCATTCAGCATCAGAAATCATACTTAACCTCATTATGCCTGTTTCATTCTAATGCTCAACACTCTATTTGTAATCCATTCTTTATGTTCAATTAAGCCAATTCACCTATTAATGTGGTTTTAGGTGGTTATTAGCACAGACTGGAGCTATTACTGCTTCAATCAAACCAGACTACTGGCACTTGTGGTCTCAGGTGCCGCCTGACATTTTCACAATGGAATAGGAGCAAAAGTTTAAACATTTCCTCCTACACATCCTGTCATCTTCCTTCTTTGCCAGCTCTGGACCCCCCATAACTTCCCTGCCACTCTGGCCACTTCGATTAAAGGTACTAGTTAAATATATAATTTATATATGTATATATATATAAAATATATGATATATATCCTATATTACTTCTGTCCCTCTAGAGAACCCTGACTAATACAGATTTTTGGTACCAGGAGTGGTTCTAGAGAAAGAGAATATTAAAGATTGAGTTCTTTTGTTGGTTTGGGCATTTCTGGAGTTGGTTGCCTAATATGATTAGACCCCAAAAATGCTAAGGACTCTACTTCTAATAGTATGGAAAACACTTTTAGCCTTTGACATGAACTGTTTAGAGAGTTATTTAAAATAAATGCATTCGACATTCGTGATTCAGCACTTGTGAGAGGCAAGAAGTTTAGTGACTCTATACATAATACCTTTGGCCATATGCGGCGAATCAAAGAACATAATGAAGCTGGTTAGTTGCTCCTAAGTTCAGTGGACAAAGTGATGAAAGAAAATGATGAACTCAGGGATTCTGTCTCCCGGCTTCAGAAGCAGATACTGAGCCTCAAATCTGCTAAGATTGCCCTGAGTGAGAGTCTTATCTCCTGTAGAGAAAGAGCTAAAATTGTGGGAAAACAGACCCAAGGTCTTATCATGTGAGTTGCTGACCTGCAACAAAAGATGCATGCACAGCCTCACCAGGGGGGTACTGTTAAAGTGAGGGCATTGATTGGAAAAGAATAGGACCCTGCAACTTGGAATGGGGACGTGTGGAAGGACCCTGATGAAGCTGGGGACGCTGAGTTTGTAAACTCTGATGAATCTTTTTTGCCAGAACAGTTTCCCCATCCCCAGTAGTGGCAACATTCCCTCCCTGACCCATGCTGCCATCAGCCCTTCCACCTTTGTCTGAGGAGATAAACCCTGTGCTTCTTGAGGCAACAGTGGTGGCCTCCTCTGAGGCAGTTGCCAGGTGAGATAATGTTGATTCTCCTCAGGTGCCACCCCAACACCCCTTTTTACTTCTAGACCTATAACTAGACTAAAGTCCCGGCAGGCCCCTGGAGGTGAGGTTGAGAGTGTGATCCACGAGGAGGTGCACTACACCCGAGAAGAACTGCTTGAGTTTTCTAATTTCTGTAAAGAGAAATCTGGAGAACAGGCATGAGAATGGATATTAATGGCATGAGATAATGATGGAAGGAACATAGAGTTGGGTCAGGCAGAATTTATTGATTTGGGCCCACTAAGTAAATACTCTGCTTTTAATGTTGCAGCTTGGGAAGTTAAAAAAGGTTGTAGTTGCTTATTTGCTTGGATAGCTGAAATATGGATTAAAAGATGGCCCACTGTGAGCAGCTGGAAATGCCTGATCTACCTTGGTTTAATGTAGAGGAAGGGATCCAAAGGCTAATGGAGATTGGGATGGTGGAGTGTATTAGTCATGTTAGACCTACTCATCCCAGCTGGGAGGGTCCAGAAGATATGCCCTTGAAGACTGACTTGTGAAATAGATTTGTGAAGGCAGCACCTACATCTTTGAAGAGACTTGTAATTGCTCTTTTCTGTATGTCAGATCTAATGGTGGGAAGTGCAGTAACTAAACTACAAAATTTAAATACAATGGGTATAATTGGATCCCGAGGTGGCAGGGGCCAAGTGGCAGCACTAAACCGCCAAAGGCAAGGTGGGCATAGCTACTACCATAATGGACAGCAAAGGCAAAGCGGCAATCAGAATAATCTTACTTGTGTAGCCCTATGGCACTGGCTAATAAATCATGGTGTTCCCAGAAGTGAAGTTGGTAGAAAGCCTACGCATTCCTACTTAATTTATACAAGCAGAAAACTTCTAGTTAGAATTGTCAAAAGACTAATTTGAATTATAAAAACAGAGAATCACGACCCCTCTATCAGTTTCTAGACATGAGCCAGTTTACAGACCCAGAACACCTTGAATGAAGTGGAGGCTGGGTCCCCTTAAGGAAGGACCCCACTACATTACCGACAATTTATGCAGTGAATCGTTCTCCTATCCTTCCCCAAGAAGACCTCCTGCCTTTTACCAGAATAACTGTGCATTGGGGAAAGGACAACAATCAGACATTTCAGGGACTACTGGACACTGGCTCTGAGCTGACGCTGATTCCAGGCGACCCAAAATGTCATTGTGATCCTCCAGTTAAAGTAGGGGCTTATGGAGGTCAGGTAATTAATGGAGTTTTAGCTCAGGTCTGACTTACAGTGGGCCCAGTGGGTCCCCAGACTCATCCTGTGGACATTTCACCAGTGCCAGAATGCATAATTGGCATAGACATACTTAGCAGCTGGCACAACCCCCACATTGGCTCGCTGACTGGTAGGGTGAGGGCTATTATGGTGGGACAGGCCAAATGGAAGACATTAGAGCTGTCTCTACCTAGAAAAATAGTAAATCAAAAACAATATTGCATCCATGGAGGGATTGCGGAGATTACGGACTTGAAACATGCAGGGGTGGTGATTCCCACCACATACCCATTCAACTCTCCCATTTGGCCTGTGCAGAAGACAGATGGATCTTGGAGAATGACAGTGGATTATCGTAAGCTTAACCAAGTGGTAACTCCAATTGCAACTGCTGTACCAGATGTGGTTTCATTGCTTGAGAAATTAACACATCTCCTGGTATCTGGTATGCAGCCATTGACTTGCTAAATGCCTTTTTCCCTGTTCCTGTCCATAAGGCCCACTGGAAGCAATTTGCCTTCAGCTGGCAAGGCCAGCAATATACCTCTACTGTCCTATCTCAGGGGTATATCAGCTCTCCAGGTTTGTGTCATAATCTTATTCAGAGAGACCTTGATGGCTTTTTGCTTCTGCAAGATATCACACTGGTCCATTACATTAATGACATTATGCTAATTGGATCCAGTGAGCAAGAAGTAGAAAACACACTGGACTTAGTAGTGAGACATTTGCATGCCAGAGGATGGGAAATAAATCCGACTAAAATTCAGGGACCTTCTACCTCAGTAAAATTTCTTCCTTTTTTTTTTTTTTTTTTTTTTTTTTGAGACAGAGTCTTGCTCTGTCTCCCAGACTGGAGTGCAGTGGCGCGATCTCCGCTCACTGCAAGCTCCACCTCCTGGGTTCACGCCATTCTCCTGCCTCAGCCTCCCAAGTAACTGGGACTACAGGCATCCGCCATCACGCCTGGCTAATTTTTTATATTTTTTAGTAGAGGTGGGGTTTCACCGTGTTAGCCAGGATGGTCTCGATCTCCTGACCTCGTGATCCGCCTGCCTCGGCCTCCCAAAGTGCTGGGATTACAGGCGTGAGCCACTGTGCCCGGCCCTACCTCAGTAAAATTTCTAGGGGTCCAGTGGTGTGGGGCCTGTCCAGATATTTGTTCTAAGGTGAAGAATAACCTTAGAAGCCCCAACCTGGGGCTTCCCTGGGTTGACAGCATGGGCAGAAACGGGTTCTGCCTGGATTTGGGTGGGGGTGGTTGTTAAGATGTGGGGTGCGGGGGTTTAGGGGGAGGAATTGGGGGCGGTAGGGGGAGGGATTGGGGTGGGACCCCCAGGGCTTAGGTCTTGGTGGTGGTGGGTTTGGGAATGGGGGTGGAGGACCCTCAGTCATCCCTCGGGGTCCTGACCTTGATGGCTGGCAGATCCTGGACCCCCATTCTCTGCTCCCCTCAGACCAAGTCTCTGACTCTGAGTCCCATGAGGTGGCAGTCGGGAGAGGGGTGTGGTCGGGACGACAACATTGCCAGGGTCTTCCAGGGAATGACGGGAGGGGCTGAGTTGGATTCTGTGGCCCCTCTATGTGGGGAGGGTGGACCTTCAGTCCTCACTCAGGAGGATCCTCCTCCTGACTCCTGGCTCTTTCGATGCAGTGATGGGTGGCAGATACTCTGTTTCTGTCACCTCTGAGCCTTTGCCCAGCTGCACCCCTTGCAGAGAATGGCTGCGGGTCCCAGGCCAGGTGCTCCGTGGGGGGGCTGCAGGAGCTGTGATTGTAGTGGCCTCTGGGAGAAGACACGCACCTTCCCAGGGCAGCTCTTCCCCAGCCAGAGGTTGAATTTGCAAACCTTTTACCCTAAAATATTTATTTTTACATTGAGTAGGCTGACCAGCAGCTAGAAATCTAAGGAGTTCTGCCATTGGAATTATCTAACATTTCATAGCTCAGTGCAGTGATTTTCATTTTTAAACTTTCATTCAGCATCAGAAATCATACTTAACCTCATTATGCCTGTTTCATTCTAATGCTCAACACTCTATTTGTAATCCATTCTTTATGTTCAGTTAAGCCAATTCACCTATTAATGTGGTTTTAGGTGGTTATTAGCACAGACTGGAGCTACTACTGTTTCAATGAAACCAGACTACTGGCACCTGTGGTCTCAGGTGCCACCTGACATTTTCACACTGGAATAGGGGCAAAAATTTAAACATTTCCTTCTACACATCCTGTCATCTTCCTTCTATGCCAGCTATGGACTCTCCCTAACTTCCTTGACACTCTGGCCACTTCGATTACAGGTACCAGTTAAATACAGTCTTCATTCTCCCTCAGAGCTTTCTCATGTTTTGTTGTTTAGATTTTGTTGTTTATACTGTTTGTTTGTTATTTTATTCTTCCTTCTATAGTTTTCCAGGGTTCGTTTTGGGAGTGAAGGACAGAAGCCCAAGCTTGACGTTCATATTGCCAGCTAAATTTTAAGCGTTATATCTGTACATCTTGGATAAAGAAAAATTGACATCTTTTCAATAGCCTGTTCCCTATTAAGGGATATGGAATATGGCTCTATTTATCTGGGAAGTTTTTGACCCGAATCTATCAGTATTTGCATAGTTGTTTCCATAAAGATCTTGTATGGTTTGTCTGTCTTATTAGACAATTTCTGGATTTTGTTGCCATTGTGAATGGGGTATTTTCTATTACTTGTTCTGAGTGGTTATTTCATTGGGTTGCAAGGATTTTGATTTTACTGTAGTAACCTGTATACTATTATTCTGAAGTCTGTTATTTGACTATTCCATGTGCACATTTCTTTGAATTTTCTAGATAATCATATTGTCATACCAAATATTAACTCTTTCTGTTCAATATTCATACTGATTTCTTTTGATATCCATATCTCCTGCCTTATGTTACATGCAGTTTCCAAAGATAGAGGTTATAGCCTATGTCCATGACAAGAATTCTTCTAACATTTCATACTTAAGTATGTTGTCCATTGATCTCAGGAAAAGAAAATATGCTGCTAAACTTATTTTGCTAAATGTTTTGACCATTAACTTGTATAGAATTTCATCCAGAAGCTTTTTTATACCTACTAAAGTGATCACTTTTTAAAATCTTAATTCGATAACGTAGGAAATCACAACTGAAAATTGTTTTATATTAAATCATGTTTTTGTTCCTTGGACACAATCCGTTAATTCACTTCTATGTTGAATATGCTACTAATTTAATTAATATATTTGCCTCTGTGTGAGTGAAGTTTGGCTCAAGTGTTTTCACGGTGCTGTCCTCCTCTGGTACCTGAATGAAGAATGGTTAGCTTGGGAAAATAATTTGAATAATTGCCCAACTTTTCGTATGCCTTGGAAGAGTTTACTTAAGGTGGCTTTGAGCTTTACCTGATAACAATGTAGAATTGGCCTCCGAAGCTGCCTTGTCCACATTTGAGGATGGCTTGAGCTTAGATTAGTTTCACTTTTTATTGTTTGGTTAAAGATTTGAATTTCTTTTTGTATCAATTTGTTCATGTACTTATTTTCCTAAAATATTATCCATTTCACTTAGGATTTCAAATTAAATATCATATTTATTTCAAAAATATTTTCATTACAAGCATTTTCAAATACACCTAATAATAGGGTAAATACTATAATTAATCTAATATACCAGACTTTCAGTATCAATAATCTTCAACTCATGGCCAATCTGGTTCTAGTTATACCCCTACCTACTCCGCATAGCAGAAACTGAAATAATGTGGAGCAAATCCAAGACACCATGTGATCTCATCTCCAAATACATCAGAGTGCATTTCTAAAGATAACTACTCTCTTATAAAACATAAAGCCAACATTATTATCTTTCCTAAACATGTAAGCAAGTCATTAATATAATGAAATGTTCACTTATTTGTCACATGTATCTGGTGGACATATGCTCCTGTTAAAATGCAGTTTCTTTGAATCGGTTTGCAAATATGATCTATACATTGTGTTTATGTTCTTAATAGCCACCTTAAGTAATTTATAGATTCCCCCACATTACCTTTTTTTGAAACTCATTTGTTGAAAATGAAGACATGCCTTGTGTTCTGTCCAGTTTCCCATACTCTGGATTTTGCTGAGCGCAATACTTCTCTTCCTGCATTACCTATCTGTTTTTCCATGTTGCCTACTTTTTCCATTAAAGCCTCTTAAATTTTTAAAAATAGTCATTTTAAATTATCTGCCTCCTAATTCCAATATCTGAGTCATATTAGAGTCCAGTTCTGTTGATTGTCTTGTCTCTTCAGACTATGTATTTTCTTACTCTTTTGCGTGTGTCCCTTGCAATCCTTTTGTTGAGAGTGAACGTGTTGTATGAGGTCATAGGAACAGAGGCAATTAGATCTCTACAGTGAGGATGTATGTCAATTTGGCTGGGAGTTGGGCTTTATTTCTTATACCTATAGATGCCAGAGGCTTCAGATTCCTCTAGTGTCCTTGTTTTTGTCTTCCGTTTTATTAATTGTGGCAAATGTGTAATGCTAATGTAAGAGGATGGTAATAGGGAAAACTGGGTGTGGGGTATATGAGAATTCTCTGTACTATCTCTGCAATAATTCTGTAAGCCTAAACATTTTCTAAAATAAAAAGTCATTAATAAAGAATGACTTGTTGGACCCCATTGGAAGGAACAAGAATAACCACCCCTCACATTGAGAATTGGCTCTGCAAGAGAGAGAATAAAACATTTATCCTGCATTTCCTGTACTAACTGTATTTCAGGATGACACAATAGCTACAGTTGATGAGGAAAGTTTCTTCCTTACTGGAGAATTCCAGCTGAGGAAAATGCAACATATGAGAGAAAAGGAAAACAAGTATTTGCAATATCCAGCAATGCAACTGATGCAATCCATGCTAATCAATGGATGAAACATTGTTGAAGGGTTGATGACGCACTCTGCAATGGAGGAACAAGGCTGTCTCCACCTCTCCACCTGAGCCCACTGATCAGAGCCAATATGATCAAGGGTTGAACAGCCAGAAGTTGTATGCCTCCTGCTGGAGTACAGTAGGAAGCACAAAGAGCCTCCTATGTGTACCTTCCCCCCCAACAAAAAGCCAAACCTGCTTCTGGCCTCCACCTGAGGTGAACTTTGAAAGATAGGAAATCCAGTCCTGGATTAAGACATCTGGCCCCTCATTGAAGACACAGAGTCTACTCTGGAATGAGCACTAGGTGTCACCAGACAGCCTTCTGCTTTGTTCTGCACCCAGTCTTTACACGTGCACCATTGTCCTGCCCGCCGCAGCAGTGCCACAGCAGCAGGCCAACAGCCTTGCCTGTTCAATGCCAATGGTGCCTTCCATCCCCTTTATCCCGAGAGAAAGGTTTCTGGACACCTAGACCTGTATTCCGTACCCAGTCCTCAGGTCAAGTCAGTAACCTGGAATAGAAACCTGGATCCAAGAAGCCAGTTCATGGTACAGTGCAGCTGACCTGGCTCTGAGGCAGTCCATGGCTCAGAGGATCAGGGAATACCCTTTACCTGGCTCACCAGACCAGTGTCTCTAGACCCTGCCCTCTACACTCTGTTCCAAGGCCCCGAGCGACTGCATGTCTTTGTTCTCTTCTAGACGATTGCTCTTATAATACTGTTAGCATTCCTTCCCAGACATCCTCGGTTCTCTCTCGAGATATCTCTTCTGTGAGGCCTTCTATGAATACCATTGTAAAAATTGCAATCCCTCCTTCCACCCAGTTTCCAGCACTCCTTATTTAGCTCTCTCGATTCAATTTGTTTCCATAGCGTTTGTCACCATAAAACCTACTTCACCTGTAACTTTGTTCCGCAGTTCATTGTGTGCCTGCCCCTCCCCTCCCGCTAGAACATAAGCTCCACAGAAGCAGGGAATTTGTTCAATGCTGTATCCTCAGAGCTTAGAGCAGTGCCTGGCAAACAGTACATGCTCAGTACTCAGCTGTGGGACGCATGAAGAACTACAGCTCCATGGTCCTAGTATTCGCAGCCTCTGCATTGGAGCCTCGTGGCATTTTCAGTCCTCCCAATTACCCAGCAATCAAAGTTTAAATGCATCCCAGCACCCTCTTATTGTTGAGTCATGGAACAGGTAAGCAACTGAGCTCTAGGGACTCCAGAGACCTGCTGCCCCAGCGCCTGGTCTGTGCTCCTGGCATCCTGGGGAAGTCAGCAAGGCAGGGCTACAAACATCAGTGGCTATCTGAGCACTCTCTCTTGCCAGTAGGCAGCTGTGGCCCTTGTCCCAATTCCCTGCTCCTCTCTCTGGTCGTTTGGGTCTGCAAGCAGCCAATGTCAAGGTCTCACATGTCTCTGGGTTTCAGCTGGGCCTTAAAGGGATTTATGTAACATTCAGTTCAAGTAACACTTTCCCATTGATTCCTGGACAAGCTCTAGACAGAAGTCCCATGTTCGCCAATGACTTTGATGCTACTTCCCTGGAGAAAGTAGGAAGGGTGGCCAACGTGGTTTGCAAGGTTGCATTCATCTGGAGAATGCTCCATCATGATTTCTCCCCAATGCCAGTAGACAGGTGCCATCCCTGCCTTTGTACACACCGTTCCTTGCTGCGTGAAGTTATTTGAGGAATCATTACACACTCTCCAAGAGGTAACATAACATGATTTCATTCGCTCATTCATTCAATATTTATCCAGCTCCTCATATGCTCCAGGCACTGACCTAAGTGCTGGAGATACTGTATTCACTATAAAAAGGGCTTCCCACCTCCGTGGTGTTCTTCCTAATAATGCATAATCATGCATGCCCTTCTAATCGTGAGAAGACATTAGACCCACTGAAACTGAGGGATGTTCTACAAAAATCAGACTAGTATTCCTAGAGTCCTCCAAGACAGATTTGATGCCAAGATGGGGAAGAAGGAAGAGTATGTTGGAGGCCTAGGTCCTTGCAGACATGTTCTGGAGATACACACTGGGGTTTGGGAGCACAGCAGGAGGGACTGTGGAGTGGGCAGAACCCTCCAGGGAGAGGTCAGGGGAGCAGTGCAGGAGTTTGAGGCTGCACAAGAATGACATGACCTCCATGGGAAGAGCACACTACTCACCCTCCTTCTGAGATGAAGCATTCTCTTCCCCTTCCTTTAGCCATGTGACAGGATCTGGTCAGGTGAGGAGAGGAGTGACACAGATGGGGAACTGGCACCAGGTCCTCAGGGGATGGCAGGCAAGAAGCTGGGGCTCATGAAGCTATGTGAGGCAGATTCCATAGAAGGAGACTCGGGAGCTTTGGGTTTCATTCTCACATCCTGAGAACACATCCAGAGACTTAAGTCATACACATTTGCTCCCTTCTATGCGAGATGCCAGATTCTGTACTTTGAAGGCCCTGGGCAGGGATGGAGGTCTTCACAGGAAGCAACACCCCGTAGGAAGCTGACTGCAGGAATTCCTGCATTGCCATCTGCACCCTTTGGGCCCTGAAGCATGACCCATCAGTATTTTAAGAGCCACGATGTGTCCTTGAATTGGAGGCTGGCAGCCAGCAGTCAAATGCCCTTGTTGGGATTGCAAGTTTCCTTCTCCTGGGGCCCATAGTTGTGTTCTCATGTCCCCTGCTGCTGTGTCCACACTGCCCCAATCGGGCCTCAGTCTGCCCAGCTTGGGGCTTTGCGCTTCCTCTCTCCCCACTAACTACTGCTCAAGACCTGGAGCTGATGCTCATATGCGATTATCATTGTGATAAATTCCCTGGTAAGGATCTCCTTCCAAGGTCTTGTGGTGACAGAACTGGCAGGAGATGATGAAGCCTTCTGGGGAGGCTCCTAGTGAATAATAAGCATTCTGACATGATGAGTGACAAATCACGATGATTAGGAGATATTATTCAAATAATTCCCCAGGTAATGTCTGGCTTTTGATTAACCGATCACCTTAAATGGGTGACTATGAGGTTTTGCTTTCTCAGGCTGATGATCCAGAGAGGTGGGGCTGGGGTGTCCTAGCAGAGGCAGCTAGGGCCTCGGTATCCCCAGACAGGCAGCTAAAGAAGACTAAAGGCTGTAGCAGATGGTGGGGGCGTTGAGTATCGGGACACTCCGCAGTCCGCAGAATACTCCCAGATCCACGTTAGGACTTGGAAAGCAGCTGGGTGTGAGAGGGCTTTGGGGTCCTGAGGGATTAGGCTGTGCTGAGCATCAGCCACCCCAGGAGGGGCGTGAGGAGAAGCACCTGCCAGGTCCAGCTGTACTGCCCTGGGCCGGCTGTGGGGAGAGGGACATGGGAGCAGAAGGAGGCTGAGGTGAGCTGGAACCCTGGACCAGGTCATTAGGTGGGTGCTCCCAGGAATGGCCTGGGTCAGACCCCTGTGGGCGCTCCAGGATGGAACAGGACATTACCGGAAACAGCGACATCACATGTCCCTTCTTGGAGGGAGCCAGTGGGTGTGGAGAGTGGTGCCCTAGGCAGTTAAGGACATCCCAGGTACCTCCCCATCTCCCACATGCACGGCCTTTTCAGGAGTCATTTCCAGGATCCAACATCCTCACCCGTATCCTTACATGCTGACATACCAGGGCCCAAGCCTGTTGCATGTGTTGGAAGCCAGATAAAGTTGATCCAAGAAGATTATTTGATTTTTCAATAAACCATTATTTAATAAATATATCATGATCTCCCAGTGGGCGCTAAGGCTTATCACGGGCACCAGTAGTTCCAAACATGGCATTCAAACCTTGCTTTGAGGTGCTCACGATCTAATAGGGGTATGTGGCTGGGTTAGTAGATTCTTTCTGCATGGTTTCAGAAGAGCCAAGGTGTGTGTAGGACACAAATGTACAATTAGAAACATGTTTGTTTCCAAGTGAGAATAGTTTAGCCGGACTTAGGTTTAAGGGACACAGCTGGAAGCAGGGGCTCTGGACCCAGCCAGCCTGGATATGAGTCTTGGCGCTGCCACTTCCTAGTTGTGTGATCATGGGCGAGCTTCCAAACTCCTTGTATCTCAGTTCCCTCATCTGTCAAACATGAATAGCAGTAGCATGTACTTCACGAAGCACATATAAGGACTGCATCAGGTAATATCTGTCAAGCACATAAACAATGCCTGGTACATAGTAAGTGTCATGGGAGTGTTTATTAAATCAGCAACTCCTGACCTCAGTAGTCACTGGTGTGTGTGCGGCTTCAGGATCCAGTAAGACAGCTCGTGGAAGGTTGGTAAAATATGGCCGAAACTTGTCCTCCACGGGGCTGTGAGGAACTTGAAGCACTTATCCCACTGCCTGGCACAGTAAATGATCTGTCAACTGTGTACAGTTATCCTCGTCCTTAAGGCTTCCCCTGATCCTCGGGTGCTCCAGAGGGTGCTGTTGCATCTGTCAAATGTTCTTACTTTCTGCAGCCTCCTAGTGTCCAGTCCTGGTGAAGCCCCTTCACATCCTGAATGGCTTCTGCCATCATTGTGCAGTGCTGGGCAGCCCGGGGTGGGTCACAGGCATTTTTTCAGTGGAGCTCTCAAGTAACAGGTGTTTTGATTTCAAAGCTCAGTTCTTATCCACCACACTGGCTTACTGTGGGATGCAGAACTATTGCTGTGACAGCAATAATAGCATCCTCTCACTAGTACTTTACAGTTTATTCAGTGGGCCACAGAGGTTATCTCATTTGCTGAAACAAGTAACAGGACACAGTAGGCTTGAGATTCTGGCTTTTGATTGAGCCCAAGTCAAATTCCTGAGGAGTCTATTTTTAGAGTTCCCGACAGCGGACAGGGATGGCCCCTGCCCATGGCTTAAGCCTCCAATAGTGGTGATATCTCAGGGTCTAACTTCCACTTCATTCTGCTGTCATTTCGGAGCACAGTAGTTACAGTAATTTTTGAAAACAGAAAGCAACCAGGATAGCCTTGAAGAAGTAACCCCATACGAAGCAGGGGGATGGGGGCTTCGTACTCCTCCCATTGATTCCTTGACTAGTCACTAGAAGGAAGCTGACCCCGGAAAGGAAGTTTCCTACAACTGAGGGCCGTCCATGGAGAGGACCCTGGTTATCGGTCATCAACAAACAATACCTTTGGGGGAATGAGCGCCTCAGTTATAAAGCAAAGATCTTGGTAGCACTATACCATCCACTACAGTCCATCTTCTCTTGCAACAGTTAAACCTACATTTTTTTCTATTTTTTTTATTTATAATGTTTTGCGGTACATAGTAGCTGCATATATACTTATGGGGCACATGGGATATTTTGAGACAGGCATGCAATGCATAATCACATCAGGGTAAATGGAATATCCATCACCTCAAGCATTTATCCTTTCTTCGTGTTACACACATTTCAATTATACTCTTTTTTGTTATTAAAATGTACAATAAATTATGGTTGATTGTAGTCACCCTGTTGTATGATCAAATATTAGATTCATTCAATCTAACTATATTTTTGTACTCATTAAACATCCTTCCCCCCCCCCCCACTCCACTACCCTTCTCAGACTCTGTTAACCATCCTTCTACTCTGTCTCTATGAGTTCAATTGTTGCCATTTTTGGCTCCCACAAATCAGTGAGAATATGCAAAGTTTGTCTTTCTGTGCCTGGCTTATTCCACTTAACATAATGCCCTCCAGTTCCACCTTGTTGTTGTGAATGACAGGATCTCATTCTTTATTATTGCTGAATAGTACTCCATTGCGTATATGTATCACATTTTCTTATTCCATTCATCTGTGGATGGATGCTTAGGTTGTTTCCAAATCTTGGGTTTTGTGACCAGTGCTGCAACAAACATGGGAGTGCAGATATCTCTTCGATATCCTGATTTCCTTTCTTTTGGGTATATGCCAAGCAGTGGATTAACCCTACTTTTTCATGTAGAAAGTTCACCTCATTTGAGCACAACTCCTCAAGGATTCTGGTGATCCCTTACTAAAGAAGTTCACATGAGAAAGAAGAGTGTACAAACGATAGGCCCTCTGTGGCAGCTGGCCTCTAAGCCACAACTGATGATAATTCTGTTCCTTGTCTACTATCCATTCTAGAGTACTGTCGGTTTCAACCAGAATCTTTGCTGTTCTCTATTACTTACCCAATAGAGTAGTGCAAACCCTCATCCCGGAAGGTTCTGGGCTCCTGGTCCTCCACGACCTTCTCAGGCTGTGGCACTTACAATTGTCCCTATACTATAGAAATCTGGCAGGGGACTACGAAGACACATTCAAGGGGTCACTCGAGAGCCAAACATTCCTCTCTGTTCCCATTGTATAAGGGCAGCCCTACCTCCTCCTGATGATCAGAGCCAATATCCCTGCAAGCATGGCAACTCCTTTTTATGCTTGCTGGTCCTATAGCATGAGAAGCTCAAAGTGCCCAGATGGGAGCAATAGCTTGAAATTTAATGGAAAGAGTCCCATTAAATTGTTTTTTTCCAGGTGGAAGTAATCTTACTTTGGGAACCAATATATCTAGCCAGCACTGTCCAATAGGGTAACCAGCAGCCACATGTGACCATTGAGTATACAAACCTGGTTAGTGTGACTGAGGACCTGAACTTTAAATTTAATTTTAAATAGTGTAAACTTATGTGCAAATAGCTAAATGTGGCTAGTGACACCTTATTGGAAAGCACAGTTCTAGAACTACAGAACCTAAACTCATGTAGCAGAAAGTACAAATTCCCATACAGGTCACAGGGAGTGACAGTAAGTGAGGTCATTCCACCCTTTGGTATCTGCATCATGTATTCTATCTATTGATGGAAGAGAATGGTAATAGATTTAGGGTATATACAGTACAGTAGAGAATGACACCCCATCCTCAAGGCTGTGATCTCCAAATTTGCACCTCATTTGCACTGTGAAGAAGCCACTCCATTATTCCAGTAGACCAGTGGCTTTTGGGTGGCGCAGTATGAGATAACAACTTTAGATCATACGGTCATGTGCCCACTGAGCACTTCCTTTGCTATATGTGGGTCCCTTGGTCCCAGCTGATCGTATGGAGTATCCTGGCTCAGTGTATCCAACATTCTTTAAGCCCTGTGTTAGTGGTGCCCGACAAAGAAATGTGAGCAGGAAAGTCAAACTTATACCTGTAATGTGTACAAATTCCAGTAAAGATGAATCTCTGCTCCTTCCAGGATGGAATTTGCTGGACGCAATCAACAAGCCACAAGGGGCTGATTAGTCTCCTTAAGTAATGGTGCCCTACTGGGTATTCAGCACTGGCCTCTGTTGCTGGCAGTTTGAACATTTGGCAAAAATAGCTGGATATGCCTGGGTGAATGGGGACCCATGCTGTTGAACACATGCATAGCATCCACTTCTTCCACCGTGGCTATTGCACACATAAGGCCATTGTGTAGCATTAATGTGGCCAGCGACTGAGGCTGGCTAATGTCAACTAGTTAGGTCATTTTTTTCTTGATTAAACGTTTAGTGTCTCTTCCATGGTGAATGCTCTCTTGAGCCTTAAGACGTGATACAAATATCTTCACATATAGTGTCCCTTCTCATACGTCCATC
This sequence comes from Homo sapiens, assembly GCF_000001405.40. Classification (NCBI taxonomy): domain Eukaryota; kingdom Metazoa; phylum Chordata; class Mammalia; order Primates; family Hominidae; genus Homo; species Homo sapiens. The sequence goes on along the minus strand of NC_000023.11, from coordinate 149,739,328 downwards.
AATAAACCTCCGTCCCCAATCCTGCTTATTGCAATCTGTCACTACTTCTCATTCTAAGTCCCTGAGCAGCTGTCCAATTTATTTTTCACTGTCCATAAGTCCATTCGTAGTTTGGGTCACTTCTTTTTTAGATATGAAGTGGATCATCAGATGCACCATTTGAAGCTCTGCCACCTGGGGATTTCTGCTCAACAATGTATTTCTTGACCACATACGATTGAGGTAGTATTACAACAGAAGTTCATTTTCAGGTTGCGCTCTAAATCCGGCCAAACCATCTATTATCTAAGCTCAGCACTTCTACTCCTCCAGCAGCTGGTCATAAGAGAACTTCCTGGTCCATTAATCTATAGGAATAAAAAAGAGCTGAAGGAGAGACACAGACACAACAGTGGCAGATGACATTGGGGATTAGGTCACCTGCTTGTAATCTATGGCCGTGCTGGTATCTGGTCCTGGATATGCTACTTCTATCTTATCACAGATTACTTTTGGAATCACCTGACTTTGTGGGTCTGACAGAACCTAGCTCATGATGATCAGTAGCGACATGCCATGTGCCTGAGGCCGTGGTGATCTGTTCTAGTGAAGATAACAAATCTGTTAAAGGCTCTTGCCATTGAGCTTGCAGTAGTGCAAAGTTGCAGTAGTCCCAGTGACCCATCAGGTTCTTGTAGGAGCCAGGCTGCTACCTTAAATTAAGATATGATGGGGATCACCACCCCTACATCCTTTAGGTATTAAGGGTGTCATTAACATTTTCCATCCCTCAGGATGCAATATTGTTTATTACTTACTATCATGGCCAAGGTGCAGGAAGTGCACTTGGCCTTCTCTACTCTGCTAGCTCTTCTACTAACAGCCACGGACCCAGTCAGGGTTTGTGCCCATTATCGAGGAAGTCCATTTCAATTTCCCATTTGGAAACTGGATAAATGGGCACTCTGGGTCAGACCTAGGCAAGAACTCCATTTATTCCTGGCCCACATTTGCTTCCACTCTAACAAACAGGGGGCCATGATGAAGCTTCAGGTCCTAGGTGTCAGTGTCAATGCAGATTCTGTGTCCAGCGGTCCTTGAAATGTTTGAGTGTTTTCCCCCTTCCCAGTGTTCAGTTACTGAGGTGAATAGACATAGGTTCCTTTGGAAACTGGGCTTGGAAAACCACTATTGTATCAACTTGCCATAGTATTGCAGGTGGTTTCCTCAAGAGGACTCTACCATTGTGTTATGTTCAGTTAATAAATTCTGTGTCTGAGAATTGGCTCAGGTCTGGAAACTGGGAGATGGATTAAAACTTTATTGGAGCAGTTTACCCAGCCTACTGCTTATTGAGCCTCGATTTCATGTGGGTATATAAGTTAAGCAACATACTTGTTGTCTGTTCTTCTATCTTGGCTCTAAAAGCACTGTGTTCTGTTAACAGAGTCTGCTCCTCTCTGCAGATGAGATTCCCTGTTTGCCACTCAAGTTTCCTGCTTATTATGATCATTGTGACCATCTTGCTTTTGAAATTTAAGTGCCACTTCCGTAGTCAAAGGGGCAGGTGGCCCAAAGCTTCCAGTTTGGGGTGAAATTGCAAGAAATAGAGACTCTGTAGACAGCATCTGCATAGCACCAACTCCAGAATTCACTGACCACAGGTGATGCTGTGGGCCCTGACCTCCCATGGCTTCCCAGGGTCTGGACTAGGGGAGAAAGTATAAATTTCACCAGAGCGCTATTCATGAACACACATGCGGCAGCTCCAGAAATTAAAACAAAACAAAACAAAACAAAACAAAAAAAACAACTGAGTCATGTTTACAAGAGGATAGAGACCCCGTGTCATGCAGGAGTGAGTGCAGTCAGTGAACTCTGAATTGTTAATGTTAACCCAACTTGGAAGAAAGAAAGTGCAATTGATTTTATTCATTGACATGATCCTGTATGCAGAAAATTCTAACAAACCCACCAAAAAGTATTAGAACTATTCAATGAGTTTAGCAAGTTCACAAGATACAAGGTCAGTACAAAAATTAGTAGCATTTCTATATACTAACAATGAATAAACCCAAAGTGAAATTAAGAAAATAATTGCATTAAGAATAAAATACTTAGGAAGAAATCTAACAAAATGAGTGCACAGCTTATACACTAAAAACTAAACAACATTCTTGAGAGGAGTGCAAGGGAATCTGAATGAGAGAGATGCATGCACTGTGTTCATGAGTCAGGAGATGCAATATTGTTAAGATGTCAGTTCTTTCCAAAATGATGTGTAGATTCTACATGATACCTATAAAAATTCCAGCAGATCTTTGTGTCGAACTTGACTAGCTAGTTCTAGAATTTATATTAAAGTGCAAAAGACCCAGAATAGCCACACGCATTTTGGAAAAAAAAAAAAAAAAGCTGGAGAACATTTACTTGCCGATTCAAGATATAGTAATCATGACTGTATGGTTTTGGTATAGGAGTAGACATACAGATCAATGTAACAGAATTAAAAGTCTATAAATAAGCCCACATATCCTTGTGATCAACTGATTTTTAACAAAGGTGCTAACATATTAATTCCACGGGGGAAGGAATAGTCTTTTCAACGAATGGCACTGGGAAAATTGAATATCCACCTGCAAAAATATGAATTTGCACCTTTATAGCAGACCTTAGAAAAATTAACTCATAGGAGAAAATCTTCATTACCTTGGCTTAGGCAAAGTTTTATTAACATCAGCAAAGCACACTTTTGAAAAAAAATCAACAAATTGTACTTCATCAAAATTTAAAACTTTTTTTACTGGAAAAGTCACAATTAAGAAAATGGGCCAGATTTGGTGGCTCATGCCTGCAATCCCAGCACTTGGGAGGCTGAGGCAGATCGCTTGAGCCCAGGAATTCGAGACCAACCTGAGGCACATGGTGAAGCCTCCTTTTTACTAAAAATACAAAAATTAACTCAGCATTGTGACACGCGCCTGTAGTCCCAGCTCCTTGGGAGGCAGAGGTGGGAGGATCCATTGAATCTGGGAGGTTGAGGTTGAGGCTGCAGTGAGCCATGTTTGCACCACTGCACTCCAGCCTGAGCAACAGAGCAAGACTCTATTAAAAAAAAAAAAAAAAAAAAGGAAACATACGTCCATACAAAGACTTGTACAGGAATGTTCATCGAAGCATATTCACAGTAACTGAAAAGTTACAACAATCCAAATGTCCATCAACTAGTAGATGGATAAGCAACATATGCTGCATCTTTGCAATGCTGTTCAACAGTAAAAAGGAAAGGGCTACAGGTACATGGTACAGCATGGATTAAACAAATAAGCCATGTGATATAATTCCTTTTATATGAAATTTCCAGTAAAGGCAAATCATTAAAGATAGAAAGAAAGTGGATTAGTTGTTGCCATGGAGTGGGCTGGGCACGTGAATTAACTATAAGTGGGCATAGGAATCTTATTGTGTGATGGAAATGTTCTAAAACTAGGACTGTGGTGATGGTTGCATGACCTAGTAACTCTAGTAAAAAATCATTGATTTGTACATTTCAAATGGGTGAATTTTGTGGTTTGTAAATTATACATCAATAAAGTTTGAAAAAACCCAACAACCTAAGACTGGGCAACCTTGAAGACTTTAACTCTCAAGTTTGTCCACACTGAGCCTCCAGCAGTTCATCAGTTACAGTTTAAGTTTTCTGCACCATTACTGGCTCCAAAAGTGATTTCTGTTTCTGGGCTTCTGCTTCAGTAAGCTGTGATTCTCTGTATCCACCTGTCTAGCTCTCCAGTTTTGGGGGCACTGCTTTGCTCTGTGACCTTAGTTCTCCGATGAATCTGAGAAGAGTTACTGATTTCTGCTTTGCTCAGTTTCTGTTCTTGTTGTGAGGATGAGAGTGATGACTTCTAAGCTCCTTATATGCCAGACCAGAAACCAGAAATTTCCAATAAAAAGATATTTTCTTGTTTAATTTTGAAAGGTGATATTAAGCCTCTGCCTGGCACAACCTCTCTGGTCCTCCACAAGCTTAGGCCAACTCAGGACCCCGGTGTAGCCAGCCCTGGAGGGCCTCCACACCCTGAAGCATGAGGGACATGCCTGGAGCCAGCAGCTTTACAGAAGAGCTCTGGGGAGCAGGTTTCTGGGTGGGGGTTATAGAAGCTGTGGCTCAGCATCTGCAGCTGGAAGCTAACAAAGTGATGCATTCATTTGAGGTATTATCACAGAATGGGCTTGTGTACCTTGCAGCTGTCATCAAAAACCATCATTCTTCCAACAGTAACTTGTCCACAAACCGCATTTCCTCTTTGCCTCTGGAGCTGCATGAACTAGTAGTGGACTAGATTTTTGCCTGGATTCTATCTCTACTTGTGAGCAAGCGTTTTCCTTTAGTGGAAATTCCTTTATTCATAGTTGCCAAAAATTGGAAGCAACCAAGAGGTGCTCAATACGTGAATGAATTAATAAACGGTGGTACTTACAGACAATGAAATGTTATCAATAAAAATAAGTCAGGTCGGGTACGATGAGTCACACCTGGAATCCCAGCACTTTGGGATACCAAGGTGGAAGGATCGTTTGTGGCCAGGAATTCAAGACCAGCCTGAGCAATATACTGAGACCCTGTCTGTACAAAAATTTAAGAAAATAGTTGAGCGTGGTGGTGTGTGCCTGTAGTCACAGCTACTCAGGAGGCTGAGGCAGAAGGATTTCTTGAGCCCAGGAGTTCAAGGTTTATTATGGACAGTGAGCTGTGATGGTACCACTGCACTCCAACCTGGGTGACAGAGCAAGACACTGTCTGTAAACAACAACGATAAAAACAAACAAATAAACAAACAAACAAAAAACCCACGGAGGAACCTAGTGAAGAAGCCGGTCTGAGAGGACAACATATTGTGTGATTCCAACTGCATGACTTTCTAGAAAAGGCAAGCTGGAGAGACAGTTACAAAGATCAGTGGTTACCAGAGTTTTGGAGGCAGCAAGGGAGGGATAAATAGGTGAAGCACACATATTCATTGGGTGGTGAAACTGTAATGGTGGATACACAATATTATGCATTTGTCAAAACCCAAAGATCCTTGCAACACAAAGAGTGAACCTTCATGTAAACTACGGACTTTAGTTAAAAACAATGTATCAATAATGATACTAGTTCATTAATTGTGAAAAATGTAGCATACTAGCAGAGGATAATAATAGAGAAAACTTTGTACAGGGGACAAAAGGAGTATATGGGAAACGTACTATCTCCTCAATTTTCTACCAGTCCAAAATTTTTCTAATAATAAAGCCTATTCATTAAAAAACAACTAGAACTAAATATACAACTAACAAACAACCCAGCAATCACACACCTGGGAATTTATTTTAGAAAACTAACAACTTATATTCACACGAAATCCTGTACAAGAATGTTCACTGCAGCTTTATTAATAAGCAAGTACTGGAAACAGCCCAGATGTCCCTCAACAGACTAATGGTTTAAAAGACAACTGCTGGCCGGGTGCGATGGCTCGCACCTGTAATCCTAGCACTTTGAGAGGCCGAGGCGGGTGGATGACCTGAGGTCAGGAGTTTGAGACCTGCCTGGCCAACATGACGAAACCCCGTCTCTACTAAAAATTTAAAATTAGCCGGGCATGGTGGCGGGTACCTACAATCCCAGCTATTTGGGAGGCTGAGGCAGAAGAATCAGTTGAACCCGGCGGGGAGCGGAGATTGCAATGAGCTGAGATCACGCCACTTCACTCCAGCCTGGGTGAAAGAGCGAAACTCCATCTCGAACAAACAAACAAACAAAACCTGTGGTTCATCCAGGTCCCTTGGAATACTACTCAGCAATGAAAAGAAATAGACTGTTCATACACACAATAAGCTGGATGAATCGCCAGACAGTCATGCCAGATTTTTAAAAAGCCAGTACCAAAAGCTTACATAATTGTATGACTGCATTCAAATAACATTCTTGAAATGATAAAATGATAAAAATACAGAACAGATGAGTGGTGTTTCTAGGGGTTGAGGAGGAGAAGGTGGTGTAGGAAGAAAGTGGCTGTGGCTATAAAAGGGCAACATGAGGGACCCTTGTGGTGACTGTTCTATGTCTTGACTGTATCAAGTTAATATCCTAATTGTGATACTGTACTACACTTTTGCAAGATGTTATCATTAGAGGAAGGTACATAAAGGGTGCACAGGGTCTATCTGTATTATTTCTTACAACTGCATGTGAGTCTACAATTGTCTCAAATAAAAATTGAACTTGAATAATAATATGTAGACAATGCTCCCCTTTATTGCCTGCACGGGGGAGGAGCCACTCCCACACCCCATCCTTGGTAGCCAACTGCTCCATTCCAAAGGTATTTTTTAAGCGAGAGTGTTGCTGAATCAGTGTTGGATTTTCAATGTCCAAACACCATTAATTTAGTGCTTCAGAGTGCTGTTCATGATTTTTAGTAGGAAGGTTTTTGGTTTTTATGAGGGCAATTACTTTGTGTGCCTTTTATGGGGGGCGACGCTGGAACCATACACATAACTCCTCTCCCCAGCTGGGTCCACAGCCCTGCAAGCACACACGGATATACCAACCTTTTCCTCTTCTCCCATGGGCCAATGTGTTAAGGAGGAAATTTGTCTCCAGAATTCAGCCCCGACCCAATCCTTCTCCTATGTGCTTGGCTAACTGTGAATCAACCTGGCTGGGGTTGCCCATGTGACCCCAACCGGGCAACACCCACCTCCATCTCTTCCCACACACTACCTCTTCCCTCCTTCCTCTCTCCCCACCATCGGAGAACATGTAGACACACATATCAGTTTACAACAGACTCATTTAGTTTTCTTTTTTGATTTAGATTTATTGTTATTGATAAGGTTTATAATAACAAATTAAATATTTAAAATCAAAGGCCAATTATTAGGTCTCATTTAGTTGCTTATTTCATTTACTTTTATTTACCTTCCCCTAGTGTCTGAATAACTATCAAGAAACAAGTCAAACCTGTGAAAATACCTGTTAACATTCAACATATATTTTTATATATTTCTGTTCTATGAGTCATTTAATTTTCATCACCATGGAGCATGCCCTGCTGGGTATAAAATGTACCCTAGACCTTGTTGGCTATTTCTCTGGGGACTAGACCTCTGGTGACTTTGCAGATAGATCTCAGGTCTCTGGTATTGCCCTGAAATTACTGGCTGCCCAGGGGACACACTGGAGATGGTTTTGGTCCCGCTGTGGCTCGTTTTGATTGAGCTCCTCATTCAGCTGGTCACGGTGGCCTGGTAGTGTTGGCCTACTCCCTTCCTGGAGTTTTCCTCAAGCAGTGGTCATTTTGGGAGAGGCTTCTTTTCTGGAACGCCATCAAAGTGTTTCTTTTCCCTTGCTGGTTTGGGAACCTGAAAGGACAACAAGGAGATCACAGAAAGGCATTGGTTTTGGGGAAGTGGATGGAGGAGGGATGGAAAGACGGGTTTCATGAGAAGGGATACAGGCTGGGGTGGGGGGTTGTGTCAGGCCAGGATAGGGTAGAAGTCTTGGGAGGGAGGAGTCAAGGGGAAGACGAGGAGGAGCTTGGGTGGGTTCCTCACCTTGATAGGGCTTCTGGACCTTGATTGAGAAGGGGTCTTCCTCCTCCTCGCCTCTTTGGTGTTGGCAGGTGGTTGTTCCACAACTGGGCTGGAGGCTTATGGTTTCTTGGCCATCTTCACCTTGTCCTCGTCTCTCAATGGTCTACTCCAGGCCACCTGGCCTCCCCATATATACCCCTCCCAGGACAATGACGAACCACATCCCTAAGCTTTGACTAGTCAGAGAGCCACTACCCATCCAGTGGTGGCTCTGGAAGGCTTAAATATACAAAGCACCAACCTGACACCTCTGTGGTGATGGTGGGGGAGGGGTGGCAGTGAGGGGGCCAAGATGCTCTGGTTGGAGAAACGTAGCATTTCATTAGCAACCCTATACAGCCATCCAAACTAACCTGCTACCCTCTCCATCTCCCCATATTAAGTTCTGGTGGGTCACATCGTGGGGAGAGAGTGTTCCCTCCAAGCCTTCCCCCATGGCCACCTCATTGAGTGGCTCACTCCATTCTCTCCTACCCTTCACGATTATCTAATTTTTGTACATCTTACCAAAAATCCCTCCAAGGTAATATGGCCGATTTAGCTGTATGCAGAGATGTGAATCATCCCACTTCCCTCCTAAAAATTTATCCTATGTAACTTGAAGACCACTCACTTCTTGGTTACTGTCAGGGAAAAGTTCCATCCCGCATTCTTTTCCTAGTGTCCATAGAGGTCCCTTCAGTTTTCTGTTTTCCAATCTGAAATCGCTGCCTTCAGGCTGTCAGGCTCTCATGCTGTAAACAGCCTTGTTCTACTGAGTATCTTATTAGTCTTGTTTCAACTATGGGCATTGTGTTCATCTCAGTCTGTGTAGTACCAGATTTGGGTTTTAACAGGAGGGATGAGGGAGATATTCATTTGCCAGAAGTTGTGCGGGGTGTTTGCATGCAGGAAACTACAACCTAAGACATTTGAGTTCACAGAGGTGGAGTGGTTGTTCAACATTATACTTGTTGCTCAGTGCAACGAAGAGAGAAAAAGACCTCCAGATTGGAAAGGGAAAAGCAAAACCGTCTTTAGTCTATGCAGAAACCTGTACAAATCTAAAATAAAAATGCTTCTAGAACTAATAATTGAATTTGGCATGGTCACAAGATAAAATATCAATACACAAAAATTAATTCTATTTTATATACTAGCAATGAGAAATTGGAAATTGAAATTAAAAACAGTATGATTTAAAAGTAACACTAGGCCAGGCGTGAAGGATCACACCTGCAATCCCAGCACTTTGGGAGGCCGAGGCAGGCGGATTACCTGAAGTCAGGAGTTCGAGAACAACCTGGCCGACGTGGTGAAACCCCGTCTCTATGAAAAATACAAAAATTAGCAGTGTGTGGTGGCGGGCACCTGTAATCCCAGCTACATGGGAGGCTGAGGCTGGAGGATCATTTGAACCTGGGAGATGGAGGTTGCAGTGAGCCGAGACCTCGCCACTGCACTCCAGCCTGGGCAGCAAGAGCGAAACTCCGTCTCAAAATAAAATAATAAAATAAAAGTAACACTAGAAAACATGAAATACATAGACATAACTATGATGAAATATGTAGAAGATCTGTACACCAAAAACTAAGAAATATTGCAGTGATAAATTAATGAAGGATAAATGCCTAAATAAAGTTTATTTTGGTATTTGTCTCCTAAATAAATGGAGATAGCTATCTTATTCATGAGTTGGAAGACTTACTACTGTTAAGATGTACATTCTTTCCAAATTCATATATAGATTCAATAAAATCCATATCAAAAACCTGAAAGACTTTTTTAAAAATAGAAATTGACAGGCTGGTGTTCACATTCATGTATAAGTACAAAGAACTTAGAGTAGCCAAAATAACTTTTAAAAAGACAACAACACGTGTATACCTGTGTAAGAAACCTGCACGTTCTGCACATGTATCCCAGAACTTAAAGTGTAATAAGTTAAAAAAAAAAGACAACAAAAGTTGCATGGGTTACACTACTTAATTTCAAGGCTTATTATAAAGTCACAATAATCAGAAGAGTGTAGTATTGTCATAACAATAGAAATGTGTCAATGGAACTAAAGAGAGAGTCTAGAAATATATTCACGTATATGTATTTATAGAGAATTCCTTATTGATTTGAATAGACAGTTCTCAAAAGAAGACATACATATAGCAAACAAGCATGTAACAAGTGCTCTGCCTGTTTGATCATCAGAGAAATGCAAATCAAAGCTACAGTGAGATATCATCTCACCCCAGTTAGAATGGCTTATATCCAAAAGACAGCAACAACAAATGTTTGCAAGGATGTAGAGAACAGAGAACTCCCATACACTGTTGGTGGGAATGTAAATTAGTATAACCACTATGAAGAACAGTTTGAAGGGTCCTCCAAAAACTAAAAATAGAGCTACCATATGATCCAGCAATCCCATTGCTGAGCATATACTCAAAAGAAAGGAAATCAGTATATCAAAGAGATATCTGTATTCCCATGTTTGTTACAGCACTATTCAAAACAGCCAAGATTCGGAAGCAACCTAAATTTCCATCAACAGATGAATGGCTAAATAAAATATGGTACATATACACAATGGAGTGCTACTCAGCCATCAAAAAGAATGAGATTCTATCATTTGCAACAACATGGATGGAACTGGAGATCATTTTGTTAAGTCACAACAGGGTGACTATGGTCAATAGTTTTTAGTTATTTTAAAATAACTAAAAGAACATAATTGAATTGTCTGTAACACAAAGAGTAAATGCTTGAGGGGATGGGTACCCCATTTCACATGATGTGATTATTACACATTTCATGCCTGTATCAAAACATCTCATGTACTTATGAGATGTACAACTACTATGTACCCACAAAAGTAAGAATTCTTTAAAAATGACACATAAAATGTTTTAAAAATGCTATTCCCACAATTGATTTTCCTTGTCAAATATTAATGGTACCCATTTTAGTCTAAACATCCTTGATAAAAGAAAAAACATAGGAAGACTCACACTTCCTGATTTCAAAATTTATGACAAAGCAACTGGTCAAGACAGTAGTGGTACAAGGATAGAAGTATAGATCCATGAAATAGAATTGAGAGTCCAGAAATAAACTCATGTCTCTGGGGACAACTGATTTTAATAAGGGTGTCAAGAGAACCCAATGGGGGAAAGAATGATCTTTTCAACAAATGGTGCTGGGGCAGCTAGATAAGCACATACAAAAGAATGAAGTTTGACCTTACCTCACAGTATATACAAAAATTAACTCAAAATGAACAAAAGACCTAAATATAAGAGCTATTACTATAAAATTTGCAGAAAACAACATAGGGGTATATCTTCATGACCTTAGATTAGGCAAATAATTCCTAGATATGACACCAAAAGCATGAACAGAAAAAAAATAGATAAATTGGACTTCACAAAGATTTTAAACTTTTGGGCTTCAAAGGACACCATCAAGACAGTGAAATGCCAACCCAGCTGATGATTGTTCTTCTCAGATTTCTCAAAACTACTCCTGTACATTGTCGTATACTCCCTCCCCCTCTGGCTTCTTTCCCCTGGGTTCCAGGGTCCCTGTCCCTAGTGGGCTGAACTCTGGATTCAGAGCTCTGAGTGCCAGCCTGCCTGGGGCTCTGTGGACTTGGTTTTGCATGTGGTCTCACTCATGAACTCTGACAATTGCTCTCCCCTGGATCCACCCAATGCCCCTCACGGGCTGAGCATGTCCTGTCTGCTCTCCTTCCGTGCCTCCTGGTCAGTCTGACTGAATCTTTTTTCCTCAAATGAAAAACATATGTTGACATTTCAAAATTTTAAATTTTAAATCATGCCCAGAGGAATAGTCTTACTTAGAACACTGCATAAATCCAGCTTCGTATGGGTAAGAAATTAACTTAGTGTTCTAATTAACCTAGCTAGAAAATGCAGAGACACAAATTAAAGTAACATTGAGAAAATATTTTTCACTCATATTTTTGATCAAAATTTTAAAATTAATATAGTAAAATGTTCACGAGAGTATAAAATGTCCACATACATTAATGCCAGATCTGACTGGCAGACGCTGACCGAGCGATGGATAAAAAATGTACTCAGACACAGGTATCCAGTGAAAGAGAAGGCTAGGGGACTGGGCCATTCACATAAAGAGTTGTAGCAGCCATGGCCCCAACAAGCCGGCACTGCGGGCAAATATTCACTACAGATTTAATGACAAAGGCTTTGAGTCAACACATCTTGTGGGTAATTAACATGGCCGCCCCCCAGAGAGAGCAGTCCTGCACACAGATGGTTAAAGGCCAGGTTTCGGGCCTAAGTAAACTAACTGATCTAGATCAATTCCTTTACACTTCCTTGTTATCTGCTTTTTGCTCTCTGGCTTTGGATAAGAGACTTTGGCTGCCTTCAGCCAAATTTTTGAAGCTTTTGCAAAACCTCCTGGCCTTCCAAGGCTTGTGTTTTTCCTATAATTCCTTCTTATAATTTCTCCCACCACCCTGACCTATCTCTTACATCTCCCCCTTTTCTGTTTTTTTGCATCAGATTTTGTTGATTGAAGAGCACAGATGTGTACAGCAACATGTTTGTCTGGCACAGCGGTTATAACTCATATTCTGGCTTTGAATCCTAGAATTAGTAAATAACATAAGGCAAACATGAGTATAATTCACAACGTTCTTTTCCAATCAAGGAGTGACCCCCAGGAGTGGGGATCTATCCAGGAGAGATGTTCTCTCATACCCTTCCGTATGGCTATTTGTTGGGCTTGTAGGTCTATGGCGTTTAGGGATTCTAGAATTTTAGTTTTAAGTTGCTTTACGTCTGCTGTTAAATTATCACGAAAGGTTCCCCAGAGGTGCTGTTTCACCTTATCCCAACTATGTATTGATTGATTCCAAGGTAGAGAGGTAACACAGATGTGCCTAAGCTCCCAGTCACAGTTTAATTGCTGTTGGAACGCAAGTGCATCTTGTTGCTCCCCTACATATTCCAAGTCAGCCTCAAGGGCTTGCAGATGTGCAAGAATCTTTTGATCTATACCCTGCTGTAAGAGAAGTACATCAGACACATTTCTGGCCAAATTATCTACAAAAGTAGCTGTCTGTACTGATTCAGTAATAGATGCTACAGCAACACTAGCAGTTGCTAGGATGACTATGGCTGAGACCATAAAGGCTATAAGTGTAACTATAAATCTTTTGCGTCTGACCTGGGACAGGGCACATTCTAAGGTGGCAAGGGCAGAGGAACCTTGCCAATTGCATGTTAAATTGACCGGTAGGAAAGCCTCAGATTGTCTCCTCAATACCATGACACTAGCAATATTTAAATTAGATATATTATAATTAGTGATACAAGAGATGAACCAAGCCTGTCCCTGCATTCGAGTCACAAACGTGGAGTTTTGGGGTGTAATAGAAATATTGGTTCCCATAAGGAAAACATATGGATGGGTAGTGCAAATCAGGCAAATCAGGCACTGATCGGTGTGATTATGAAAAAAGGTCATAGTATAATTGTGACTGGAATTATGATATGTCCCATGCCAGGTGTTAAGGGAAGTGCTAAGATGTCCCAGGTGCCATAAAGTGTCTTGGGGTGGCATGGACTCTACTTGGGGTCTGGGATATCCCTCCCCCCATCGGCCCAAATTATAGGGGAACGGGATGTGGCTACAAAACTGCCATTGATGCCAAGATAGACATGGACATCAATACGATCGCCCTGCAAATGGCTGGGAGGACTCCAGTCTAAGATGTTATAATTGCTTAACTGGAGGCTACAGGCCTGTTCCCCGTGACAGACCTCCCAGCTAAAGTGGAATCCATTACTTTCCCAGCTTTGTTCTTTAGCACAGGGAGGAATGTTTGGGAAAATGGCATTGATTGCATTGCCTGGTTTGAGGCTACCTGCTACTAAGACTGTTAAAGCATTTCCTTTGCCACAATGTAGCCAAAATTGTGTTTGAGCAGGTACACAGTAAGGGTTAGAACTTTTATAACTTACACACAGTGGGAGGATAGTGGAGTGATATGTAGTGTTACCTGGCACCTTAGTCCACTGTGTGCCATTAATGAGGGACCCCACTAGGGGTAAATCTATCTCTCCCAGCCAAGCAGTTATGTTATTAGAGGCTGGGAAGGGGGTGTCTGCCCAGGTGATGGGGCAGAAGAAGGGCAGATCTAAGCGATGAGTCCAATAGAGTGCAGCAGGTGCAGATTGCAGACAAAGCGAGAGCATAAAAAGGATCAATGCCCTACATGAGTTGCAATGTACAACAGAGAGCATAGCAAGGAACAAATTATCTGGAGTGAATGGTGTCTGTGTCCGGAGCAGGATTCGCTCGGCCTCCTGAGTTGTCTTCTTCAGCATCCCCCAGGTAATGTCTGGGGCTTGTGTCATCCGAGGAAGCAGTATTGTCTGGGGCTGCGGGTCCTGCAGGGTCATTTTCTTCATTTCTGGTATGGGTTGGGTCCTAGTCATGCCATGGTATGGTTTGATGCATCCTGCTGGAATCCAAAGAGGATCTGAGGGGGTGTGAACACAAGCATATCCTTTCCCCCATTTAAGCAATTCATTTGGACCATACCATACATTACTGTTTACAACTTTCTGTAAAACAGCAGGTTTTATGTCTTGAGAGGTTTTAGCAAAGTGCTTTTCTACAGCTGATGGAAATTTATCTTTAAATTTAAAAAATTAAGGGTAAATAAGGCTTGTGCCAATAGTGTTGCAGTGTCCTTAACTCATATTCCCCCTTTTTTGTTTTTTTGAGCATATTTTTAAAGGTGAAATGGACACGTTCTACTATGGCCTGTCCTTGGGGGGTTATGCGGGATGCCTGTGGAATGTTGGATGTTCCACATGTGACAAAATTGTTGAAGCTGTGAGCTGGCATAAGCCAGACCGTTATCAGTTTTATTCTTTGTGGGCCGCCCCATAAATGCAAAAGTTAAAAGAAGATGTTTAATGACATATCGGGTGGACTCTCCAGGAAAGGCATGAGCACTAATTACATGAGAATTGGTATCAATGGACACATGTACATATCTTAGTTTTCCAAATTCAGGGATGTGTCTAACATCTGTTTGCCATAACTGATTAGGTTCTAGTCCTCTAGGGTTAACACCTGTAGAAGGAGGGGATGTGCCTGTGAGCTGGCAATCTGGGCATTGCAGGATAATTTGTCTAGCTACTCTCTGGATAAGTTGAAATCGTTTGGATAAGTTTCTCCAATTTTGGTGGGAAAATTGATGTTATTGGGTGGATTGGTTAAGCCGTGATGTCACCACTTGTAGGTCTGCTTGTTCATTGTCATAAGCCAGTGGGCCAGGCAGTGAGCTGTGGGCTCGAATATATGTGATAAAAATAGGATGTGTACGTTGATCTAGCAATTGCTGAAGTCGAACAAAAAGTGCACACAGTGTGGGCTCCAGAGTGGACTTAATGAGGGTTGTTTCAAGGTTCTGCAGTAAATAAATAGAGTAAGCAGGGTCACTAACAATATTGATGGGTTGAGCGAAAAAATTCTCGAAGGCCAATATTAAGGCTCCAACTTCAGCTCTCTGAGTGCTAGTAAATCCAGAATGAATGAGGGAATTATGCGGTCTCCACCAAATAGCCGCTTTTCCATGTTTACCAGAGCCATCGGTAAACAGTGTTAAAATGTTAGGTATGGGGGAGTGAGCTATTTTTGCAGGCAAAACCACAGAAGTATGAGATAAGAACTGAAGTCATTTATCAGCAGGAAGGGCATGCTCTACATGGCCTGTGTAATCAGAGAGTGCTGTTTGCAGGCCTAAAGATAAAGGCAATACTGCTTCGAATTGCTTTTTACTCAAAGGAATTCTGATGACATCAGGATCATAACCTAGCAACCTATTGCATTGTCTGCGGCCTGAATGGATGACTTTACTAATTAGCTGGATATATAGAGAGAGTGTTTTAGTCCTATTATGTGGGCAAAAAACCCATTCTAGAAAGTGCAGCCCTGGGCCCATCTGTCCTATTAATCCTCTTGGGGAATGTTTAGTGGGAAAAACAAACAACTGAACTGAATATCATGGAGCTATGCAATCTAGTTGCCTGTGAGAAATAGCTTGCTCTACTCCCTCAATTTCCCTTTATGCTGCAGGAGTTAAGTGCCTAGAAGAGTCTAGAGCAGCATTGCCTTTTAATATAGAAAACAGGTTTTGGAACTTATAAGTAGTTATGCCTAAGGTGGGGCGAAGCCAGTTAATATTGCCTAGTAATTTCTGGTCATTATTTAAGGTGTGTAAGTTGCTAGTATTTAATTTAACCTTTTGAGGTTTTGCTGACCGGGAAGTTAGTATGTGCCCAAGGTATTTCCTAGGAGAGGACATTTGTACTTTTTCAGGTGCTATGATTGAACCTCTTAACTGCGTGTTCTTTACGACAGAGGAATATAAACTTAAAAGTACTGGCTCTGTTGGGGCTGCTGGTAAAATATTATCCACAAAATGAATAATCTTGCAATTAGGAAATTATTTTCTACTGGGGAGCAAAGCTTGATTTACATGTTACTGACACATGGTAGGACTGTTCAGCATTCCTGGAGGAAGCACTTTCCAATGAAATCTGCAAGCTGGCCTTTCATTATTGATAGCTGGTATTGTAAACGCAAATTTTTCTCTGCCCTGTTTTGCAAGGGGAATAGTACAAAAGCACTCTTTTAAGTCAATAACAACTGTAGGCCAATCTTGAGGAATCGCCGTGGGGGAAGGGAGCCCCTGTTGAAGGGGCCCCATAGGTTACAAATTAGCATTAATAGCACATAAGTCATGCAAAAGTCTCCATTTACCAGACTTTTTGGGAATGACAAAAATGGGCAAATTCTAAGGGCTATTTGATGGTTCTATATGGCTGGCTTTTAATTGCTCCTCAACTAGTTCATGGGCTCTTTGTAATTTCTCTCCCTTTAAAGGCCACTGTTCTACCCAAACTGGATCTAGAGAGAGACACGTGAGGGGTAGGGGAAGAATTACAACAGTGGCCATTATTAGAAAGGGGTCTGTAGAGTGATCCCCACATTGGGCTAATAGGTCCCGCCCCCAAAGATTAACAGGGATGGACATGATTAGAGGTTGTATAACTGTTTTTCTTCCCTCCAAATCGCAACATATTAGGGGGCGTGTGCTCTGCTTGGCTGTGTGCGCTTCCCCGATGCCGACAATTTTTCGTTTCTGAGTGACCGAAGGCCAAGTTTCTGGCCAGTTTTGATCGCTAATGATTGAAATATCCACCTCTGTGTCCAATAAGCTAGTAACATTTTTATTTCCAATTTTTAAGGTAATCATGGGTCTCTGATAAGCGATTAATTGGTTCCAATATACTCCTGTGGCTCCCGTGCTTCCAAAACTTCCCTTTCCCCTTTCTTTTCCCTGGGCTTTGGGGACCCAGTATGGTAAGAGTATTAACTGGGCTATCTTTGATCCAGGGAGAAGAATATGCAGACCTTTACGTTCCATCATAACTAATATTTCACTTTGATAATCACTATCAATTACTCAAGTGAGCACATTAATCCCTTGACTGGATAGCCTTGATTGCCCTAGGACTAATCCCACTGTTCCCGGAGGCAGTGGGCCCCAGATCCTGGTTGCAACCCTTTTAGGGTCTTCTCTTTCTTTTAGCACTAATTCGTTGGGGCAGAGTTAAGTCCAGTCCTGCGCTCCCAGTGGTGGCTGCTCTGAGAGAGAGGACTGTGGGCTTTCCATCTGACTGAAGAAAGCCGCTGGCATTGCCCGTTTGGAGCGGGGCCTGGGGCTGGCCCCTCATGAAGTTTCCCGCCTGATTACTTAGGGGGTTGCTGTTTTTATCAAATTTGGACCCGCACTGATTTGCCCAATGTTTCCCCTTTTTATATCAGTGGCATATAGAAGGGGGTTCTTTTCCTGAATTACCTTGCTCTCTACTACTGGGGCATTCCTGCTTCATATGGCCTGGCTCTCCACATAGAAAACAATTTGGGTTTCTCTCCTTTTTCACTTTAGGAGGCCTTAATGCCATAGCCAATATTTTTGCTTTGTGTGTTTCAGTCCCCACCAGTTGACACGCTTGTATAAGTTCCCCAACTATGGCTGCCTTTCCTCTGATTGCCTGCATTGCTTGCTGGCAGTCGATGTTAGCATTTTCATAAGCCAATTGCAACAATAAGATAACAGCGGCCTGGGCATGACTAATTTGTCTTTTAATTGCCTGGGTTAACCGATTGATAAATTCAACAAATGGCTCCTGAGGCCCTTGTCAAACATTTATAAAAGATCCCTGTTGAACTCTGCTCTCGGGAATTCAGTCCCAAGCCCTGAGAGTGCACAAAGACACTTGTGCATAGGCCTGGGGATCAAAATTTAGTTGTTGTTGTGCATCAGCATGGGGACCCCTCGCCTGGAGCATAGCAGCTGTTATGTTTTGCCCGGCCAATTGATTCTGGTTGGCTTGTTGTTCGCATATTCTGCCCTCCAGAGGAGGTATTGGCTGGGCCCCAAAGTTGTTTTAGCTAGCACTGACCAGTCCCATGGGGTCATACAGAAGTTGTCTGACATGGCTTCAATTATTCCTTTTGCAAATGGGCTAGTGGCTCTGTTTTCTTTAATGCTTTTTCTTATCTCTTTATAAGCATTAAAAGAAATGGGTTCATATACCCGATTGCCTTGTTGATTTTGCATTACCAGGCAGGCCAAGAGCTCCCCTTCAAATGCCACTTGCCTAAGATAGGGTCCTATAGCTGTAGCGTATCCCTTGTCTTTTTTCCAATTTATTGGAGGAGAGGGCTTAGGCAAAACCTCTTTGGTACATTTGCCCAGAAACAGCCGGGCTGAGGGAGATAGAAGTGGTAAGGTAGGTGATGGTTCCTCCTCCCTCCCCTTTTTAGGCTCTTCTGTGTATAGCGGGACCAAAGCAACCCTAACTAAAGCCCATAACGTTAGAGATGTTACTGGGACCCGCTGCCCTTGTGCATGATGTTGTTTAGGATTTCTCCCAACTTGTTCCCAGAGCTCTACGTCTAGCGTACCTTCTTCCGGGAACCATGGGTTATGGGAAGCAACAGTTTGCATTAGGTCCCTTAACTGAGCCTGCGAAACTGAGGCTCTGCTAGCTTTAAGCAGCTGTTTCAATACTTTTATATACTGTTGCTGTTGCGCTGATACCTGTTGTCCGATGATGAAACCCTAGCCTGAACAATTCCTTCGAACTTAGAAATCCCGAGCGGGCACCTATGACTTATTGACTTAATGACTGCGCAGTCTCTTCACCTTCGTTTTCGAGGGTTCCGTTGTGATCCGTTGCAGTGTTCCTCACACGGGGCACCACCTGCCGGGTCTGACCGGCAGACCCTGACCAAGCGACAGATGAAAAAATGTACTCACACACAGGTATCCAGTGAAACAGGGGGCTAGGGGACTGGGCTGTTCACAGAAAGAGTTGTAGCAGCCTCGGCCCCAACAAGCCAGCGCTGCAGGCAAGTATTCAGTACAGATCCTTTGAGTCAATACATCTTGTGGGTAATTAACATGGTTGCCCCCCACAGAGAGAGCAGTCCTGTGCATGGATGATTAAAGACCAGGTTCTGAGGCCTAAGTAAACTAGCTTATCTAGATCAATTTATTTACACTTCCTTCTTATCTCCCTTTTGCTCTCAGGCTCTGGATAAGAGACTTTGGCGGCCTTCAGCCAAATTATCTTTCGAAGCTTTTGCAAAACCTCCTGGCCTTCCAAGAAGGTTTGTGTTTTTCCTATAACTCCTTCTTATAATTTCTCTCACTACCCTGACTGATCTCCTACACATTAATCTGTGAGAACATGAATTGCTTCAGATTTTGGATTGAAAGGTCTGCAATATTTATAAAACTGTAAACTGTTTCCACCCTTTCCTCTTTAACCTCATGTTCACATTGTTAAGTATTTCTTAGTAAAAAAAATGCACATTTGCACAATAATTCATGTTCAATGATGTTGATTTTAGTTCTATTAATCATAACAAGTAGAGAACAATTTATTTATCTGTCAGGTATAGAATGGTTTAATTGATTATGGCATATTAATGCTTTAAGATTCTAGAGAGTGGTTACAAAATCGAGGGAGATACATACATACTGTCATGGTAAGATTCTGTATCCATTTTATTAAGTGGTAAAGGCAAGTAGCATATCAATATATACATCATTATCAAAATGACCAATATGCTAGTATTTGCATAGCACATCTATATATAAGAAGCCTAAAATCAGCTTTAAAATAATACATATCAGATTAATAATTATGGTGAACTCTGTGATGGGGCTTAAATTGTGGAAGGACTTTGGAAAGGGAGAAATTACAATATATCTGTATATTTAGATTGTTTGCAACAAGAATACATATACACACTGCTATTTTTGTGATGAGACTCTTTAAATAAGAAAAGCAGCAAAAATAGTTGCTGTGTATTAGTCAGTAAAAATAACCGCTAGTTGATGCAACAGACAAACCCTAAAATTTGAATGGATTGACACAAGAAAAGTTTATTTTATGTGCCCATAAGTTCTGATGCGGTTTGGCAGGGGCTCTCCACTCTCACATGACCCAGGGATCCAGGCTGCTTCCACCTTGTGATTCCATCATCTCAAAATGAAACTGCCATGTTTACTGTTGGATGGAGGAAGAAAACTTGGAAATGGCACACTGGTTCTCAAATGCCTGGATGTGACAAACAACACTTCTGCTCATGTTTCAGTGGTAACAAGTGGTCACATGACCCTTCCTAACTGCAAGTGGGCTGTACTGTTCCCATGTGTCCGGGAAGGAGACAAAGACAAAATGTGAGTGAGTGGTATAGTCTCCCCCATAAACTGTTATGTAGGAGGTGCTCAAAAAAAGCAATTATGATAATTTGGTATTACACAACCCTTGTCATTGCTAGAGTTTCTGAGAAGCCCACATTTGCCTTGAAGTTCTCTAACATTTTCAAGTGCCTGCTACGTGACTGATGCTTTGAAATGTAAGATCACAACTGTCCAAGAACTTTGAAAGTCTCAGCAGGAAGGCTCATCAGGGAATCTTCCCTTTATAATACCCTTTAAACAATTAGTAGGCTTTGAACTTTTCCTCCATTTGATTCCTGGTCAAAATTTTAACCTGTGAGTTTCTGCTACCCTTCACATGCCTAAACACCTGTCAGGTGCCTTTAGACACAATGAAAGCACATATTTTCCTGTGGGGCAAGTACTAGACAAGAGAAAGTAGAAACTTGGTTAATTATTCTACTAAAATTTGAGCTAGTACTCCCACCAAGGCAGCATTTTTCACCTCCTGGGAGACTCTGGGGTTTTAGTTCAGCCTCAGTAGATGTTGACTCCACAGTGATTTCCATGTTCTTTCCTCATCTCCAGCTTATGCGAGAGAGTTTAGATTTTCACCACCAAGGTAAGGTCATTCATCCTTGTATGTGTTCAGTGACCAGTTTCAAATAAAACACCCCATTAAATTCCTATTACGAATAACAAAATGGCTTTAAAAAACTCTCTCTCTGTAACTTCGTATCTCAAGAATAGTATATCATGTGCTAATCACATTCCACTCACCATCTATTTAGAAAAGTTCGAGGGTGTATTTAGACACACAGTTGGGATGACAGGATGTGTAAAGGGGAAGGCAGGTGATTCCGCTTAGCCTTCACAGCAAGCAGCAGGGAGGAGCAGGAAGCAGGCCAGATTCCAATTGGAAGAAAGGGCACATGAGGGAGACCAAGGGAAGGCCTCTGTGGCGCGAGAAAGTGTTAGGGTTGGACAGAAATTCCTGCACTTGGGTAGAGTCAGCTCTCAGGAACCCTAGGGCTCAGGCAGGAGGACCCTAGGTTAATAAAGCCCACAGACTATCCCCAGATTATGTTTCATTCTCATTGTCACCTTCCTTTTGTAGGCCCGCTTTCAGTACCACGTCCACAGTGTCCTTCTTTTGGCCACTTGAGAGACATTATGCAGTACTGAGAAAACAAATGAATTAAGGGACAGAGGTGTACTTCAGGCTGCAAAGAGTGAGAATAGAATGGGCTCTAGATGAATTCAGGCCAACCTTGTGGTTTACCAGTGATATGATCTTGGGAAAGTTACCAAGCACCATGAGACTCAGGTTCATCCAGAAAATGGGTTTGATAGACCATTTTTTTAGGACTGTTGTAATGTATAAAATGTATTAAAACACCTGGGATGATGCCTGGCATGTACTGGATATTTAATGATTGACAGCTATTTCTAGTATTACTGTGACCCCAGGTGCTACCACTCTCTACTTTGGAATATTTTTTATTGTCCAGGACATCTCAGAGAATCTGCAACTCAGTAGGAAACTGCATTTCCTTGGTGAATATGTATGTGGGGGGAGGGGGGTGTACATGTGTGTATGGGTGTGTACTTTCATAGAACAACAGATTAATATGGATAAGAAGACAAGAATTAATGACCTTCTCCTTTTATTTCTCTGTTTCACAACACCAGTTCAGCTTTATTGTTAAGTTCTTACATTCTCCAAGAAAATACCTATTGCAAATCACAGCAAGATGGAAGATTTCCCAAAATGTTTTACAAAATGGCAAACACTTGCACTTGAAATGGATAAGCAAAACAACATGTGTGGTCAGTATCATCCATACACTTAGATGTTGAAGCTAACTAAAACTTTTATTACAGGAACAATATTTGAAAATTACCAAAGGGAAACAAAAAGAAATCTCCAAGTCACCCGATGGAAGAGAAACCTAAAGGCAGTATACAATGTGTTCCCTTCCATTCACTGTGCCTTCTACTACTGAGAACACTGACTTCTCTCATCAAACACAGAGGGAAGAATGGGCCTGATTTCACACAGGACAGGGAAACTGCTGGGTGTGGCCCTGAAGCATGCATTGGCCCATTTCCCTGCCCGCTGGCCCTGGTTGCATCTCATGCTCAGACTCCCTCTCCCTCCTCTCTCAAAGCATCTTCATACAGGGATGGGTAAGAAGTGGGATCCCTCCCATTGGCATTGGCTATGTACTCAAGAACTTTCATCTTGCTGGTCTCAGCGTGGGCCCTTGGACCCCACAGGAACTCATAGCATGCAGGATCAGTGCCGGGCACCTGCCGGTACACCAGGTACTTTTCCTGCACCCAATTTTGGGTAAGGAGCCTCTTGGGCTCCCCAAAGAGGAAGTGCTCCCTTCCAGCATACACCCCCATAATGCTCAGGACTTCCCACATAACCTCTTCAGGGATGCAGTTCCCCTCCATGAAGATTACACCCAGGACTATTATCAGGAGGCCAGACTTGGGCATGCTCTGCTCATTACACTGTATGCCATCATAAGAGAGGTTGAGGGAGGTGACAAGGACATAGGAGTGGCTAGTGGGGTCCACTTCCTTCACATCAATGCCAAAGAGCAGTTGCATGCATACAGAGGCTTCCCTAAATATCTCAGGAAAGTAGTCCTCATAATTTTTGATGACACTCCCCAGCATTTCTGCCTTTGTGATCAGCCCCTTGACTCGATACTTGCGGAGCAATAAATGAACCAAATCAATTATCTTGTCATGTAGTATATCTTGGGAAAAGGACTCAGGGTCTATCAGGTCAGGCGAGGTACTTGGCCCCTCCTTTTCTTGGCTGCCAGAGCCCTCATCAGATAGGCTCCCAAAGATGGCATCCATGGCAGTGGGAGAGAAGGACTCTTCCTGAGGACTCTGGGGAGGACTTGGTGACTCAGCAGCAGGCAACTCCTCTAGAGTGCCCACATTCAGAGTAGAGGAGAAGAAGGCAGCCTCCTGCTCCTCAGCTTGGAGAGCCTGTGCACCCACCAGGCCCAGGTCTTCTTCTTGGGCCTGAAGGCCTTCCTCAGGCTTGCAGTGCTGACTTCTTTGCTCAAGAGGCATGATGACTCTGGTTAGGTCAGCAGGCCGAACTGTGGGAAATATCTGGGTGATGGGGCCCCACAGCCTGGGGAGAGAGGGAGCGTGAGAACAGACTCAGATGAGATATGAACCATGGAGAATCTAACAAAGGCCTACTTACACTTGTTCTCCTCCAGTGATCCTCTGGGTTCTCCTGGGACTCCTGTCCTCCAGGTTGGCCTGTTCTCTAAAAACCTGAAAAAGGAAGTGAGAAGGCTGCTCAAGATGCAGCTGGACATCAGAGCAGGAGGCTCCAGGACTGAGGTAGGGCAGGTGAGGTTGCAAGCTGGGGGTCCCTTTCTGTACTGGGGCAGGTGGGGCCATTTGTAGATTAAGGGTGAACATCTCATCTTGACTACTGGCACTGCCTAGGCTTCCTGTGTTCTGAGATCTGAAGACATTGCTTGAGACCAAGGCCTCACTGCTCAGTTTTTGGAGCTTCTAGAAGAGGAATCATGGGGCCATCAGGCTGCAGACTGCAAGCACCCATCCTGGCACCCCAGCACTGTCAGAAAGGTGGGCCAAACTCTGTGAGTTTCTCACTTTTTTGGAGTGGATGGTCCCCTCTGTGCTCAGGGCCCTCACCTTTCTCCTGCCAGGGCCTGGAAGACACAGCTCTCCTGACCTGAGAAACTCTCAGATCAATAGCTCTTTCCTGATATGAAAGAGGACATGTGGGGATACACATCTGGCCACATGTACACAGGGCTACCCAGGAAGGACAGCAAGAGATGGTGACAGTCAGCAGGGTCCATGTGTCCTCGGGTAAGGAGCCTGTTTGGTTCCCATCTTGATGCCTATCTTGGCCTGGGACCCTCCCTCTGTTGACCTGACGCCATCTCCTTAAACCAAAGCTCTACCTCCAGGAGATATCAGAAGAGGAAATCAGGGAAATAGAAACACCCATGGTCCCAGGGACTTCCCATAGCTGACAGAAGGGGCAGGGAAGGGCTGAGTCCCATGTTTTTGGTAAGTGCTGTCCCGTCAGCCCCCACCTTGATTCTGGTCATGGCCTGGGACCCTCCCACTGCTGACCTAAGTGCAGCCCTCTCAGACCAATGTCTCCCGCTCCCTGAGACCAATGATCCCAGTATAAGAGAGGGGTCTCAGCACATAGTCCTGCACATGCTCTCTGGGGAGACAGCAGGGGCAGAGCAGATTTCTAAGCAGCCCTCTGTGTTCTGGCCAGGAGGAACCCTCAATCCTCCCTCAGGTTTCTCACCTGGACTCTTGGCAGATCCTGGGACCACTGTAGTTGTGGACCATATGGGGCTCTTTCTGTTGACTGGAAGTCGTCCTCTGAGAACATAGTGCTCACCTGCCCAAGATTCCAAAACAGAAGTAAGGGGCCCCACGTCCCATCACCCCATCATGTGGTTGTCCAGGGCTGACAGCAGAGGCTGGACCCTTCGGTTCTGGGGATTCCAAAGTCCTCCTGTGGGTTTTTCATCTTTACTTCTGCCAGGGCCTGTCCTTCCTTGACTCCCAACCCCTGAGATGAGCAGACATATCCCTTTACACCAAGACCTCATCTCCCTGAAGGTTTCCCAACTTTCTGCCTGTGGTACAAGTGACCTTGCCACTTGGGGCCACCCGTGATGAGGTCCCCACACAGCCAAGGACAGGGGACAGAGAGACTCTGTGGGATCCCTTCATTATGGGATGTGGGTATCTCCAGTCCTCACCAAGGGGACACATACACCTTGAGTCCTAAAGATCCTGGGACTCCTCCCTCTGCTGATCAGGTGTGGCTCCACCTGCTGACCTGTCATCACCCCCTTGAAACAAGGTGCTCACCTCCCTGAGCAAGGTGCCACCCCCAACCTCGTGGCAGAAATGTGAGCATGGCACATGCCTCCCCAACTTGGGCCTCCGAGGGATGAAAACAGAGGAAGCAAGGATTGGTGAGGTCCCTTTTTCTTTGGCATGTGGGAGGGTACATTCTTACCTTCAGTCTTCATCAATTTTCCTCTCCTTGACTACTGGCAGATCCTGGACTCCACCCTGTGCTGACCAGGTGTGTATCCCTCTGCTGACCTGAGGACCTGCCTCAGACCAAGGGCCCCACCTCTCTGAGATATGGGAGGCAGAAAGTGAAGGGGCACTACATGGACACCCCTCATGGGATGCCAAAGGCTGACAGATGAAGCAGATTTCAGGGGTGCCTCCTCTCTCTGGGTTTCCTCCAGGTATTCAGATTTACTCCTGACAAGGCCTATCCATGTCTCTCCTGCTGAACTGTGGATGAGTTTTGCAGGCCACGACCACCATCTCCCAGAGAACCCCAACTAGGAAGTGGGGAGCTGCCTCTCTTTCCTAGAGTCCTGCTTGGGGCCTCCAAGGACCGATGGCAGGGGCAGGTTTTCTACCTCAGGGATAATTGGTTGCCTGAGTCCTCCCTCTGGGACTCCTCCCTGGGTTGACCTGAGGCTCCACTCCTCAGACCACAACCCACTCCTTGCTGACACCCCAAAGGCAGAGTGAGGATGCACCACATGTGGCCACCGTGCCTTGGAACTCCAAGGGCCAAGGTCCCTACTGACCTGGAGTCCAAAGTCTCCTGAGTCCTCCCTCTTCTTCTTCCTCTTGATGCTGGCAGGGCTGCACCCCAGACCCCCTCTGCGGAACTGAGTCTCCATCCCTCAGATTCCCAAGGCTGAATGAAAAGGCACCTCAGTTTGAGACGGCGGGACTATGGGGGGGGGCTGTTCTGGGGTGCTGGGTCCCTTCAGTTGTCCCTCAGGCCTTGCTCACCTCCCAGCAGGGACTGAGCCCTGTCTGTGCTCCCCCTAGGTCTTTCTCATGATACCAAGCCCCTTCCCTCTGTCAGCCCAGGATGCGGAAATCAGGATCCACTTGCCTGGCAGCAATGCCAGGAACTTCCCAGGACTGACAGCAGAGAGGGAGCCTTGCTCTGTGGGGCCTCAGCCCTCCCTCGGGGTCCTGACCTTGATGCCTGGCAGAACCTGGGTCCTGCCCCCCCCAACCAGCCCTGCCCTGGTCACACCAAGCTCTGACCCCACAGTCCCCTGAGGCTTAAGCGGCGGGGGGCAGAAGCCGAGGGGGGTGTCAGAGGGGACGGCCCAGCCTGAGAAGTCCATCCCCATGGGGTGATCCAGGGCTGGCAGCAGAGGCGGTGCTGGATTATCTGGGGTCCTCTATCTGGGTAGGGAGCATCCTCAGTCCTCCCTCAGCATCTCATCTTGCCTCCTCACAGAGCCTGGGCCCGCTGCCCTCAGCAGGTCACAAGCCGCCCTTCAGAACCGGGCTATCACTTCTCTCTGACCCCCTAATGTGCAACTCCGCAGTACCAAGCCCGGAGGTCCTTTGCGTTGTCTGCAGGGACAAGGATGGACTTTGTGGCCCCTCTATCAGGATGGGGTGGAACCTCTCCATAATTTCTCAGAGTCCTGATGTTGATGCCTGGAAAGGCCGGGGCCCCACCCTTTATGGAACTGCCTCTGCCCGGGTCACACCATAGACTCGCAGAGTCTCCTTGGGCATTGAGGAGGGGGATTGTCTCAGCCTGATAATTTGGTCCCCTGTTGTTTCAGGGCTGGCTCCAGGGTTGGCGCTGGATTATTTGGGGCCCTCTATCTGGGTAGGAGGACTCCTCAGTCCTCCCTCAGCTCTCACCTTGCCTCCTCATGGAGCCTGGACCCGCTGCCCTCTGCCACTCTCAAGACACCCCTCAGAAAGACGCTTTCGCTTCTCTCAGATCCCAGAGGCGGAAGCCAATGGAGGTCACATCCGGCCCCCACGCCTGGAGCTTCCCTGGATTTACAGCAGGAGCGAACCCGATTCTGCCCGTGTGGGGGCGGGGCGAGGCGAGGCGGGGCGGGGCGAGGCGAGGCGGGGCGGGGCGGGGTGGGGCAGGGGGAAAAGTAGTGGCGAGGGGTGCAGATGTGGTCGAGGGTCATGGGGGTGCCTCAGTCCTCCCTCAGGTTTCTGACCTTGATTCCTTGCAGAGCCTGGAGCTCCGTCCTCTGCCAATGATGTCTGCTCCTCTCGGACCAAGTCTCTGACTCTGAGTCCCCTGAGGTGGCAGTGAGCGGGAGGTGTGAGGTCGGGGGACAACATTGCCAAGGTCTTCCGGGGCTGACAGGAGGGACCGAGCTGGATTCTGTGGCCCCTCTATGTGGGGAGGGTGGACCGTCAGTCCTCACTCAGGAGGGTCCTCCTCTTGGCTACTGGTTCTTTCATGAAGTGATGGGTGGGAGATGCTCTGTTTCTGTCACCTCTGAGCATTGCCCAACTGCACCCCTTGCAGACAATAGCTGCGGATCCCAGGCTAGGTGCTTCCATGTGGCTTCAGTACCCGTGATTGTAGTGACCTCTGGGAGAAGATGCACACCTTCCTACGGGGGCTCCTCCCCAGCCAGATCTAGACTTTGCAAACTTTTGCCCTGAAAGCTTTATTTTTACACTGAAGAGGCTGAGTGGCTGCAAGAAATTTGCGGAAGTCCTGCGTTTAGAATTTATCTAACACTTCATAGTTCATTTTAGTGATTTTCATTTTTTAATTCTCATTCAGTGTCAAAAATCATACTTAACCTAACTGCCTATTTCACTCTAATGGTCAATACTCTAATTTAATCCATTCTTTATCTTCAATTAAAACGATAATTTTTAAAAAGCCAATCTTTATTTACTGACGTGGTTTTAGTGGTTATCAGCACAAATTCCAGCCGTATTCCTTTAATCAACCAGTGTTTCCTCATGTCCTGAAGTTACCCCATGACTACTGGCACCTGTGGTCTGAGACCCTACCCGAGTTTTCCACAGTGAAGTAGGGGCAGAATTTTAAACATTTCTTTCTTCCTATCCACCCCAACTTCCCTGCCACTCTTCCCCGCCAATCACAAGTATTCCTTCAAAATACAATGAAATTCTCAGGGCTCTCTCATGTTTTTTTTGTTTAGATTTCTTTTTTGATATTGTTTGCTTGTTCCTTTATTTATTTATTTTTATTCTTTAGTTTTCCCGGGTTGTTTTGGGGAGTCTAAGATAGAAGCCCAAGACTGAACGCGGTGGTTCACACCTGTAATCCAAACACTTTGGTAGGCCAAGGCAGGAGGATCACTTGAGCCCAGTAGCTCAAGATTAATCTGAACTACATAACAAGACCCCATCTCAAAAAAAAAAGAAAGAAAGAAAAAGAAAAAGAAAAAAGAAATGAAAAATTAGCTGGGTGTGGTGGCGTGTGACTGCAGTCCCAGCTGGTAGGGAGGCTAAGGTGGGAGGATCACTGGAGCCCAGGATGTCAGTGCTGCAGTGAGCTGTGTTCACACCACTGCACTCCAGCCTTGGAAATAGAGTGAGGTCCTGTCTCAAAAAAACAAAACCAAACCAAACAATCAAAAACCAACAGATGCCTGAGCTTGACAGTCATCTTGGCTGGTTAAGGAATTACGTCTGTCAATTTTTGAAAAAATAGAATTGCCATCTTTGCAATATTCTGTTCCCTATCAATGATATCATATACTGCCTTGTTTATTTGGGTGCTCTTTGAACTGGATATATCAGTACTTGTATAGTTGCCTCAGTAAAAATCATACATGCTTTTGTTAGTCTTCTTGTTAGGTAATTTTTGGATATTGTTGCTATTGTGAATGGGGTATTTTCTATGACCTGTTCTTAATAGTTATTGTCTGTTTTGCAAATCTTTTGATTTTGCTTTATTGATCTTCTGTTCGCTATTTTTCACACGTCTCTTATTCATTTGACTATTTCAAGTGTGCATTTTTTTGAATTTTCTAGATAGACTGTTGCATTACCCTACCAAATATCACTCTTTCTTTCCAATACACATACCTCTTATTTATTTTGGTATCCATATCTGTGGCTTTGTATTCCAATACAACTTTGAAAAATAGCAATGATAGCATACATTTATGACCTGTGCCTGACATGAATGCGTCCAACATTTTACAATTAAGTATATTTGCTATCAATTTGATGAAACAAAATTTCCTTCTACTCTTAATTTTCTAGTTATTTTTATCATGGATGATTACTAATTTTTTCAAAATATTTTTCTGTATCCATTAATATGATCATATGTTTTGCCTCTATAATCTTGTTAATATAGGGAATCACACTGAAGGTATATTTTAATGTCAAATTGTATTTTCATTCTTTGGATATATCCCGTTTTTCCATTTAGTACACTGCCCTAATGAATTGGCTATTAATTTATTTAGGATATTTGTTGCTATGTGAGTAACTTTGGTTTAAGTGTTCTTTTCATGGTGAGGTCCTCTTCTGGTATTTGAAACAAAGAACACTAGTCTCAGAAAATGAGTTCCACAGTTGCCCATCTTTTTGTATGGTTTTTAAGAGTTTGCTTAGGATGGCAATGAGTTCTAATTATTTGGTAAAACTGGCCTCTGAAACTTTCTTTTCCTGGATCATTTGTGGGTGGCTTGAACTGAGAATACAGTTTTAGTTTGTAATGTTTGATTAAAGTTTTCTGTTTCTTTATGGACCAATTTGATCTTTTTTTTTTTTTTTCGAGACAGAGTCTCGCTCAGTCGCCCAGGCTGGAGTGCAATGGCACAATCTCAGCTCACTGCAACCTCCTCCTCCCAGGTTCAAGCAATTCTCCTGCCTCAGCCTCCTGAGTAGCTAGGATTTCAGGTGTGCGCTACCACACCCGGCTAATTTTTGTATTTTTAGTAGAGACGGGGTTTCACCATATTGTCCAGACGGGTCTCGAACTCCTGACCTCGTGATCCACCTGTCTCGGCCTTCCAAAGTGCTGGGATTGCAGGCGTGAGCCACTGCGCCGGGCCATTTTTTTTTTTTTATAAAATATAGTTCATTTCACTTAGGATTTCAAATTTAATGGCATGATATTATGATGAAATAACTTTATTAAAGTGTCAGACATGTAAAATAGTATAGTATAATATACCCAATATACTTGATATTCAGCATCAAAAATCTTCAATCCATTACTAATCTGTTTCCAACTATACTTCTACCTACCCCACGTCTCAAATGCTGGAATAATGTAAACCAACTCAGTAACCTTGGATAGAATACTGGATCCAATAAGCCAGTTCATGGTACAGTGCAGCTGACCTGGCTCTGAGACAGCCTATGGCTCAGAGAAAAGGGTCTGGCTTCAATAGACCAGCCTCCCTAGACCCCTACCTCCTACTCTCTGTTCCAGGGTCCTGAGGTACTGCACGCCTTTGTTCTCTTCTAGACACATGCTCCTATAATACTGCTAGCTAATACTGCTTTCCAGACACCCTTGGGTCTCTCTCCAAATATCTTCTCTGTGAGGCCTTCTATGAATAACCTTTCTTTTTCTTCATAGAATTTGTGTCTTTATTATTTATTTTTGTAATTTCACTTTCATTTTAGATTCAGGGGGTACGTGTGCAACTTTGTTACATGGGTATATTGTGAGATGCTGAGATTTGTGATATTATTGATCCCGTCACTCAAGTAGTGAGCATAGTACCCAATAGTTGGATCCTGACCTTTCATCATATACAAAAATTAATTCGACATGGATTAAAGATTGAAATGTAAGACCTCAAACTACAAGAATCCTAGAAGAAAACCTAGGAAACACCATTCTGGATATCACCCTCGGGAAATAATTTATGACTATGTTCTCAAAAGCTATTGCAACTAAAACAAAAATTGACAAGTTAACCTAATTAAACTCAAAAGCTTCTGCTCAGCAAAAGAAACTATCCACAGAGTAAGCAGACAACCTGCAGAATGGAAGAAAATATTCCCCAACTACGCATCTGACAAAGGTCTAATATTCAGAATCTATAAGGTGCTTAAACAATTGAACAAACAAAAACAAATAACCTCATTAAAAAGTGAATACCCTTTCTAAAATTGCAATCCTCCCTCTTAACTCATCCCAAACACTTATTCAGTTCTCTAGATTCAATTTGTTTCCATAGTATTTATCACCATGTCAACCAAAATTAAGACTGGTTAGGCAAAAATAAGAGGATAAATGTTTATTGGAAGCCAAATGTGAGGACTGACCTGGGAGGAGAAACCAACAAAGTTGGGAGTGTTCTGGAGAGTCTTACAAGTTGGAAGGGTTTTATGAGAGTTTAGAACAAGAGAGAACTTTTTATATGGCAGTTGTCGTTTTTTATTAGAGGATACAATACGGAGGTTAGAATCATTGTACCAAATTGCAACATACAGACTAAAATGTCCATGTGCAAAACAACCAGTAAAATTTCATGATTTAAAAATAAATCAGCAAACTTTTCAATGTTGGTACATTACATATTAATCCATATGTAAACAATTTGTGGAATGCAGGATAAGACACTTTACTGAGGGACAGGATGGCAACAGAAATCACAAGACCTCCCCCAGGTGAGTTCATTTGGAAGCCTACCAAAGGTGATTTGGAAGTTAACCATTAAATCTACTGCACCTTTAAGTTTGTTTCATGATTTATTGTGTGCCTACCCTTTACCTCACTAGAATGTAAGTTCCACCTAGGGAGGAAATGTGTTCAATATTGTATCCTCAGAGCCCAGGACAGTGCCTGGCACACAATACATGCTCAGTATTCATTTATGGAATGAATAAAGAACTGCCAGTTCTATGGTCCTAGTATTTGGAGCTTCTCTGGTACTAAAGTCTCATGGAATTTTCAATCTTTCCAAACACCCAACAGCCAAAGTTTGAATGCTCCCACTATCTTCTAATTGTTGGCTCCTGGACCAGGTAAGCATCTGAGTTTTAAAGGGACTCCAAAGGCCTGCTTTCCCAGCTTCTGGTTTGTGCTCCTCACATCCTGGGTAAGTGAGCATGGCAGGGCTCTAGCCACCCAGGGCTATCTGAACACTCTCTCTTGTCAGGAGGCAGCTGTGACCTTTCCCTGATGCCCTGTTTCTTTTTCCATCTTGTTTGGATATGCAAGTTAACACAGTAGTCCTTGCAAGGTGGAATCTAACAGCCTAATTGTACCTGTTGGGATTTGGGGTTTCCTTCTCCTGAGGCCCATCTCTGAGCCCCCATCACCTTGGCTGCAGTGCCCACACTTGCCCACAGTCTCCCGTATCTGACTTCAGTCTTCCCAACTGGGGCTTGGAATTGCAGCTCTCCAATACAACTACTCAAGACTCAGTGCTGAGGCTTATGAACAGTTAAACTTTTATTTAAAATTCTCTACTTAGAAATCCCCTTCCAAAGTATTATGGTTCAGATAGAACTGGCAGAAGATGAGGTAGCCATTTGGTGAGTTTCCTAGGGGTTGGTAAATAATAAAAGAATGCTGTGTGAATGAGTGACAAATCACTATAATGATGACTTACTTTTCAAATGATCCCCTATGTAATGCCCACACATTAATTAAACTAATCACCTCGTTAAGGCGCCTATGAGTTTTTGCTTTCTAAACTTGATCCAGAGAGGTGATGCCGAACTGTTTTGTCAGCTACCCAAAGAGCCATCTAGGATCTCGGTGTACCCCCAAAAAGTTTAAGAAGACTAATGGGTGAAACCCACTGTGAGGTCTGTGGTCATTAGTATACTCCTCCAGGTCCCAGAATATCCTCAGGTCAAATTAGGATTTGGAAAGGAGCCAGGAAGGGTAAGGCTTTCTTGTTACCAAAGGGCATAGGCTGTGATGAGTTTGGAAAAGTGTGAGAAGGATCACCTGCTGGATCCATCTATAGTGCCTTAGGCTGGCCACGGGAGGAATGTAGAAGTAAAATGGGACTGGAGGTGAGCTGGAGCCCTGCAAGATGTCATGAACCGAGTGCTTCCAGAAAGAACTCCAGAGCAGACTGCTTTGTCGCACTCCAGGATGACAACTGTGACACTTAGTGCCCTTTGTTGGAGAGAAACGACGGATGGGGAGAATGCTAACTCTAGGATGCCTAAGTGTTGCAGGGCTAGAGCAGCTAGGGGGTCTCACAGCACCCCACCAACAGCCTCTTCTGGAGGCATTTCCAGGGTCTAGCATATCCCACAGCAGCCTCCTGTGTGGTTACACACCACAGAGGATGGAGGCAATCCTGACCAGGGTAGGGCAGAGCAGATGGGGGCCTTCCTGTGCCCATACATGGGAAGGTCCTGACTGTCTCTAGATGTCCTGAGCCTGCCCACTGAGGGACTGATGTGAGGCCTGTCAGCCATGGTCCTGCTCTCCTAAGAGACCTCTCTGTTCCACCAGCTATGACTGAAACCCTGCACTTAACTTCAGCTTCCTTGGCAAGGGGCTGACCTCCTGCATGCTTCTTGAAAGCTGTATTAGTCCATTTTCATGCTGCTGATAAGGACTTACCCAAGACCTGGCAATTTAAAAAAGAAAGGGGTTTAATTGGACTTACAGTTCCACATGGCTAGGGAGGCCTCACAATGATGGCGGAAGGCAAAAAGGAGCAAGTCACATCTTACGTGGATGACGGCAGGCAAAGAGAGCTTGTGCAGGGCAACTCTCATTTTGTAAAAACCATGAGATCTCGTGAGACTCATTCACTATCACGAGAACAGCATAGGGTAACTGCCCCCATGATTCAATTATCTCAAACCGTGTCCCTCTCACGACACATGGGAATTATGGGAATTATGGGAGTACAATTCAGAAGGAGATTTGTGTGGGGACACAGAGCCAAACCATATCACCAGCTCTTCCCTGTGCCAATTACCCTGTCAGCTTTTCCTGAGCAAATAAGGAGTCCTGGGTCTCCTTTTATCCTTGATCCCAGGGCTGGAGCTGAACATAGGGATAGCGGGGGCTAGTGGCAGGATGCTTGTTATGTCCCAAGGGAAATCCACAAAATAGCATCAGAGGACAAAGCCAAGGTTGCCCATCACTCAGACTGAGGGTCAGTGCAAACAAGCCCTGCAGACACTGACACCTACGTGGATGCAGTGAGAGTCCACATGTCTCATGAGCACTGCGCTCCGTCCTACTTGCCCCACCATGTATCTGGTTGCCAGCCTGCTCAGTGGAGTTGGCTCGAAGGAAATTGTTGAGTCATCTAATCTGCTGAGAATAAAAGAGACCAGGCCAGGCAGGTACACAGCAAGGCAGGGCACATGTCTGGACATAATAGCAGCCTCTGGAAGACTGGACTTCTGATATCCATGTCAAATGGTTGCTGTAGCTTAGCCTGGGCAACTGCACTTGGGCCATGAGCTGCCAGGGTACCCTAAAGGTCAATGGAAGTCTTCCTGGAGGCTGGACTTCCTGGCATATATTTGAGGTTCTAAGCCTGCTTCAGGCTCCACCATCTTCTCACTTGATTTATCTCTGGGATCCCTTTGTTTTATTTGTGTGTAATGCATTTTATCTTGCTGTGTTACGTACTTCTTTGTAGCCTGCTCCAAATATTTTCTGAATGAAGCAGGAGTGAAAAAAAGGGGGAGGAAAATAGTGAGCGAAGTCCCTTCTCAATCCCACTTAACTCTTTAATGTCTTCACCTCATCTGCATTCCCCTCTGGATCCCCAGTGTTCTGTTAATGGAGCACAAGCTCATTGCAGGGGTCGCGGTTCTGAACTGCAGCCCATCTGGAGCTCTCAATGCAGAAACTTGTCCATCTTCACACCCTTTATCCTAGGACCCACCTCTCCTCCACAGCATTTGTCTCCATGTCATATGGATAGAACAGGAGAGAGGCCATTGGGTAGGATTCTGTTTCAAGCTTTCACTGGCACCACCACTTGGCTCCTTTAAGATCAGTCCTAGGGGCATATTGATAGGGCAATAGTTAGCAGTGGAAGATGGCTGGCACTCCCTTGTTTGTGGGTTGCAGCTCAACCCAGTACAGAGACAGGGCTTTGAACCCATAAGAAAGTAAGTTTGAATATTAGCTCTGTCGCTTATAAGCCCATACATCAAGTATCCTTTATGTACTTCAGTTTTTTCATCTGTAAAATGGGAGTAATAATAGTACAACTTCAGAGTGTTTATGTGAGCATCATATAACATGCCACTTGTATGTAAAATGTTTGGCCCTAATAATGTGGTCATTAATAAGTGGCTATTATTATTGTGTGCCCATGATGTACCTTCCCCCATATTTTAATATTCCTGAACCTGTATATGTCTTATGATCCACATGTGCATTAATTAACGCATTTATTTTCTTTTCCCCTTGAAAATCTGTTACCTTGGATTGTTTAATCCCACATCTTTGAGCTGTATAGACATGATATAACTTGTTCTAGTCCTGCTTGGGGCAATAACCAGGGCTATTGAACCAGGACCTAGATCAACACATAGGTCTGTGAGAGTTGCTTTGAAGAATTCCTCCAGGCTCACCCTCCCTGCATCCAATCTCACACCCCAGAGCTCTGCAAGGGAGAGTCCTCCAGGTGAACACACTGAATGCCAAAGAAAAGGTCCCACACTGTGCCTGACCCTGGCTGCCCAGGTTCACATCTCTGAGGAGTACTAGAGCCACATTCCAAATTCTCCACACCACTGCTTGCACTTCATTGGGATGGCTCAATGGTTATTTTAAAAAGTACATTGTTCCTTGCACAAATGTTTTTGTATTTTGAAAAAGCCTAGAGTTACCTACTTTCCAAGTATAAATCTCTTTTTGTGCCTAACATGTTGTCAATTTTCTTTTCTCCCTATCTTAAATTTAAAGGAGCAGATAAAGGCAATCTTATGTGCCCAGAAAGAAGAGAACCAAATATTTGTGACCAGCCCTGATATGCACAACTGAGGTCATTTTAGAGGAGGAAGCTGAGGCCCCTTTTCTCCATCTGCTTGTCATTGCTCTAGTCTAGGCCTGCTCTTATCCTGTGGGAATCCTCAACCCTGGACATTCCAGCCTCTTAACAGTTACTGTATGACAATAGCAACACAAAGAAGTAGGGAGAGAATGGAACTGTATGTGAACAAACCCATTGTATACTATTTTAATTAAGTTGGTATTAATTTAAATAGATTGGTACAAGTTAAACTATCAATTGTAGTCCCCAGGACAACTGCTAAGAAAATAATACCTTAAATGGCAATGGGATTAAAATGGTAGACTAGAAAAACATATATTTTTCACAAAGGAAGGTAGCATTGAAAATATAAAGAAGGAAAAATACATATGTAATATAAAGAGTAAATCACTGACTACAACACAGAAATATTACCTTACCAGTAATCTTAAATGTAAATGGATTAATCACCTCGATTAAAGTCAGAGATTGGGGAAATATATTTTGGAATCCTGTTCTAACTATATACTGATTATTTATAAGAGATTTATATAGATGTATACATCTAAATACATAAATAGGATGAAAGTAAGTATATGGGAAAAGATATATCATACAAGCAGTAACCAAAAGAGAGCTGGAATGGCTATGCTAATACCAGACAAAATAGACTTTAAAATAAAAGTTGTTACTAGAGAAAAAGAAAGATATTTTATAATGATGATAAAAGTTTTAGTCTATCAAAAATATGAAACATTATAAACATATATGTACCTAATAACACAGACCCCAAAATATAGAAAGAAAGAATTAAAGAGAGAAATAAATAATTCAACAATAATTATTGGAGACTTTAAACCCTAATTTCAATAAAGGTATAACAAGATAGAAGGTCGCCATGACTATAGAATATTTCAACAACAATATAAACCAGCCAGACCTAACCCCCAATTATAGAACACAGCACCCAAAACAGCGGAATATTTTTCTCAAGTATACATGGATCACCTTTCAGGATAAACAATATGTAAGCCCACAAAACAAGTCTCAATAAATATAAGGGGATTGAGATTGTACAAAGTACTTTATCTGTCTGCAATGGAATAAAATATGAAATTAACATCATGCTACCTGACTTCAAACTATACTACAAGGCTACGGTAACCAAAACAGCATGGTACTGGTACCAAAACAGAGATATAGATCAATGGAACAGAACAGAGCCCTCAGAAATAACGCCGCATATCTACAACTATCTCATCTTGGACAAACCTGAGAAAAACAAGCAATGGGGAAAGGATTCCCTATTTAATAAATGGTGCTGGGAAAACTGGCTAGCCATATGTAGAAGGCTGAAACTGGATCCCTTCCTTACACCTTATACAAAAATTAATTCAAGATGGATTAAAGACTTAAACGTTAGACCTAAAACCATAAAAACCCTAGAAGAAAACCTAGGCATTACCATTCAGGACAGAGGCATGGACAAGGACTTCATGTCTAAAACACCAAAAGCAATGGCAACAAAAGACGAAATTGACAAATGGGATCTAATTAAACTAAAGAGCTTCTGCACAGCAAAAGAAACTACCATCAGAGTGAACAGGCAACCTACAAAATGGGAGAAAATTTTCACAACCTACTCATCTGACAAAGGGCTAATATCCAGAATCTACAATGAACTTAAACAAATTTACAAGAAAAAAACAAACAACCCCATCAAAAAGTGGGTGAAGGATATGAACAGACACTTCTCAAAAGAAGACATTTATGCAGCCAAAAAACACATGAAAAAATGCTCACCATCACTGGCCATCAGAGAAATGCAAATCAAAACCACAATGAGATACCATCTCACACCAGTTAGAATGGCAATCATTAAAAAGTCAGGAAACAACAGGTGCTGGAGAGGATGTGGAGAAATAGGAACACTTTTACACTGTTGGTGGGACTGTAACCTAGTTCAACCCTTGTGGAAGTCAGTGTGGCGATTCCTCAGGGATCTGGAACTAGAAATACCATCTGACCCAGCCATCCCATTACTGGGTATATACCCAAAAGACTATAAATCATGCTGCTATAAAGACACATGCACACGTATGTTTATTGCAGCACTATTCACAATAGCAAAGACTTGGAACCAACCCAAATGTCCAACAATGATAGACTGGATTAAGAAAATGTGGCACATATACACCATGGAATACTATGCAGCCATAAAAAATGATGAGTTCATGTCCTTTGTAGGGACATGGATGAAATTGGAAATCATCATTCTCAGTAAACTATCGCAAGAACAAAAAACCAAACACCGCATATTCTCACTCATAGGTGGGAATTGAACAATGAGAACACATGGACACAGGAAGGGGAACATCACACTCTGGGGACTGTTGTGGGGTCAGGGGAGGGGGGAGGGATAGCTTTAGGAGATATATCTAATGCTAAATGACTAGTTAATGGGTGAAGCACACCAGCATGGCACATGTATACATATGTAACTAACCTGCACAATGTGCACATGTACCCTAAAACTTAAAGTACAATAAAAAAAAAGTTAACATATTTAAATTTCCAAAAAAAAAAAGAAATTAATAACGTTGGTAAATTTCAGATATTCACAAATTTGTGAAAATTAAACTACATACTCCTAAACAACCAACGGGCAAAAGAAAAAATCACAAAGGAAATTAGAAAATATTTTGACATAAATGATAATGAAGATATATATACACACATGGTCATGTACAAATGAACACCAGCTCATCGCATAGTTCAAGTGCACTAGCTTGCATTGTTGATTGCACAGTTTTAGAGAGACATGTTGATGACCCTATTTTGCCACTTCCAGAGACCAGATGTACTGTGCAATTAACCAGAAAACACTGATTTATAAAGCACGAAAATAAGAATCTCTTCTGAGCTTATAACTAAACATATCTAAACTATAATAAACATTAAATTCCAAGGACTTGATATGGTTTGGATCTGCATCCCCACCCAAATCTCATTTCGAATTGTAATCCCTACATGTCAGGGGAAGGACCATGTGGGATGTCATCAGATCATGGGGGAGGGTCCCCCCATGCTGTTCTCAAGATAGTGAGTGAGTTCTCATGAGAGCAGATGGTTTTAAAGTGTAGCACTTCCTCATTTGCGCAAACCCTCCATCCTGCAGCCTTATGAAGAAGGTGCCTGCTTCCCCTTAGTCTTCCACCATGATTGAAAGTTTCCTGAGGCCTTCTAGCCATGCTTCCTGTTAGGCCTGCAAAACTGTGAGTCAATTAAACTTTTTTCCTTTATAATTACTCAGTTTCAGGTAATATTCTTTATAGTGGTGTGAGAATGGACTAATACAGGACTACAGCTGTGCCTGAACAGGCTACATCAAAAATAATAATAAAAAAACTACTCCAAAAGATGAACAATGGCTACCTCTGCCAAATGGAAGAGTTTAGATGGGCTGCCTTCTCAAGTTGGGAACACAATCCTGTACATACGTGCTTACCAGTGCCACACCATAGATTTACAAGTCAGCATGGGTAACCCAATCAGAGACTATAAAATACCCCTCAATAAATACTTTGTTGCACAGCTTCAATAAGTGTGCTTATCTGACAGCCTAATATCTCTTTCAGGGACTAACTTTACAGCTGAAGTCACAATCTTCTAGGGGTGGCCACCAATCAATGATTAGGCAATGCAGTTTTAGTCAAGAACATACACTTCTCAGAAAGGCCACCAGCCAATGACTGAGCAAGTCGAGGGTAAAATGGCTTAGAAAGTCCCATAAAAGGGACCCCTCCTCCAAGCAATCTTTGCTTCAGAGCTCCAAATTGGACTAGCAAAGACTTTGTGAGATCTGCCCAAAAGACAAGAGGGAGAAATTGGGTATGTGCAATTGTTAAGTACTTACATGACATGCGAAATAATATATTATTTGAAGGTAGATTGTGATTAAGTAGAGATTACATTGTAAACTTTAGGGCAACCACAAAAAATTCACTAAAAGAGATATACATAATTAGGCAACAATGAAGATAAAATGGAATAATAGAAAAATGAGTGCCTATTCACAATAGCAAAGACATGGAATCAACCCAAATGCCCATCAATGATAGACTATATAAATAAAATGTGGTACATGTACACCATGGAATACTATTCAGCCATAAAAAGGAATGAGATAATGTCCTTTGCAGTGACATGAATAGAGCTGCAAGCCATTATCCTCAGCAAACTAATGCAGGAACAGGAAACCAAACATCACATGTTGTCACTCATACGTGGGAGCTAAACAGTGAAAACACAGGGAGGGGAACAACATACAATGGGGCCTGTCGGTGGTGCAAGGGAAAGAGAGCAACAGGAAAAATAGCTAATGCATGCTGAGTTTAATACCCAGAAAGCTGGGTGGCAGCCTGAGGGCCATCAACTCATGCATTTAATCAGAACAAAGAGGTACGCATCAAGCCTGGAACAAAGAAATATATTGTCTCACAAGACAATAAGCCCAGCACAGGCTGTGAGGGCTCTTTATCTCCCAAGAAGAAAATGTTCCAGGTACAAGGCCCATCTTATGCAGCTGAGCAGGTTGGTCAACAGACAGGACATGACTGCCTTTACCAACAATATTAAAAGGAGAATGTATCATTATTGAGATTTGTCTCAGAAATTCAATATTCACAAATCAATCTCTGTAATTAACTGTATCAACAGACTAAAGGAAAATGCATTTGATCATATTCAAATGATTAAAAAATTTTTATGATAAAAAGTCTAGACAAGTCGAATTAAAAAAGAAATAATTCAACTTGATATAGGACATGAAAAAAAAAAGAAAACCTCTACAGTTAACATCATACTTAATGATGGACTGGATAAAAAGCTGGGATGTCAATTCTGACCAATCCTACCAACATCTCTGTGAAAGTCCAGACCAATGTAATAAAGCAAGAACAAGATATTAAAGACATACTGACAGGAAAAGAAAAAAATGAAACCATCTCTATCTGCAGATGACATTGATTGTATTTGTCCCTTTTCACACTGTTATAAAAAAATACCCAAGACTGAGTAATTTAGACAGGAAAGAGGTTTAATTGATTAATAGTTCCACGTGGCTGAGGAGGACTCAGAAAACTTACAATCATGGCAGAAGGGGAAGCAAACATGTCCGTCTTCACAAGGTGGCAGGAAAGAAAAGTGCAGTGCGAAGGGGGAAGAGCCCCTTATAAAACAATCAGATCTTGTGAAAACTCAGTCAGTATCATGAGAACAGCATGCACCTGCAGGCCCAATACCACCTGGAAACCACCAAGGCTTGGGGCTTGCACTTTCTGAAGCAATGGCCTGAGCAGTACATTGGCCCCTTTTAGCCATGGCTGGGATGCAGGGCACCAAGTTTTGAGATTGCACAAAGCAGCAAGGCCCTGGGCCTGGCACACAAAACCATTTTTTTTTCCTTAGGCCTCAAGCCAGCCAGGAGTCCTGAATTCCTAGCCTTCCCACCCCTAGGAACCCCCTACCCCTGGTAGGGGCGAAAGCATCTGATGTCAAAAAGACTCAGGGGCATCATGGACCTTCCATATGGGTACAGGACTGCAGGACGTCCATCAGCCTCGAAAAGACCTCTCCACTGCCTTTCAGTTGCTAGCTTCTCAGACTCATAGGCCCAGGCGAATTACAATGGGGCTGCCGCTGGCCTGGGAAGAGCAAAAACTGTGGGGCCTTGCACGTAGCAGGAAAAGACTGGAAGGAGACTCAAGACCATGACAACTCCTTTCTGTGAGGAGCCCTGAGAGGGTGAATCGGTAATGATGGAGGGTGCCAAGTGAGAAGAATGTAATGAAGGGATGGTTGTGAAATTTGAGGAGAGAGGCGGTGAGGTCAGGGAAGAGATGTGGGGTCCTCAGGAGGGTGTTGAATAGGGAGAGGGCACAGGGTCAAGGGGTGTGGTGCTTGGGGTCTGCAGAGGATGTGGGGTCAGGAAAGGGTCTTAGGATTTCAGGTGTGGGGACACACAGTGAGGTCCCAGGAGTGGGGCCCATTGAAGTGGAGGCTCTGTTCTATCTGCAGTCTTGGTCCACACTCCTTAAGATTAACCAGAGAAACACGTAGAGGACAACAAGATAGTGAATATGGACAGAGCAGTGAAGATGCCAGTGGCCACGGAAAATACTATTTCTTCCATGCTGTCTCCAGGGAGTGCTTGCTGCAGTGTTTGATGGAAGGTACAGCAGTAGGAGTGGTGTCAGCTTCGACCTGCCCGAGCAGAGGGACAGTACTTGAAGGAAATGCTAGGGCCAGAAGCCATGTAAAAGCTTCCAAATGCACGTGTGTCAGGGCCAGCAGTGGCAGGAGGAGCCAGCAACCCAGACCCTATGACTCCTTCTGCGGGGATCAGTCAGATGGCCTTGGCATTGGTCAGACAGGAAGTGAGGTGGGTTAGGACTGAGAACTACCAGGAGTCAGCAGGGCACCACCAGCTTGGATCCTGAGTCTGGAAGAAGACCTATACCTGAAGCAGTGCCCCTCCTCCCTCGGATTTGCCCCAGGTCATCCCTAGGAGGCCATCCCATTCTTCTCCTGCCATCTCAGGAAAGTACATCACAGTGGAGGGCATAAGCCAGACCAGCACCCCCAACCAACCATCATCCCATGCGTGACTTTACACACAGATACTTTCCTACACACAAAGACCAATTCAAAGCTGCTTGTCACCATCTCTTAAGTGAATCTTTAAGAAGCCTAATGTGGCAGGGCTTCAGGTCAGGGCCACTTGATCAAACCCAGCACCTTCTGAATGACCACCAGGGCACACCGAGAATCTGCCTGGAGGAAGCCCAAGCCCTGCCCTGACTGCTTTTTCTCTACTTCACCTTTCTCTCCTCTTCCAGGAAATAAATTTGCTTATGCTGAGGGTCAGTTGTCACCAGTCTGACTTATTTCTTCCACTCTGTCCTACAACAGTGCTTCTGGACTCCAGGCAATGCTCCTCCAACCGCATCACCTGGGGGCTAGTTAGGAACCAGCATCTCAGGCCCCACTCAGCCCTAAGCAGTGAGAACCTACATATCAACAAGATTCACAGGAGACTCCTGTGCATGTCCCCATGTGCTAATCCAGACGTGGTGTTTCTTCTTTGTGCCTCTGCCTCAGGGAGTCTGTGACTCACTGAATTCAGGGTCCTCTGTTCATTAGTCAGGTGGAATCAGGCAGGATGTCCTGACTGGATCCTTTTCAGAATCTTCCGCCAACAAAATCATACCACATAGCAAGAGCTGCTTTCCACTTTCTGAAGTGGATGCACTTTTTTGCAATTTAACATTCCCAGCAACAATGTATGAGGGCTCTAATTTCTCTACCACCTTGTCAACACATTATTGTCATTTTTATTGCAGCCATTGTAGTTAGTATGAAATAGTATCTCATTTAGGTTTTGACTCGCATTTCCCTAGTGACTAACGAAGTTGAGCATCCTTTCATGTTCTTTTGGCCATTTGTAGATATTCTTTAGGGAAATTTCTGTTCATATTCTTTGCTCATTTTTAATGGTTTGTCATTATATGGTGGTATTGTAAATGTTCCTTATGTATTCTGGATACAACTTTCTTATCTGATACATAGCTTGCAACTGTTTTCTCTCAATCTGTGGGTTGTCTCTCTGTCTAGAGGTGCCTTTTAGAGCACAAAAAGGTTTTTTGTTTTTTTTTTGTTTTTAGTTTGAGGAAATCTAGTTTATCAATTTGTGTTTTTGTGGGGGAAAACTATGCTATAAATTGGAGGGAAAAATGCAACCTAGCCACAGTATGAGCTCAAGGAAGACATTTTTTGAAAGTTGAAATTGTCACATTATTTTTAGGTGTCAACGATCCAGTAAAGAGCAAGGATTAGCTAATAAAAGAGAAAAAATGAGACAATTTCAAGAGAAAAATGCTTGAGAAAGAGTCCATTCTAGGCTCTTAGATAGTGCTGGAATGCTTTGTCTTTTGTCAGAAAAGAAATGACAGAGAATGCAGGCATATTGGTGGCATCAGAGGCGAGATAAAGAGTGAACTGCCATCAAATAGCTTTCGTTTGCCTTATCAGAAAGGTGGAAAATTGGCCGGGTGTGGTGGCTCATGCCTGTAATCTCAACATTTGGAAATCCAAGGTGGGCAGATCACCTGAGGTCAGGAGTTCGAGACCAGCCTGGTTAACATGGTGAAACCCCATCCCTACTAAAATACAAAAGGTAGCCGGGTGTGATGACAGGTGCCTGTAATCCCACGTACTCGGGAGGCTGAGGCAGGAGAATCACTTGAACCTGGGAGGCAGAGGTTCCAATGAGCCAAGATCATGCCATTGCACTCCAGCCTGGGCAACAAGGGTGACACTTTGTCGAAATAAAATTAAAAAAAAGAAAAGAAAAGAAAGAAAGAGAAAGAAAAGAAATAAAGAGAAAAGAAAGAAAGAAAAAGGAAAATCATCAGATACTGTTGAAGGCTGG
Organism: Homo sapiens; assembly: GCF_000001405.40. Lineage (NCBI taxonomy): Eukaryota > Metazoa > Chordata > Mammalia > Primates > Hominidae > Homo > Homo sapiens. The sequence continues at coordinate 149,694,633 of NC_000023.11, read as the reverse complement.
AGTGTTTTGGAGATTTGAGAAGATTCGAAATAGATTTTTTGCAGAGTGAGAAAGTGAATTCACTAGAGGAATTGAGCAAGTTGTCTCAAATACTTCAAAGGACATCATCAAAAAATTGAAAAGGCAACTCACAGAATGGGAGAAAACATATGTTAATCATAGGGATAAGGATCTAATATCCAGAATATTAAGAGAACAGTCACATTTTAACAATTAAAACACATAACCCCATTTAAAATGAGCAAAGGATTTGAATAGACAGTTCTCCAAAGAAGATACATAAATGCCCAATAAGCACATGAAAAGGTGCTCAACATCGTTAGTCATCAGGGAAACACAAATCAAAATCACAATGAGATACCACTTTACATACACTAGAATGGCAAAAATAAAAATGACAGACAATAATAGTATCTCTAAGGATATACAGAAATTAGAATCCTCATACACTACTGCTAGAAATGTAAAATGATGCACCTGCTATGAAAAACATTTTGGAAGATCCTCAGAAAGTTAAGAATGGAGTGTTACCTTATGACCCAGCCATTCCATTCCTAGTCCTACACCCAAAATAATTGAAAGCAAATAATCAAACACTTGTACATGAATGCACATAGACGCATTATTCATAATACCAAAAAGTGGAAATAACCTAAATGTCCATCAAGAGATGAATGTATAAGCAAAATGTATATACATACAATGAAATGTCATTCATCCTTAAAAAAATGAAGTGCTGATACACGCTATCACATGAATGAAGTTTAAAAATAATATGGTAAGTGAAAGAAGACAAACACACACAAAAAGCTACATGTTGTATGATTACATTATTATGAAGTTCCCAGAATAGGAAAATCTATGGACAAAAAGTAGATTAATTCCTGCCAAGAGCTAGAAGAAGAGGGAACGGAAAGTGATTGTTAATGAGGAGGTGTTTTCTCTTGGGGATAATGAAAATGTTCTGGAATTTGATATGGCACAACTTATTAATAGTTAAAAATAGTGAAATGATGGAATCATACTTTTGAAGTGGTAAATTTATGGTACATGTATTTTTTTAAAAAAGAAAGCAAACTGACAACACATAGAATTGTGGTGAAGAATAGGAAAGAGCATCAGTAGAGAGCCTCTCTGGGGTGCAGCCTACTGAGCTCATAAAAGCTGAAGAGGGGGCAGGAACTCTGATATAACACTCTCACATGATAGACCTCACTCTGCACACAGGTAGAGACAGATCACCATTGGGAGACTTTGAAGGTGATAGCAAAAACAAAGCCTAAACCCGGCTAAACTACTGAAGAAATTGACCACACACTTCCCTCACACACAAACTTACAACCTAGCTGAATAAGATACATTCCAATTTACATGCATTAATATTATTTACCTCAGCCTCTACTGTTCTTCTACACATGAGGACTGGCATTCAATAAAAATTATAAAATACAAAAAAATTAATAACTAGTAACTCATTTTCATGAAGAAAAGCAATAAACAGACCTGGACTCAGAAATGACCTAACTGCTGACTACATTACAAAGATACTTGAAAAGAATTGTGATTAATATGTGTATCAGTCCGTTTGCACACTGCCAACAAAGACATACTCGAGAGTGGGAAGATTACAAAGAGGTTTAATGGACTTACAGTTCCACATGACTGGGGAAGCCTCACAATCATGGTGGAAGGCAAGGAGGAGCAAGTCACATCTTACATGGATGGCAGCAAGCAAAAAGAGAGAGAGCTTGTGCAGGGAAACTCCCCTTCATAGAACCATCAGATCTCATGAGACTTATTCACTATCACGAGAACAGCAGGGGAAACACCTGCCCTTATGATTTGATTACCTCCCACCGGGTCCCTCCCACAACACGTGGGAATTCAAGATGAGATTTGGGTGGGGACACAGCCAAACCATATCGACATGTTAAAGAATATAGTGGAAAAACTGAACAATATGCATGAAGAGAAGTATCAAGAAAATCATGAATCACTGCACACACTTGTTAAAATAATTAATTGGGAGGCCATAAGACTGAAGCAGCTCTAGCACCCTGAGTTCCTATGTAAACAAACTGAAACTTTACTCAATACAAATGGAAAAATGAAACAAACTTTACCAAAGTTGGCCAGCTAACCTCTAACAGGGGCTTTGCCAATCAGAAACCACCAAACAACCACTAACTAGGGGCTTTAAGACTACTGCTCCACTTTTTTTTTTTTTGAGACAGGGTCTCACTCTGGTGCCCAAGCTGTTGTGCAGTGTTGTGATAACGGCTCACTGCAACCTATGCCTCTCAGGTTCATGTGATTCTCATGCCTTAGCCACCTGAATAGCCAGGATTACAGGTGTGTGTCACCACACCCAGGTGATTTTTGTATTTTTAGTAGAGATGAGGTTTTGCCAGGTTGGCCAGGCTGGTCTCGAACTCCTGACCTCAAGTGATCTGTCCACTTCAACCTTGTAATGTGCTAGGATTACAGGCATGAGCCACTGCTCCTGGCCCTACAGCTCCACCTAAACCAAAAAAAAAATATTTTCTTTGCCTTGCTTCTGCATGCACATCATAAAAGTTCTGCCCTCATGCCCTTTTGGTGAAGCCCTGGACCACTTGTGGTTTTATGCTGCCCAATTCATGAATTGCTGTTTGCTGAAATAAACTCTTTACAATTTTAATTTTTCTAAGTTTATCTTGTAACACAACTATTTTCAGTTTACTGTACATATTGAAACAAATAACTGATCTCTGAGCGATGAGAGATAGAAAATAAAGTGAGCCCTAAAATTTCCTTAGCTTACTGCCTGGAGGGCAGAGTACACAGCAGGAAAGCCTTGATGTTTTTTGAGTTGAGGAGGTAGAATTTAGAGGACAGGGAGACTAAAATTTGCAGAACAAAATAATGAAGAGGAGAAAGCGGTACAGAGAGAAATCTCCAGAGCTTACATGGGTTTGAGGATAGTTCTTGTTTCCTCTATTCAGAGTGAAAAACTTTATAAAGCATGGGACATCAGCTAAAAACCTTAAGAGCGTTTTGTCCAGGTTATGAGGCATTATAAGCTATAGACTAAAAACTGCTCTGATCTCACCTAAAAAGAGCAAGACTTGAAAAAAATGCCACTATTTTCAAGAAACTTACCCATGCTGAAGAATAAATCCCAATAATATTTTATAGAAATACAAAACTATCTAGCACTCAACAAAGTAAAATTCAAAATGTCTTCCATCCAATCACAATGACCAATTTTGTAAAAAAGCAGAAATTAGGATCAATAATGAGGATAAAACACACACATGACACTGATAATAGAGATTGTAGGCAAAGACATTTAAAAATTTATGAATGTATATGAGAACCACAAAGCAGAGGGGAAAATGAGGGATAAAAAAATACTTGAGGAAATAATGAAAAGTTTTCAGGTTTGATAAAAACTATAAACCCCAAAATCTAATAAACTAAAAAAAAAATCGCAAAACAATAAACATGTATAAAGGTATACCAAGGCATTTGATAATCATATTGTTTAAAATCACTGAGATTTTAAGAAGAAATCACAAGAAACTTTTAAAAGTAAACAGAGATACAAATTATGTACATTACCTACAAAGGAACAAAGATAACGATGACAGCAGATTTCTTTTGAAAGATAATGAAAGCCAGAGGAGAGTACTATATTTAAATATTGAAGGAAACAAATACTAAAGACGTAAACTTCTATATTGATGAAAATATATTCCAAGAATAAAGATGAAACACTTTTGTTTCGGGAATGCAAAATTAGAATGAATTTATCACCAACATATGTGCACTAGAAGAAATGTTAAAGTAAGTCCTCCAGGCAGATGGAAAGTGATGCCAGAGAAAAATCCGGATCTACACAAAGGAATCAAGAGCCCTAGAAGGTGCAACTGCATGCATAAGTATAAAACATATTTTCCTTATTATGTAATGTCTTCATAGCAAAGTAACTGTTTAAAATAACAGTACTTAAAGGTATTAAGTTAAAAATAGCAATGTATGATGTGGCTTACAACATATGTAAATGCAAAATGTATGCTTAGAATAGACCATAGGATGAGAAGGGGGAAATGGAAGTATACCGTTGGTTTTTATGTATCTGACTATTCTAAGTGCCAATGGGTAGAGCTGAATAGAGATGACTGTTTTCCTCATTGCACATGAGGTATACTAATAAGGTGAGCCTGCACATAACAAGACATTTTTAAAAAACACTCATCGTTTATTATGTGAACAGAGAGAGTGCTGTGAACTCCAGACAATTACTCTGTAATATTCCTTAAATGAGAAACTCTTATAGAAAGAACTTTACCTTGTTTTCTTAAAGGAAATTAAGAGACATATCTCTAATAAATTTTGGTTGAGATGAAGCCATCTGAACATCAGTCAAGGGGATTGTGCACCATGTGCGGAAGCAGAGGCAACAGGTAAAAGTAAAATGAGTCAAGATCCTTGCTCTTGTTGAGCATGCTTGTACATGGTCTAAGAACACTCTCAAAAGAAGGAAACACAGTGAACATGCCCATAGTGCTGTTTGGTGATGATAGGCAGTAGCAGGGGCCTCTTTCCCGGAGGAGAGGCTGAAGCAGGGCTAGGAATGAGGTTAGAGACAGAGATTGGGGCCAACACTAAGGAAGATCCTTGCAAAATTCTCAGAGGGATAGTGGATTGGAGGGAGGGAGGGTAAACAGTCCCATTTTGAGAATAGAGAATAGATAAATATGTAGAAGAACAGTGTGTGCCTACGTGTGTTTAGGTCAGGGGTAGGACAATGAAGAACTGGGTAAACAAGAGGTGACATGGTGAGGTATGCTGATGATAAAAAGATTGGGGGCTATCAGTTGTTGGCAGGGCTGGAGAGCCAGGAAGCAAAATTGGGATTCAGTGCATTGGGCAGAATGGCATCCACATAGATATGTGCCTGTGCAGGGGCATGATGAAGCCCACCTTTGAGGAAGGTCTTCTAGCACAGGGCTTTCCCAGCAGTGCAGGGGCATCCCCAGTGTTCTGTAGCAGGTAAGGCATCAGGGCCCACTGCCTAAAGGAGGGAGAAAGGATGCTGGGCGAACAGGACTCTGGGACTAGAGTGCTCACTTCAGCCAGACTGCTCTGCCTTCTAATGTTCATAAATTGGAGTTCTATGGAAGGCTTCAGTTAAAATAAGGGATTCTATGTCTAAAATTTGGCAACCATGGTCTACTAGTGAGATATGGGATGCATTGTGGTGTCCTGGCATCCTCTACTTGTGCCTAATATTGCTTTCAGCCCTTTGCTTCACTGACTTTAGTTACTGCAAAGTTGCCAGCTGCCTAGAACACACTAGATTAGAAGAGGTTTAACAAGGAAGTGTGTACCATCTCCATGGGTTTTCCATCTACCCTCCAAATATCTGCACTTTAAACCAATCCTCTATTCCAGACATTATCTGCTGACATATAGACCCACTTTTATAGTCACAGGACACAGGTTCTCTGTTGTGACAAGGACGCAGAAACCATGGGAGGCATTCTGAGCTGGGAACATCATCTGGATCATTTTTCATAGCCCTTTATCTATAGTTACTGAATTAGTTGGTCCTGGGCATTCCCACTCCAGCTTACCCCTCCTTGCAGATGCACATTCCCTTACCTTGCTCATTGGTATTCCTAGCCTGTATCAATGGTCAGCCATCAGTCACCAGCTCCACTTGCATAGCACCCACCTCTATGAAAGGGGTCCAGTGTACACAGGAAAAAAATTGTCAGCCTCCACTGGGGGTCAAGACAGCTCCCTGCCCTGGTGAGAGTGCACAGGATTACTACAGTGATCAAGAGAATGACTCAGGCAGCCAGCTATACCCTTCCTGACAGGAGATGGGGAAATTTTAATGTAGGCTAATTGTATATGTATATGTATGTGTATGTGTATATGTATATGTATATGTATATGTATATGTATATGTATATGTATATGTATGTGTATATGTATATGTACATACATATATCACTCCATGATTCCTGACATTCTTATAGATCTTGTTATTTCCTAAGTGAGTAAAACAATACGAATATCTTTCATTAAAATATTTGTCCTGTTGTCTTTGGTTCCCGAAGCAGCTTCAGAACAGCTTCGGAATAGTAAAGGTGGAAGACAGTCTTCTGTTGTAATGTTGGAGTGCTTTAGGCCTCAGAAGGAGACCTCGGAAAACACAATCTCGCTTTCTAACTTTCTTTTGCCCCCCTTTCACCTTCTTCTTTTTCTCCCTAAGACAAGCCATAGAAACTAAAAACAGTCATCTCTCCTCACCTGTCTTAGAGCTGGTCATAAAGAAATTCTCTGACCTACCTTGTCTGATTGTAGGTCTTAAACTCCCATTTCAGAAGAGGTCCTGACCCATACCCTGGAGGACACAATGCTGCTCAGGGAGAACAGGAAGAATCTGAACAGACAGGCCTTGCTGGTTTCCCAACTCAGTCTCTTAGTATTAGGTTATATCTTTCTGTCCAATCATATTTCTACACATCTGTCCATGCTTCAATCATGCCTATCCAATGAAGTCTTAGTAAAAGGGTCAGGAGGACAGGATATTGAGAGCTTCTGAACAGCTGAATTCATGGAGGCTTCCAGAAAGGTGCATAAGAACTCATCCACGTGCCAGGAGAGTGCTGCACCCCAACTGCATGGGAACAGAAGCCCTTGCAGGGCAGACCCTCCAGAACTCGCCCTATGTACCTCTTTATATGGCTGTTTCATTGTGTCCTTTAAAATATCCTTTGTTATAAACCAGTAAACATAAATATCTCCCTGAGTTTTGTGAGCTGATCCAGCAAATCAAGCCTAAAGAAGGGGTCATGACAACCTGAAGTTGAAGCCAATCAGTTAGAAGTTCCAGAGGCCTGGACTTTTGACTAGCATCTGAAGAGAGGGCACTGTTGTGGGACTGAGTCCTCAACCTGTGGATCTGATGCTATCTCCAGATAGATAGCGTCAGAATGGAATTGAATTAAAAGGCACCTAGCTGGTGTCTGCTGTAGAATTGATTTCTTGCTTTTTGGTGAGGAGAAATCCCCATACATTCAGTCACAGAAGTCTTCTGTGTTGATTGTTGTGGTGTGAAAGCAGATGAAAACAGATGAAAGCAGATGAAATGCCCTGGTGCATTCAGCTACCGGGCCTGCTCACTCACATCACGTGGCCATGTTCAGCTGGAGATTATGGTTCCCAGATTTCCCAAGCCTATTCCTGCTCATTGTCCTGTCCTCCCTACTGCCTTTCCCCTTATATCCCTCAGGTCCCTGATCCCACTGGGCTGAACTCTGGATTGAGAGCTCTGAGTGCCAGCCTGCCTGGGGCTCTGTGGACTTGGTTGTGTGCGTGGTCTCTCTCATGGACTCTGGCAGTTGCCCTTTCTTGGATCCTCCTAATGCCCCTCATGAGCTGATGGTGTCCTGTCTTCTCTCCTTCCCTGCCATCTGGTCAGTCTGACTGCATTAGTCCATTCTCATGCTACTATAAAGAACTGGCAGAGACTGGGTAATTTATAAAGGAAAGAGGTTTAATTGACACAAAGTTTCACAAGGCTAGAGAGGCCTCAGGAAACTTACAATCATGCAGGAGGGGAAACAAATATGTCCTTCTTCACATGGTGGCAGCAAGGAGAAGTGCTGAGCAAAAGGGGAAAAAGCCCCATATAAAACCATCAGACAACTCACTCACTATCACAAGAACAGCATGAGGGTAACCATCCCCATGGTTAAATTACCTCTCACCATGTTCCTCCCATGACACATAGGGATTATGGGAACTACCATTCAAGATGAGATTTTGGTGGGACACAGCCAAACCACAACATTCTGCCCCTGGCCCCTCCCATATCTCATGTCCTCACATTTCAAAACAAAATCATGCCTTCCTGACAGTCTCCCAAAGTTTTAACTCATTTCAGAATTAACTGAAAAGTACAACTTCCAAATCTCATTTGAGACAAGGCAAGTCCCTTCTGCCGATGAGCCCGTAAAATCAAAAGCAAGTTAGTTACTTCTTAGATACAATGGGGGTAAAGACATCCATTCCACCTGGGAGAAATTGGCCAAAACAAAGGGGCTACAGGCCCCATGCAAGTCCAAAATCCAATAGGTCAGTCATTAAACCTTAAATTTCCAAAATGATCTCCTCTGATTTCATGTCTCACATCTAGGTCACGCTGATGCAAGAGGTGGTCTCCCATGGCCTTGGGCAGCTCTGCCCCTGTGGCATTGCAGGGTACAACCCCCCACCCAACTTCCCTCAAGGAAGATCCCATTCTGGGATCTGGAGGACTGTAGTTCTCTTCTCACAGTTCCACTAGGGAATACCCCAGTGAGGACACTGTGTGGAGGCTCCAACCCCACATATCCTTTCATCACTGCTTTAGCAGAGGTTCTCCATGAGGGCCCCACCCCTGCAAGAATCTTCTTCCTGAACATCCAAGAGTTTCCATACATCCTCTGAAGTAGGCAGAGGTTGCCAAACCTCAATTCTTGACTTCCCTGGACCGGCAGGCTCAACACCACAGGGAAGCTGCCAAGACTTGGTGATTGCACCCTCTGAAGCCATGACCCGAGCTGTACCTTGGCTCCTTGTAGACACGGCTGGAGGGGCTGGAACACAGGGCACCCAGTCCCTGGGCTGTACACAGTATGGTGGCCCTGGCCCAGGAAACTATTTTTCCCTCCTCAGCCTCTGGACCTATGATGGGAAGGGCTGCCGTGAAGGTCTCTGGCATGCTCTGGAGACATTTTCCCCATTGTCTTGGTGATTACATTTGTCTCCATGTTACTTATGCAAATATCTGCAGTTGGCTTGAATTTCTCCCCAGAAAACGGGATTTTCTTTTCCACTGCATTGTCAGGCTACAAATGTTCCAATTTATATGCTCTTTCACCTTTTGAATGCTTTACTGCTTAGAAATTTCTTCTGCTAGATACGCTAAATCATCACTCTCAAGTTCAAAGTTCCACAGATCTCTGGGGCAGGGGCAAAATGCCACCAGTCTGTTTGCTAGCATAGCAAGAGTCGTCTTTATTCCAGTTCCCTACAAGTTTGTCATCTCTATCTGAGACCACTTCAGCCTGGACTTCATTGTCCATATCACTATAAGCATTTTGGTTAAAGCCATTCAACAAGTCTCTGGAAAGTTCTAAACTCCTACATCTTCCTGTCTCCTGAGCTCTCCAAGTCTCTAGGAAGCTTCAAACTTTCCCACATTTTCCTGACTTCTGAGCCCTCCAAACTGTTCCAACCTCTGCCTGTTACTCAGTTCCAGATTCGCTTCCACAGTTTTGGTATCTTTACAACAGCTCGCCACTACCCGTTACCAATTTACTGTATTAGTCCATTCTTATGCTATTATAAAGAACTGCCCGGCCGGGCGCGGTGGCTCACGCCTGTAATCCCAGCACTTTGGGAGGCCGAGGCGGGCGGATCACGAGGTCAGGAGATCGAGACCATCCCGGCTAAAACGGTGAAACCCCGTCTCTACTAAAAATACAAAAAAAATTAGCCGGGCGTAGTGGCGGGCGCCTGTAGTCCCAGCTACTCGGGAGGCTGAGGCAGGAGAATGGCGTGAACCCGGGAGGCGGAGCTTGCAGTGAGCCGAGATCCCGCCACTGCACTCCAGCCTGGGCGACAGAGCGAGACTCCGTCTCAAAAAAAAAAAAAAAAAACAAAGAACTGCCCAAGACTGGTTAATTTATAAAGAATAGAGGTTTAATTGACTCAGTTTCACAGGGCTGGGGAGGCCTCAGGAAACTTCCAATCATGGTGGAAGGGGAAGCAAATATGTCCTTCTTCACATAGCAGCAGCAAGAAGTGCCCAGCCAAAGGGGGAGAAGCTCCTTATACAACCATCAGATCTCATGAGAACTCACTCACTATCACAAGAACGGCAGCATCTGGGTAACCACTCCTATGATTCAATCACCTCCCACGGATACCTCCCATGACACGTGGGGATTATGGGAACTACAATTCAAGATGGCATTTGGGTGGGGACACAGCCAAACCATATCACTGACCAAACCCTTCTCGAAGTAAAGATAAATGGGAATTTCGTGTCAGAAGATGTTTACTGCACAGTGATTTCCATGGTCTTTCTTCATGTACCACTGTGAGAGAGGCTATGGTTTTGACCACCTAGGAAAGTTTGTTTATATGCTCAGTACTCAGTTTTAAATAAGGCTACATCAAAGGCATTCTTCATTTCTGTTACATTACCTTTGAATTCTAGCACTCACTTTAGATTATTTAATACAGTTTTCACCTCTTTGCTGTCATTTCCCATCTATTCTTGTGTGTTGTCTACTTTTTTTATTAGACCTTAAACATATGAATCACTGATATTTTATATTCATATTTTATAAGTATAAAATTTGTGTTATACTCAGTCTGCTTTTGCAACTTGCTTTGTCACCTCAGGCTCTTTTTCCTTGCCTTGCGTCATGCTGTGGAAGTTTTTGTGAAAAACTGAATGTGATGTATTTGGTAATAGTAAACCAAGATGAAAAGCTTTTAGTGTGATACTTTCTGTTAATTTGACTAGGTCTTGGACAGGGCTTAATGTTTGCTGCAGCTGTAGGTGCCAAAGCCTTCAATGCCCTGCAGTATTCTTTTTTGTCTCCCTCCTATTGTCTTTGGTTTTCTTAATAACTACCAATTAAATTAAGCCTCTGTCTTCTAGCTCTTCATCCATTGTAATCCACTGTCGATGTGGTTGTATCATCCATTGTAATCCACCATCAATGTGGTTGTAAGGTGTTAGGGAAAGAATTGAAACCATCTTTGTAAATGTTATACAATTAATCAGGGAAGAAGAGAGGAGGAGAAATGAAAACAAACCAAGCTTTCAGCACAGTCAGCATTAATCACTAGGTTAGCTTGCTCTCTGACCCACTCCTCATAGTCATTTGTCTCTGCCTCAAAATCACACAGACCTTGTTATCAGATTATAGGTCCCCATAATTGCTCTATAGATAGCAACTTAAACATTCTGAAACGTTAAGTTTTCCTTTTGAGATATTCTTTCCAATCCTTCATACCAGTGAAACCTACTGATTGTAGCTGGTCTGAAGGACCCCAGGAGGAGCTGGCTCACGGAAGAATGCAGTTTCCACATCCTGATGACTTCATCCCTCTTACCCCAAACAATCAACGACTCCAACTTTCAGCCCCTTGCCCTCCATGATCCTCTTAAAAACTGTCACGCGTATCCATGTGAAAAGACCACCAAACAGGCTTTGTGTGAGCAATAAAGCTTTTTAATCACCTGGGTGCAGGCGGGCTGACTCCAAAAAGAGAGTAAGCGAAGGGAGATAGGGGTGGGGCAGTTTTATAGGATTTTGGTGGGTAGTGGAAAATTACAGTCAAAGGGGGGTTTTCTCTTGCAGGCAGGGGCGGGGGTCACAGGGTGCTCAGTGGGGCAGCTTCTGAGCCAGGAGAAGGAATTTCACAAGGTTAATCACTCAGTTAAGGTAGGGCAGGAACAAATCACAGTGGTGGAATGTCATCAGTTAAGGCAGGAACCAGCCATTTTCACTTCTTTTGTGATTCTTCACTTGCTTTAGGCCATCTGAATGTATATGTGCAGGCTTGGGCTCAGAGGCCTGACAAAAATCTCATCCCAGAACTCCTTGGGGAGATGGATTTGGGGGTCTCCTCCCATCTCCTTACTCAGGGCCCTGTGATGATTAAACTCTTTCTCTTCTGCAAACTTTGCTGTCTTAGCGTATTCAACTGTTACTGCTCAGTGAGCACATGAACCTGTTGGTCCTATAACAGGATCATTCTTAATCTTATGATTGAATTGCAGGACTTATTGAATATGTGTCTCTGAGTTGTGGCCTTCGTGACTGTTTCACCAGCAGTATAGTTTCTTTGCCCCATTTCCCCCAAATCCTTTTGCTCACTCCTGTGTTCCTAAGCAAAGAAAGACTGTCAAATCAGGCAGCTCCAGAACCAAAATAGGTTCAGAGCAACTCCAGGGTTGCCACGTGGTGAGATAATATTTGTGAACCAATAAAGGATAGTAATATACAGAAAACAGAAATGACGTACAGAAAGAACTGGATTGGCAACAGCTGGGGATTTGCCTTGTTTGAACCTGCTTTGAACAGTTGGCTGCCTGTGGTTGACTAAGACTCAGTTGCTTGTTACAAGGTATATTACAATCTGTCTATACTTCAAGTTAGGTTACACTTCACTATGTGTAGAGGAATCTTTAGGCCAACCTTCAAATATGTAGAGGGGAAGCTTTAGATCAAACTCAATTTGATATCCTTTAGGTAAGACAAGAAAGCTAGAAGTTTGCAGTGGGAGGAATGCCATTCCCCAAGCTGGGATGACGCTATGGCAAAGCCTTTTACTGCTGGAGAACACCTTTGTTATGGAGAAGGCTCTGAGTGTTTTTCACAATAGCTATTTTTCTCCTACTCCTGCCCAGATGAATGAGAGAAGCTTGCTCAGACCTTCACGGTGAGAATTCGCTGATGCTCCTGGAGGTAAAGCACTCAACAATTTGCCTCCCAAGACTGTGGCTGCCAAGTAATTTATCACTCTCATGGTACTCCACATTCAGCATCTAAAATTTCATTCAATTACCATTTAAAGGTTTTTTACTAGGTTACAGACCCAGAATTGTCTACTCCTGATAAGTATATCTTAGCTTTGCCTCTTTGTACCTGACTCTCCTGATTTTGGGTGGTAATTTGCCCTGCAACATCAATTCCTTAGTATGTGTGAGAAAAATAACTGATTTTCAGTTTGCCAAGCATATTTTTGTAGTAAAAATGACCATGTCAGTGTTCAACACCTTTACAGTCAGGGCTGAAGTTAGAAGCCCTGTATTAACTTTTTAGTTACCGATTTATATTATGTATACCTGTTAGAGTAGGCAGATAGCCAGAAATGAGCAGGCAAGGGAGTCCCTGGGAAAAGAAGTCCTGGGAGACACTGCCCACTGACAATCAGAAAAAAATAAAAATAAAAATAAAAATAAAAACCAATGGCTATATTGGCTACAGCTGGCCTTGTGGTTAGGCTCTTCCAGCCCAGAAGGGGTCTTACCAGGCCCTAACTGGAGGCAACAATGGTAGGGACTTTTCCTACTGAGGAGCATGCACACTCCTCCCATAAATCACCCTGGAGTAGCCTTTTGCTTATTATAATAGTGAAAAACACACCCTGGGGTGGAGACTTTAAATGCTAATGAGACATGCCACATGTGTACTAGTATGCACAACCACAGAGCATGTGCGGTCAAGGGGACCACATAAAACATGATTGCAAGTGACATTCCGTCATGCCCCTTCATGAATAATCATGTAAGATTCTCATAAAGAGAGTCCCCCAGCACTAGCTGCTGCTGGCTCATTCTCTCTTTCAACAGCCCACTCTGATTTGTCTTCCAGAGTGTACTGTCTCTTTAAATAAACACTGCTATTGCTCTTTTTCCAGCCAAACCAGCCAAGGTTTGTCCTAGGGCAATCAAGGCTATCCAGTCAAGGGATTAATGTGCTCACTTGGGTAATTGATAGTGATTATCAAAGTGAAATATTAGTTATGATGGAACGTAAAGGTCTGCATATTCTTCTCCCTGGATCAAAGATAGCCCAGTTAATACTCTTACCATACTGGGTCCCCAAAGCCCAGGGAAAAGAAAGGGGAAAGGGAAGTTTTGGAAGCACGGGAGCCACAGGAGTATATTGGAACCAATTAATCGCTTATCAGAGACCCATGATTACCTTAAAAATTGGAAATAAAAATGTTACTAGCTTATTGGACACAGAGGTGGATATTTCAATCATTAGCGATCAAAACTGGCCAGAAACTTGGCCTTCGGTCACTCAGAAACGAAAAATTGTCGGCATCGGGGAAGCGCACACAGCCAAGCAGAGCACACGCCCCCTAATATGTTGCGATTTGGAGGGAAGAAAAACAGTTATACAACCTCTAATCATGTCCATCCCTGTTAATCTTTGGGGGCGGGACCTATTAGCCCAATGTGGGGATCACTCTACAGACCCCTTTCTAATAATGGCCACTGTTGTAATTCTTCCCCTACCCCTCACGTGTCTCTCTCTAGATCCAGTTTGGGTAGAACAGTGGCCTTTAAAGGGAGAGAAATTACAAAGAGCCCATGAACTAGTTGAGGAGCAATTAAAAGCCAGCCATATAGAACCATCAAATAGCCCTTAGAATTTGCCCACTTTTGTCATTCCCAAAAAGTCTGGTAAATGGAGACTTTTGCATGACTTATGTGCTATTAATGCTAATTTGTAACCTATGGGGCCCCTTCAACAGGGGCTCCCTTCCCCCACGGCGATTCCTCAAGATTGGCCTACAGTTGTTATTGACTTAAAAGAGTGCTTTTGTACTATTCCCCTTGCAAAACAGGGCAGAGAAAAATTTGCGTTTACAATACCAGCTATCAATAATGAAAGGCCAGCTTGCAGATTTCATTGGAAAGTGCTTCCTCCAGGAATGCTGAACAGTCCTACCATGTGTCAGTAACATGTAAATCAAGCTTTGCTCCCCAGTAGAAAATAATTTCCTAATTGCAAGATTATTCATTTTGTGGATAATATTTTACCAGCAGCCCCAACAGAGCCAGTACTTTTAAGTTTATATTCCTCTGTCGTAAAGAACACGCAGTTAAGAGGTTCAATCATAGCACCTGAAAAAGTACAAATGTCCTCTCCTAGGAAATACCTTGGGCACATACTAACTTCCCGGTCAGCAAAACCTCAAAAGGTTAAATTAAATACTAGCAACTTACACACCTTAAATAATGACCAGAAATTACTAGGCAATATTAACTGGCTTCGCCCCACCTTAGGCATAACTACTTATAAGTTCCAAAACCTGTTTTCTATATTAAAAGGCAATGCTGCTCTAGACTCTTCTAGGCACTTAACTCCTGCAGCATAAAGGGAAATTGAGGGAGTAGAGCAAGCTATTTCTCACAGGCAACTAGATTGCATAGATCCATGATATTCAGTTCAGTTGTTTGTTTTTCCCACTAAACATTCCCCAAGAGGATTAATAGGACAGATGGGCCCAGGGCTGCACTTTCTAGAATGGGTTTTTTGCCCACATAATAGGACTAAAACACTCTCTCTATATATCCAGCTAATTAGTAAAGTCATCCATTCAGGCCGCAGACAATGCAATAGGTTGCTAGGTTATGATCCTGATGTCATCAGAATTCCTTTGAGTAAAAAGCAATTCGAAGCAGTATTGCCTTTATCTTTAGGCCTGCAAACAGCACTCTCTGATTACACAGGCCATGTAGAGCATGCCCTTCCTGCTGATAAATGACTTCAGTTCTTATCTCATACTTCTGTGGTTTTGCCTGCAAAAATAGCTCACTCCCCCATACCTAACATTTTAACACTGTTTACCGATGGCTCTGGTAAACATGGAACAGCGGCTATTTGGTGGAGACCGCATAATTCCCTCATTCATTCTGGATTTACTAGCACTCAGAGAGCTGAAGTTGGAGCCTTAATATTGGCCTTCGAGAATTTTTTCGCTCAACCCATCAATATTGTTAGTGACCCTGCTTACTCTATTTATTTACTGCAGAACCTTGAAACAACCCTCATTAAGTCCACTCTGGAGCCCACACTGTGTGCACTTTTTGTTCGACTTCAGCAATTGCTAGATCAACGTACACATCCTATTTTTATCACATATATTCGAGCCCACAGCTCACTGCCTGGCCCACTGGCTTATGACAATGAACAAGCAGACCTACAAGTGGTGACATCACGGCTTAACCAATCCACCCAATAACATCAATTTTCCCACCAAAATTGGAGAAACTTATCCAAACGATTTCAACTTATCCAGAGAGTAGCTAGACAAATTATCCTGCAATGCCCAGATTGCCAGCTCACAGGCACATCCCCTCCTTCTACAGGTGTTAACCCTAGAGGACTAGAACCTAATCAGTTATGGCAAACAGATGTTAGACACATCCCTGAATTTGGAAAACTAAGATATGTACATGTGTCCATTGATACCAATTCTCATGTAATTAGTGCTCATGCCTTTCCTGGAGAGTCCACCCGATATGTCATTAAACATCTTCTTTTAACTTTTGCATTTATGGGGCGGCCCACAAAAAATAAAACTGATAACGGTCTGGCTTATGCCAGCTCACAGCTTCAACAATTTTGTCACATGTGGAACATCCAACATTCCACAGGCATCCCGCATAACCCCCCAAGGACAGGCCATAGTAGAACATGTCCATTTCACCTTTAAAAATATGCTCAAAAAAACAAAAAAGGGGGAATATGAGTTAAGGACACTGCAACACTATTGGCACAAGCCTTATTTACCCTTAATTTTTTAAATTTAAAGATAAATTTCCATCAGCTGTAGAAAAGCACTTTGCTAAAACCTCTCAAGACATAAAACCTGCTGTTTTACAGAAAGTTGTAAACAGTAATGTATGGTATGGTCCAAATGAATTGCTTAAATGGGGGAAAGGATATGCTTGTGTTCACACCCCCTCAGATCCTCTTTGGATTCCAGCAGGATGCATCAAACCATACCATGGCATGACTAGGACCCAACCCATACCAGAAATGAAGAAAATGACCCTGCAGGACCCGCAGCCCCAGACAATACTGCTTCCTCGGATGACACAAGCCCCAGACATTACCTGGGGGATGCTGAAGAAGACAACTCAGGAGGCCGAGCGAATCCTGCTCCGGACACAGACACCATTCACTCCAGATAATTTGTTCCTTGCTATGCTCTCTGTTGTACATTGCAACTCATGTAGGGCATTGATCCTTTTTATGCTCTCGCTTTGTCTGCAATCTGCACCTGCTGCACTCTATTGGACTCATCGCTTAGATCTGCCCTTCTTCTGCCCCATCACCTGGGCAGACACCCCCTTCCCAGCCTCTAATAACATAACTGCTTGGCTGGGAGAGATAGATTTACCCCTAGTGGGGTCCCTCATTAATGGCACACAGTGGACTAAGGTGCCAGGTAACACTACATATCACTCCACTATCCTCCCACTGTGTGTAAGTTATAAAAGTTCTAACCCTTACTGTGTACCTGCTCAAACACAATTTTGGCTACATTGTGGCAAAGGAAATGCTTTAACAGTCTTAGTAGCAGGTAGCCTCAAACCAGGCAATGCAATCAATGCCATTTTCCCAAACATTCCTCCCTGTGCTAAAGAACAAAGCTGGGAAAGTAACGGATTCCACTTTAGCTGGGAGGTCTGTCACGGGGAACAGGCCTGTAGCCTCCAGTTAAGCAATTATAACATCTTAGACTGGAGTCCTCCCAGCCATTTGCAGGGCGATCGTATTGATGTCCATGTCTATCTTGGCATCAATGGCAGTTTTGTAGCCACATCCCGTTCCCCTATAATTTGGGCCGATGGGGGGAGGGATATCCCAGACCCCAAGTAGAGTCCATGCCACCCCAAGACACTTTATGGCACCTGGGACATCTTAGCACTTCCCTTAACACCTGGCATGGGACATATCATAATTCCAGTCACAATTATACTATGACCTTTTTTCATAATCACACCGATCAGTGCCTGATTTGCCTGATTTGCACTACCCATCCATATGTTTTCCTTATGGGAACCAATATTTCTATTACACCCCAAAACTCCACGTTTGTGACTCGAATGCAGGGACAGGCTTGGTTCATCTCTTGTATCACTAATTATAATATATCTAATTTAAATATTGCTAGTGTCATGGTATTGAGGAGACAATCTGAGGCTTTCCTACCGGTCAATTTAACATGCAATTGGCAAGGTTCCTCTGCCCTTGCCACCTTAGAATGTGCCCTGTCCCAGGTCAGACGCAAAAGATTTATAGTTACACTTATAGCCTTTATGGTCTCAGCCATAGTCATCCTAGCAACTGCTAGTGTTGCTGTAGCATCTATTACTGAATCAGTACAGACAGCTACTTTTGTAGATAATTTGGCCAGAAATGTGTCTGATGTACTTCTCTTACAGCAGGGTATAGATCAAAAGATTCTTGCACATCTGCAAGCCCTTGAGGCTGACTTGGAATATGTAGGGGAGCAACAAGATGCACTTGCGTTCCAACAGCAATTAAACTGTGACTGGGAGCTTAGGCACATCTGTGTTACCTCTCTACCTTGGAATCAATCAATACATAGTTGGGATAAGGTGAAACAGCACCTCTGGGGAACCTTTCGTGATAATTTAACAGCAGACGTAAAGCAACTTAAAACTAAAATTCTAGAATCCCTAAACGCCATAGACCTACAAGCCCAACAAATAGCCATACGGAAGGGTATGAGAGAACATCTCTCCTGGATAGATCCCCACTCCTGGGGGTCACTCCTTGATTGGAAAAGAACGTTGTGAATTATACTCATGTTTGCCTTATGTTATTTACTAATTCTAGGATTCAAAGCCAGAATATGAGTTATAACCGCTGTGCCAGACAAACATGTTGCTGTACACATCTGTGCTCTTCAATCAACAAAATCTGATGCAAAAAAACAGAAAAGGGGGAGATGTAAGAGATAGGTCAGGGTGGTGGGAGAAATTATAAGAAGGAATTATAGGAAAAACACAAGCCTTGGAAGGCCAGGAGGTTTTGCAAAAGCTTCAAAAATTTGGCTGAAGGCAGCCAAAGTCTCTTATCCAAAGCCAGAGAGCAAAAAGCAGATAACAAGGAAGTGTAAAGGAATTGATCTAGATCAGTTAGTTTACTTAGGCCCGAAACCTGGCCTTTAACCATCTGTGTGCAGGACTGCTCTCTCTGGGGGGCGGCCATGTTAATTACCCACAAGATGTGTTGACTCAAAGCCTTTGTCATTAAATCTGTAGTGAATATTTGCCCGCAGTGCCGGCTTGTTGGGGCCATGGCTGCTACAACTCTTTATGTGAATGGCCCAGTCCCCTAGCCTTCTCTTTCACTGGATACCTGTGTCTGAGTACATTTTTTATCCATCGCTCGGTCAGCGTCTGCCAGTCAGATCTGGCATTAATGTATGTGGATATTTTATACTCTCGTGAACATTTTACTATATTAATTTTAAAATTTTGATCAAAAATATGAGTGAAAAATATTTTCTCAATGTTACTTTAATTTGTGTCTCTGCATTTTCTAGCTAGGTTAATTAGAACACTAAGTTAATTTCTTACCCATACGAAGCTGGATTTATGCAGTGTTCTAAGTAAGACTATTCCTCTGGGCATGATTTAAAATTTAAAATTTTGAAATGTCAACATATGTTTTTCATTTGAGGAAAAAAGATTCAGTCAGACTGACCAGGAGGCACGGAAGGAGAGCAGACAGGACATGCTCAGCCCGTGAGGGGCATTGGGTGGATCCAGGGGAGAGCAATTGTCAGAGTTCATGAGTGAGACCACATGCAAAACCAAGTCCACAGAGCCCCAGGCAGGCTGGCACTCAGAGCTCTGAATCCAGAGTTCAGCCCACTAGGGACAGGGACCCTGGAACCCAGGGGAAAGAAGCCAGAGGGGGAGGGAGTATACGACAATGTACAGGAGTAGTTTTGAGAAATCTGAGAAGAACAATCATCAGCTGGGTTGGCATTTCACTGTCTTGATGGTGTCCTTTGAAGCCCAAAAGTTTAAAATCTTTGTGAAGTCCAATTTATCTATTTTTTTTCTGTTCATGCTTTTGGTGTCATATCTAGGAATTATTTGCCTAATCTAAGGTCATGAAGATATACCCCTATGTTGTTTTCTGCAAATTTTATAGTAATAGCTCTTATATTTAGGTCTTTTGTTCATTTTGAGTTAATTTTTGTATATACTGTGAGGTAAGGTCAAACTTCATTCTTTTGTATGTGCTTATCTAGCTGCCCCAGCACCATTTGTTGAAAAGATCATTCTTTCCCCCATTGGGTTCTCTTGACACCCTTATTAAAATCAGTTGTCCCCAGAGACATGAGTTTATTTCTGGACTCTCAATTCTATTTCATGGATCTATACTTCTATCCTTGTACCACTACTGTCTTGACCAGTTGCTTTGTCATAAATTTTGAAATCAGGAAGTGTGAGTCTTCCTATGTTTTTTCTTTTATCAAGGATGTTTAGACTAAAATGGGTACCATTAATATTTGACAAGGAAAATCAATTGTGGGAATAGCATTTTTAAAACATTTTATGTGTCATTTTTAAAGAATTCTTACTTTTGTGGGTACATAGTAGTTGTACATCTCATAAGTACATGAGATGTTTTGATACAGGCATGAAATGTGTAATAATCACATCATGTGAAATGGGGTACCCATCCCCTCAAGCATTTACTCTTTGTGTTACAGACAATTCAATTATGTTCTTTTAGTTATTTTAAAATAACTAAAAACTATTGACCATAGTCACCCTGTTGTGACTTAACAAAATGATCTCCAGTTCCATCCATGTTGTTGCAAATGATAGAATCTCATTCTTTTTGATGGCTGAGTAGCACTCCATTGTGTATATGTACCATATTTTATTTAGCCATTCATCTGTTGATGGAAATTTAGGTTGCTTCCGAATCTTGGCTGTTTTGAATAGTGCTGTAACAAACATGGGAATACAGATATCTCTTTGATATACTGATTTCCTTTCTTTTGAGTATATGCTCAGCAATGGGATTGCTGGATCATATGGTAGCTCTATTTTTAGTTTTTGGAGGACCCTTCAAACTGTTCTTCATAGTGGTTATACTAATTTACATTCCCACCAACAGTGTATGGGAGTTCTCTGTTCTCTACATCCTTGCAAACATTTGTTGTTGCTGTCTTTTGGATATAAGCCATTCTAACTGGGGTGAGATGATATCTCACTGTAGCTTTGATTTGCATTTCTCTGATGATCAAACAGGCAGAGCACTTGTTACATGCTTGTTTGCTATATGTATGTCTTCTTTTGAGAACTGTCTATTCAAATCAATAAGGAATTCTCTATAAATACATATACGTGAATATATTTCTAGACTCTCTCTTTAGTTCCATTGACACATTTCTATTGTTATGACAATACTACACTCTTCTGATTATTGTGACTTTATAATAAGCCTTGAAATTAAGTAGTGTAACCCATGCAACTTTTGTTGTCTTTTTTTTTTAACTTATTACACTTTAAGTTCTGGGATACATGTGCAGAACGTGCAGGTTTCTTACACAGGTATACACGTGTTGTTGTCTTTTTAAAAGTTATTTTGGCTACTCTAAGTTCTTTGTACTTATACATGAATGTGAACACCAGCCTGTCAATTTCTATTTTTAAAAAAGTCTTTCAGGTTTTTGATATGGATTTTATTGAATCTATATATGAATTTGGAAAGAATGTACATCTTAACAGTAGTAAGTCTTCCAACTCATGAATAAGATAGCTATCTCCATTTATTTAGGAGACAAATACCAAAATAAACTTTATTTAGGCATTTATCCTTCATTAATTTATCACTGCAATATTTCTTAGTTTTTGGTGTACAGATCTTCTACATATTTCATCATAGTTATGTCTATGTATTTCATGTTTTCTAGTGTTACTTTTATTTTATTATTTTATTTTGAGACGGAGTTTCGCTCTTGCTGCCCAGGCTGGAGTGCAGTGGCGAGGTCTCGGCTCACTGCAACCTCCATCTCCCAGGTTCAAATGATCCTCCAGCCTCAGCCTCCCATGTAGCTGGGATTACAGGTGCCCGCCACCACACACTGCTAATTTTTGTATTTTTCATAGAGACGGGGTTTCACCACGTCGGCCAGGTTGTTCTCGAACTCCTGACTTCAGGTAATCCGCCTGCCTCGGCCTCCCAAAGTGCTGGGATTGCAGGTGTGATCCTTCACGCCTGGCCTAGTGTTACTTTTAAATCATACTGTTTTTAATTTCAATTTCCAATTTCTCATTGCTAGTATATAAAATAGAATTAATTTTTGTGTATTGATATTTTATCTTGTGACCATGCCAAATTCAATTATTAGTTCTAGAAGCACTTTTATTTTAGATTTGTACAGGTTTCTGCATAGACTAAAGACGGTTTTGCTTTTCCCTTTCCAATCTGGAGGTCTTTTTCTTTCTTCGTTGCACTGAGCAACAAGTATAATGTTGAACAACCACTCCACCTCTGTGAACTCAAACGTCTTAGGTTGTAGTTTCCTGCATGCAAACACCCCGCACAACTTCTGGCAAATGAATATCTCCCTCATCCCTCCTGTTAAAACCCAAATCTGGTACTACACAGACTGAGATGAACACAATGCCCATAGTTGAAACAAGACTAATAAGATACTCAGTAGAACAAGGCTGTTTACAGCATGAGAGCCTGACAGCCTGAAGGCAGCGATTTCAGATTGGAAAACAGAAAACTGAAGGGACCTCTACGGACACTAGGAAAAGAATGCGGGATGGAACTTTTCCCTGACAGTAACCAAGAAGTGAGTGGTCTTCAAGTTACATAGGATAAATTTTTAGGAGGGAAGTGGGATGATTCACATCTCTGCATACAGCTAAATCGGCCATATTACCTTGGAGGGATTTTTGGTAAGATGTACAAAAATTAGATAATCGTGAAGGGTAGGAGAGAATGGAGTGAGCCACTCAATGAGGTGGCCATGGGGGAAGGCTTGGAGGGAACACTCTCTCCCCACGATGTGACCCACCAGAACTTAATATGGGGAGATGGAGAGGGTAGCAGGTTAGTTTGGATGGCTGTATAGGGTTGCTAATGAAATGCTACGTTTCTCCAACCAGAGCATCTTGGCCCCCTCACTGCCACCCCTCCCCCACCATCACCACAGAGGTGTCAGGTTGGTGCTTTGTATATTTAAGCCTTCCAGAGCCACCACTGGATGGGTAGTGGCTCTCTGACTAGTCAAAGCTTAGGGATGTGGTTCGTCATTGTCCTGGGAGGGGTATATATGGGGAGGCCAGGTGGCCTGGAGTAGACCATTGAGAGACGAGGACAAGGTGAAGATGGCCAAGAAACCATAAGCCTCCAGCCCAGTTGTGGAACAACCACCTGCCAACACCAAAGAGGCGAGGAGGAGGAAGACCCCTTCTCAATCAAGGTCCAGAAGCCCTATCAAGGTGAGGAACCCACCCAAGCTCCTCCTCGTCTTCCCCTTGACTCCTCCCTCCCAAGACTTCTACCCTATCCTGGCCTGACACAACCCCCCACCCCAGCCTGTATCCCTTCTCATGAAACCCGTCTTTCCATCCCTCCTCCATCCACTTCCCCAAAAGCAATGCCTTTCTGTGATCTCCTTGTTGTCCTTTCAGGTTCCCAAACCAGCAAGGGAAAAGAAACACTTTGATGGCGTTCCAGAAAAGAAGCCTCTCCCAAAATGACCACTGCTTGAGGAAAACTCCAGGAAGGGAGTAGGCCAACACTACCAGGCCACCGTGACCAGCTGAATGAGGAGCTCAATCAAAACGAGCCACAGCGGGACCAAAACCATCTCCAGTGTGTCCCCTGGGCAGCCAGTAATTTCAGGGCAATACCAGAGACCTGAGATCTATCTGCAAAGTCACCAGAGGTCTAGTCCCCAGAGAAATAGCCAACAAGGTCTAGGGTACATTTTATACCCAGCAGGGCATGCTCCATGGTGATGAAAATTAAATGACTCATAGAACAGAAATATATAAAAATATATGTTGAATGTTAACAGGTATTTTCACAGGTTTGACTTGTTTCTTGATAGTTATTCAGACACTAGGGGAAGGTAAATAAAAGTAAATGAAATAAGCAACTAAATGAGACCTAATAATTGGCCTTTGATTTTAAATATTTAATTTGTTATTATAAACCTTATCAATAACAATAAATCTAAATCAAAAAAGAAAACTAAATGAGTCTGTTGTAAACTGATATGTGTGTCTACATGTTCTCCGATGGTGGGGAGAGAGGAAGGAGGGAAGAGGTAGTGTGTGGGAAGAGATGGAGGTGGGTGTTGCCCGGTTGGGGTCACATGGGCAACCCCAGCCAGGTTGATTCACAGTTAGCCAAGCACATAGGAGAAGGATTGGGTCGGGGCTGAATTCTGGAGACAAATTTCCTCCTTAACACATTGGCCCATGGGAGAAGAGGAAAAGGTTGGTATATCCGTGTGTGCTTGCAGGGCTGTGGACCCAGCTGGGGAGAGGAGTTATGTGTATGGTTCCAGCGTCGCCCCCCATAAAAGGCACACAAAGTAATTGCCCTCATAAAAACCAAAAACCTTCCTACTAAAAATCATGAACAGCACTCTGAAGCACTAAATTAATGGTGTTTGGACATTGAAAATCCAACACTGATTCAGCAACACTCTCGCTTAAAAAATACCTTTGGAATGGAGCAGTTGGCTACCAAGGATGGGGTGTGGGAGTGGCTCCTCCCCCGTGCAGGCAATAAAGGGGAGCATTGTCTACATATTATTATTCAAGTTCAATTTTTATTTGAGACAATTGTAGACTCACATGCAGTTGTAAGAAATAATACAGATAGACCCTGTGCACCCTTTATGTACCTTCCTCTAATGATAACATCTTGCAAAAGTGTAGTACAGTATCACAATTAGGATATTAACTTGATACAGTCAAGACATAGAACAGTCACCACAAGGGTCCCTCATGTTGCCCTTTTATAGCCACAGCCACTTTCTTCCTACACCACCTTCTCCTCCTCAACCCCTAGAAACACCACTCATCTGTTCTGTATTTTTATCATTTTATCATTTCAAGAATGTTATTTGAATGCAGTCATACAATTATGTAAGCTTTTGGTACTGGCTTTTTAAAAATCTGGCATGACTGTCTGGCGATTCATCCAGCTTATTGTGTGTATGAACAGTCTATTTCTTTTCATTGCTGAGTAGTATTCCAAGGGACCTGGATGAACCACAGGTTTTGTTTGTTTGTTTGTTCGAGATGGAGTTTCGCTCTTTCACCCAGGCTGGAGTGAAGTGGCGTGATCTCAGCTCATTGCAATCTCCGCTCCCCGCCGGGTTCAACTGATTCTTCTGCCTCAGCCTCCCAAATAGCTGGGATTGTAGGTACCCGCCACCATGCCCGGCTAATTTTAAATTTTTAGTAGAGACGGGGTTTCGTCATGTTGGCCAGGCAGGTCTCAAACTCCTGACCTCAGGTCATCCACCCGCCTCGGCCTCTCAAAGTGCTAGGATTACAGGTGCGAGCCATCGCACCCGGCCAGCAGTTGTCTTTTAAACCATTAGTCTGTTGAGGGACATCTGGGCTGTTTCCAGTACTTGCTTATTAATAAAGCTGCAGTGAACATTCTTGTACAGGATTTCGTGTGAATATAAGTTGTTAGTTTTCTAAAATAAATTCCCAGGTGTGTGATTGCTGGGTTGTTTGTTAGTTGTATATTTAGTTCTAGTTGTTTTTTAATGAATAGGCTTTATTATTAGAAAAATTTTGGACTGGTAGAAAATTGAGGAGATAGTACGTTTCCCATATACTCCTTTTGTCCCCTGTACAAAGTTTTCTCTATTATTATCCTCTGCTAGTATGCTACATTTTTCACAATTAATGAACTAGTATCGTTATTGATACATTGTTTTTAACTAAAGTCCGTAGTTTACATGAAGGTTCACTCTTTGTGTTGCAAGGATCTTTGGGTTTTGACAAATGCATAATATTGTGTATCCACCATTACAGTTTCACCACCCAATGAATATGTGTGCTTCACCTATTTATCCCTCCCTTGCTGCCTCCAAAACTCTGGTAACCACTGATCTTTGTAACTGTCTCTCCAGCTTGCCTTTTCTAGAAAGTCATGCAGTTGGAATCACACAATATGTTGTCCTCTCAGACCGGCTTCTTCACTAGGTTCCTCCGTGGGTTTTTTGTTTGTTTGTTTATTTGTTTGTTTTTATCGTTGTTGTTTACAGACAGTGTCTTGCTCTGTCACCCAGGTTGGAGTGCAGTGGTACCATCACAGCTCACTGTCCATAATAAACCTTGAACTCCTGGGCTCAAGAAATCCTTCTGCCTCAGCCTCCTGAGTAGCTGTGACTACAGGCACACACCACCACGCTCAACTATTTTCTTAAATTTTTGTACAGACAGGGTCTCAGTATATTGCTCAGGCTGGTCTTGAATTCCTGGCCACAAACGATCCTTCCACCTTGGTATCCCAAAGTGCTGGGATTCCAGGTGTGACTCATCGTACCCGACCTGACTTATTTTTATTGATAACATTTCATTGTCTGTAAGTACCACCGTTTATTAATTCATTCACGTATTGAGCACCTCTTGGTTGCTTCCAATTTTTGGCAACTATGAATAAAGGAATTTCCACTAAAGGAAAACGCTTGCTCACAAGTAGAGATAGAATCCAGGCAAAAATCTAGTCCACTACTAGTTCATGCAGCTCCAGAGGCAAAGAGGAAATGCGGTTTGTGGACAAGTTACTGTTGGAAGAATGATGGTTTTTGATGACAGCTGCAAGGTACACAAGCCCATTCTGTGATAATACCTCAAATGAATGCATCACTTTGTTAGCTTCCAGCTGCAGATGCTGAGCCACAGCTTCTATAACCCCCACCCAGAAACCTGCTCCCCAGAGCTCTTCTGTAAAGCTGCTGGCTCCAGGCATGTCCCTCATGCTTCAGGGTGTGGAGGCCCTCCAGGGCTGGCTACACCGGGGTCCTGAGTTGGCCTAAGCTTGTGGAGGACCAGAGAGGTTGTGCCAGGCAGAGGCTTAATATCACCTTTCAAAATTAAACAAGAAAATATCTTTTTATTGGAAATTTCTGGTTTCTGGTCTGGCATATAAGGAGCTTAGAAGTCATCACTCTCATCCTCACAACAAGAACAGAAACTGAGCAAAGCAGAAATCAGTAACTCTTCTCAGATTCATCGGAGAACTAAGGTCACAGAGCAAAGCAGTGCCCCCAAAACTGGAGAGCTAGACAGGTGGATACAGAGAATCACAGCTTACTGAAGCAGAAGCCCAGAAACAGAAATCACTTTTGGAGCCAGTAATGGTGCAGAAAACTTAAACTGTAACTGATGAACTGCTGGAGGCTCAGTGTGGACAAACTTGAGAGTTAAAGTCTTCAAGGTTGCCCAGTCTTAGGTTGTTGGGTTTTTTCAAACTTTATTGATGTATAATTTACAAACCACAAAATTCACCCATTTGAAATGTACAAATCAATGATTTTTTACTAGAGTTACTAGGTCATGCAACCATCACCACAGTCCTAGTTTTAGAACATTTCCATCACACAATAAGATTCCTATGCCCACTTATAGTTAATTCACGTGCCCAGCCCACTCCATGGCAACAACTAATCCACTTTCTTTCTATCTTTAATGATTTGCCTTTACTGGAAATTTCATATAAAAGGAATTATATCACATGGCTTATTTGTTTAATCCATGCTGTACCATGTACCTGTAGCCCTTTCCTTTTTACTGTTGAACAGCATTGCAAAGATGCAGCATATGTTGCTTATCCATCTACTAGTTGATGGACATTTGGATTGTTGTAACTTTTCAGTTACTGTGAATATGCTTCGATGAACATTCCTGTACAAGTCTTTGTATGGACGTATGTTTCCTTTTTTTTTTTTTTTTTTTTAATAGAGTCTTGCTCTGTTGCTCAGGCTGGAGTGCAGTGGTGCAAACATGGCTCACTGCAGCCTCAACCTCAACCTCCCAGATTCAATGGATCCTCCCACCTCTGCCTCCCAAGGAGCTGGGACTACAGGCGCGTGTCACAATGCTGGGTTAATTTTTGTATTTTTAGTAAAAAGGAGGCTTCACCATGTGCCTCAGGTTGGTCTCGAATTCCTGGGCTCAAGCGATCTGCCTCAGCCTCCCAAGTGCTGGGATTGCAGGCATGAGCCACCAAATCTGGCCCATTTTCTTAATTGTGACTTTTCCAGTAAAAAAAGTTTTAAATTTTGATGAAGTACAATTTGTTGATTTTTTTTCAAAAGTGTGCTTTGCTGATGTTAATAAAACTTTGCCTAAGCCAAGGTAATGAAGATTTTCTCCTATGAGTTAATTTTTCTAAGGTCTGCTATAAAGGTGCAAATTCATATTTTTGCAGGTGGATATTCAATTTTCCCAGTGCCATTCGTTGAAAAGACTATTCCTTCCCCCGTGGAATTAATATGTTAGCACCTTTGTTAAAAATCAGTTGATCACAAGGATATGTGGGCTTATTTATAGACTTTTAATTCTGTTACATTGATCTGTATGTCTACTCCTATACCAAAACCATACAGTCATGATTACTATATCTTGAATCGGCAAGTAAATGTTCTCCAGCTTTTTTTTTTTTTTTTTCCAAAATGCGTGTGGCTATTCTGGGTCTTTTGCACTTTAATATAAATTCTAGAACTAGCTAGTCAAGTTCGACACAAAGATCTGCTGGAATTTTTATAGGTATCATGTAGAATCTACACATCATTTTGGAAAGAACTGACATCTTAACAATATTGCATCTCCTGACTCATGAACACAGTGCATGCATCTCTCTCATTCAGATTCCCTTGCACTCCTCTCAAGAATGTTGTTTAGTTTTTAGTGTATAAGCTGTGCACTCATTTTGTTAGATTTCTTCCTAAGTATTTTATTCTTAATGCAATTATTTTCTTAATTTCACTTTGGGTTTATTCATTGTTAGTATATAGAAATGCTACTAATTTTTGTACTGACCTTGTATCTTGTGAACTTGCTAAACTCATTGAATAGTTCTAATACTTTTTGGTGGGTTTGTTAGAATTTTCTGCATACAGGATCATGTCAATGAATAAAATCAATTGCACTTTCTTTCTTCCAAGTTGGGTTAACATTAACAATTCAGAGTTCACTGACTGCACTCACTCCTGCATGACACGGGGTCTCTATCCTCTTGTAAACATGACTCAGTTGTTTTTTTTGTTTTGTTTTGTTTTGTTTTGTTTTAATTTCTGGAGCTGCCGCATGTGTGTTCATGAATAGCGCTCTGGTGAAATTTATACTTTCTCCCCTAGTCCAGACCCTGGGAAGCCATGGGAGGTCAGGGCCCACAGCATCACCTGTGGTCAGTGAATTCTGGAGTTGGTGCTATGCAGATGCTGTCTACAGAGTCTCTATTTCTTGCAATTTCACCCCAAACTGGAAGCTTTGGGCCACCTGCCCCTTTGACTACGGAAGTGGCACTTAAATTTCAAAAGCAAGATGGTCACAATGATCATAATAAGCAGGAAACTTGAGTGGCAAACAGGGAATCTCATCTGCAGAGAGGAGCAGACTCTGTTAACAGAACACAGTGCTTTTAGAGCCAAGATAGAAGAACAGACAACAAGTATGTTGCTTAACTTATATACCCACATGAAATCGAGGCTCAATAAGCAGTAGGCTGGGTAAACTGCTCCAATAAAGTTTTAATCCATCTCCCAGTTTCCAGACCTGAGCCAATTCTCAGACACAGAATTTATTAACTGAACATAACACAATGGTAGAGTCCTCTTGAGGAAACCACCTGCAATACTATGGCAAGTTGATACAATAGTGGTTTTCCAAGCCCAGTTTCCAAAGGAACCTATGTCTATTCACCTCAGTAACTGAACACTGGGAAGGGGGAAAACACTCAAACATTTCAAGGACCGCTGGACACAGAATCTGCATTGACACTGACACCTAGGACCTGAAGCTTCATCATGGCCCCCTGTTTGTTAGAGTGGAAGCAAATGTGGGCCAGGAATAAATGGAGTTCTTGCCTAGGTCTGACCCAGAGTGCCCATTTATCCAGTTTCCAAATGGGAAATTGAAATGGACTTCCTCGATAATGGGCACAAACCCTGACTGGGTCCGTGGCTGTTAGTAGAAGAGCTAGCAGAGTAGAGAAGGCCAAGTGCACTTCCTGCACCTTGGCCATGATAGTAAGTAATAAACAATATTGCATCCTGAGGGATGGAAAATGTTAATGACACCCTTAATACCTAAAGGATGTAGGGGTGGTGATCCCCATCATATCTTAATTTAAGGTAGCAGCCTGGCTCCTACAAGAACCTGATGGGTCACTGGGACTACTGCAACTTTGCACTACTGCAAGCTCAATGGCAAGAGCCTTTAACAGATTTGTTATCTTCACTAGAACAGATCACCACGGCCTCAGGCACATGGCATGTCGCTACTGATCATCATGAGCTAGGTTCTGTCAGACCCACAAAGTCAGGTGATTCCAAAAGTAATCTGTGATAAGATAGAAGTAGCATATCCAGGACCAGATACCAGCACGGCCATAGATTACAAGCAGGTGACCTAATCCCCAATGTCATCTGCCACTGTTGTGTCTGTGTCTCTCCTTCAGCTCTTTTTTATTCCTATAGATTAATGGACCAGGAAGTTCTCTTATGACCAGCTGCTGGAGGAGTAGAAGTGCTGAGCTTAGATAATAGATGGTTTGGCCGGATTTAGAGCGCAACCTGAAAATGAACTTCTGTTGTAATACTACCTCAATCGTATGTGGTCAAGAAATACATTGTTGAGCAGAAATCCCCAGGTGGCAGAGCTTCAAATGGTGCATCTGATGATCCACTTCATATCTAAAAAAGAAGTGACCCAAACTACGAATGGACTTATGGACAGTGAAAAATAAATTGGACAGCTGCTCAGGGACTTAGAATGAGAAGTAGTGACAGATTGCAATAAGCAGGATTGGGGACGGAGGTTTATTGATGGACGTATGAGAAGGGACACTATATGTGAAGATATTTGTATCACGTCTTAAGGCTCAAGAGAGCATTCACCATGGAAGAGACACTAAACGTTTAATCAAGAAAAAAATGACCTAACTAGTTGACATTAGCCAGCCTCAGTCGCTGGCCACATTAATGCTACACAATGGCCTTATGTGTGCAATAGCCACGGTGGAAGAAGTGGATGCTATGCATGTGTTCAACAGCATGGGTCCCCATTCACCCAGGCATATCCAGCTATTTTTGCCAAATGTTCAAACTGCCAGCAACAGAGGCCAGTGCTGAATACCCAGTAGGGCACCATTACTTAAGGAGACTAATCAGCCCCTTGTGGCTTGTTGATTGCGTCCAGCAAATTCCATCCTGGAAGGAGCAGAGATTCATCTTTACTGGAATTTGTACACATTACAGGTATAAGTTTGACTTTCCTGCTCACATTTCTTTGTCGGGCACCACTAACACAGGGCTTAAAGAATGTTGGATACACTGAGCCAGGATACTCCATACGATCAGCTGGGACCAAGGGACCCACATATAGCAAAGGAAGTGCTCAGTGGGCACATGACCGTATGATCTAAAGTTGTTATCTCATACTGCGCCACCCAAAAGCCACTGGTCTACTGGAATAATGGAGTGGCTTCTTCACAGTGCAAATGAGGTGCAAATTTGGAGATCACAGCCTTGAGGATGGGGTGTCATTCTCTACTGTACTGTATATACCCTAAATCTATTACCATTCTCTTCCATCAATAGATAGAATACATGATGCAGATACCAAAGGGTGGAATGACCTCACTTACTGTCACTCCCTGTGACCTGTATGGGAATTTGTACTTTCTGCTACATGAGTTTAGGTTCTGTAGTTCTAGAACTGTGCTTTCCAATAAGGTGTCACTAGCCACATTTAGCTATTTGCACATAAGTTTACACTATTTAAAATTAAATTTAAAGTTCAGGTCCTCAGTCACACTAACCAGGTTTGTATACTCAATGGTCACATGTGGCTGCTGGTTACCCTATTGGACAGTGCTGGCTAGATATATTGGTTCCCAAAGTAAGATTACTTCCACCTGGAAAAAAACAATTTAATGGGACTCTTTCCATTAAATTTCAAGCTATTGCTCCCATCTGGGCACTTTGAGCTTCTCATGCTATAGGACCAGCAAGCATAAAAAGGAGTTGCCATGCTTGCAGGGATATTGGCTCTGATCATCAGGAGGAGGTAGGGCTGCCCTTATACAATGGGAACAGAGAGGAATGTTTGGCTCTCGAGTGACCCCTTGAATGTGTCTTCGTAGTCCCCTGCCAGATTTCTATAGTATAGGGACAATTGTAAGTGCCACAGCCTGAGAAGGTCGTGGAGGACCAGGAGCCCAGAACCTTCCGGGATGAGGGTTTGCACTACTCTATTGGGTAAGTAATAGAGAACAGCAAAGATTCTGGTTGAAACCGACAGTACTCTAGAATGGATAGTAGACAAGGAACAGAATTATCATCAGTTGTGGCTTAGAGGCCAGCTGCCACAGAGGGCCTATCGTTTGTACACTCTTCTTTCTCATGTGAACTTCTTTAGTAAGGGATCACCAGAATCCTTGAGGAGTTGTGCTCAAATGAGGTGAACTTTCTACATGAAAAAGTAGGGTTAATCCACTGCTTGGCATATACCCAAAAGAAAGGAAATCAGGATATCGAAGAGATATCTGCACTCCCATGTTTGTTGCAGCACTGGTCACAAAACCCAAGATTTGGAAACAACCTAAGCATCCATCCACAGATGAATGGAATAAGAAAATGTGATACATATACGCAATGGAGTACTATTCAGCAATAATAAAGAATGAGATCCTGTCATTCACAACAACAAGGTGGAACTGGAGGGCATTATGTTAAGTGGAATAAGCCAGGCACAGAAAGACAAACTTTGCATATTCTCACTGATTTGTGGGAGCCAAAAATGGCAACAATTGAACTCATAGAGACAGAGTAGAAGGATGGTTAACAGAGTCTGAGAAGGGTAGTGGAGTGGGGGGGGGGGGAAGGATGTTTAATGAGTACAAAAATATAGTTAGATTGAATGAATCTAATATTTGATCATACAACAGGGTGACTACAATCAACCATAATTTATTGTACATTTTAATAACAAAAAAGAGTATAATTGAAATGTGTGTAACACGAAGAAAGGATAAATGCTTGAGGTGATGGATATTCCATTTACCCTGATGTGATTATGCATTGCATGCCTGTCTCAAAATATCCCATGTGCCCCATAAGTATATATGCAGCTACTATGTACCGCAAAACATTATAAATAAAAAAAATAGAAAAAAATGTAGGTTTAACTGTTGCAAGAGAAGATGGACTGTAGTGGATGGTATAGTGCTACCAAGATCTTTGCTTTATAACTGAGGCGCTCATTCCCCCAAAGGTATTGTTTGTTGATGACCGATAACCAGGGTCCTCTCCATGGACGGCCCTCAGTTGTAGGAAACTTCCTTTCCGGGGTCAGCTTCCTTCTAGTGACTAGTCAAGGAATCAATGGGAGGAGTACGAAGCCCCCATCCCCCTGCTTCGTATGGGGTTACTTCTTCAAGGCTATCCTGGTTGCTTTCTGTTTTCAAAAATTACTGTAACTACTGTGCTCCGAAATGACAGCAGAATGAAGTGGAAGTTAGACCCTGAGATATCACCACTATTGGAGGCTTAAGCCATGGGCAGGGGCCATCCCTGTCCGCTGTCGGGAACTCTAAAAATAGACTCCTCAGGAATTTGACTTGGGCTCAATCAAAAGCCAGAATCTCAAGCCTACTGTGTCCTGTTACTTGTTTCAGCAAATGAGATAACCTCTGTGGCCCACTGAATAAACTGTAAAGTACTAGTGAGAGGATGCTATTATTGCTGTCACAGCAATAGTTCTGCATCCCACAGTAAGCCAGTGTGGTGGATAAGAACTGAGCTTTGAAATCAAAACACCTGTTATTTGAGAGCTCCACTGAAAAAATGCCTGTGACCCACCCCGGGCTGCCCAGCACTGCACAATGATGGCAGAAGCCATTCAGGATGTGAAGGGGCTTCACCAGGACTGGACACTAGGAGGCTGCAGAAAGTAAGAACATTTGACAGATGCAACAGCACCCTCTGGAGCACCCGAGGATCAGGGGAAGCCTTAAGGACGAGGATAACTGTACACAGTTGACAGATCATTTACTGTGCCAGGCAGTGGGATAAGTGCTTCAAGTTCCTCACAGCCCCGTGGAGGACAAGTTTCGGCCATATTTTACCAACCTTCCACGAGCTGTCTTACTGGATCCTGAAGCCGCACACACACCAGTGACTACTGAGGTCAGGAGTTGCTGATTTAATAAACACTCCCATGACACTTGCTATGTACCAGGCATTGTTTATGTGCTTGACAGATATTACCTGATGCAGTCCTTATATGTGCTTCGTGAAGTACATGCTACTGCTATTCATGTTTGACAGATGAGGGAACTGAGATACAAGGAGTTTGGAAGCTCGCCCATGATCACACAACTAGGAAGTGGCAGCGCCAAGACTCATATCCAGGCTGGCTGGGTCCAGAGCCCCTGCTTCCAGCTGTGTCCCTTAAACCTAAGTCCGGCTAAACTATTCTCACTTGGAAACAAACATGTTTCTAATTGTACATTTGTGTCCTACACACACCTTGGCTCTTCTGAAACCATGCAGAAAGAATCTACTAACCCAGCCACATACCCCTATTAGATCGTGAGCACCTCAAAGCAAGGTTTGAATGCCATGTTTGGAACTACTGGTGCCCGTGATAAGCCTTAGCGCCCACTGGGAGATCATGATATATTTATTAAATAATGGTTTATTGAAAAATCAAATAATCTTCTTGGATCAACTTTATCTGGCTTCCAACACATGCAACAGGCTTGGGCCCTGGTATGTCAGCATGTAAGGATACGGGTGAGGATGTTGGATCCTGGAAATGACTCCTGAAAAGGCCGTGCATGTGGGAGATGGGGAGGTACCTGGGATGTCCTTAACTGCCTAGGGCACCACTCTCCACACCCACTGGCTCCCTCCAAGAAGGGACATGTGATGTCGCTGTTTCCGGTAATGTCCTGTTCCATCCTGGAGCGCCCACAGGGGTCTGACCCAGGCCATTCCTGGGAGCACCCACCTAATGACCTGGTCCAGGGTTCCAGCTCACCTCAGCCTCCTTCTGCTCCCATGTCCCTCTCCCCACAGCCGGCCCAGGGCAGTACAGCTGGACCTGGCAGGTGCTTCTCCTCACGCCCCTCCTGGGGTGGCTGATGCTCAGCACAGCCTAATCCCTCAGGACCCCAAAGCCCTCTCACACCCAGCTGCTTTCCAAGTCCTAACGTGGATCTGGGAGTATTCTGCGGACTGCGGAGTGTCCCGATACTCAACGCCCCCACCATCTGCTACAGCCTTTAGTCTTCTTTAGCTGCCTGTCTGGGGATACCGAGGCCCTAGCTGCCTCTGCTAGGACACCCCAGCCCCACCTCTCTGGATCATCAGCCTGAGAAAGCAAAACCTCATAGTCACCCATTTAAGGTGATCGGTTAATCAAAAGCCAGACATTACCTGGGGAATTATTTGAATAATATCTCCTAATCATCGTGATTTGTCACTCATCATGTCAGAATGCTTATTATTCACTAGGAGCCTCCCCAAAAGGCTTCATCATCTCCTGCCAGTTCTGTCACCACAAGACCTTGGAAGGAGATCCTTACCAGGGAATTTATCACAATGATAATCGCATATGAGCATCAGCTCCAGGTCTTGAGCAGTAGTTAGTGGGGAGAGAGGAAGCGCAAAGCCCCAAGCTGGGCAGACTGAGGCCCGATTGGGGCAGTGTGGACACAGCAGCAGGGGACATGAGAACACAACTATGGGCCCCAGGAGAAGGAAACTTGCAATCCCAACAAGGGCATTTGACTGCTGGCTGCCAGCCTCCAATTCAAGGACACATCGTGGCTCTTAAAATACTGATGGGTCATGCTTCAGGGCCCAAAGGGTGCAGATGGCAATGCAGGAATTCCTGCAGTCAGCTTCCTACGGGGTGTTGCTTCCTGTGAAGACCTCCATCCCTGCCCAGGGCCTTCAAAGTACAGAATCTGGCATCTCGCATAGAAGGGAGCAAATGTGTATGACTTAAGTCTCTGGATGTGTTCTCAGGATGTGAGAATGAAACCCAAAGCTCCCGAGTCTCCTTCTATGGAATCTGCCTCACATAGCTTCATGAGCCCCAGCTTCTTGCCTGCCATCCCCTGAGGACCTGGTGCCAGTTCCCCATCTGTGTCACTCCTCTCCTCACCTGACCAGATCCTGTCACATGGCTAAAGGAGGGGGAAGAGAATGCTTCATCTCAGAAGGAGGGTGAGTAGTGTGCTCTTCCCATGGAGGTCATGTCATTCTTGTGCAGCCTCAAACTCCTGCACTGCTCCCCTGACCTCTCCCTGGAGGGTTCTGCCCACTCCACAGTCCCTCCTGCTGTGCTCCCAAACCCCAGTGTGTATCTCCAGAACATGTCTGCAAGGACCTAGGCCTCCAACATACTCTTCCTTCTTCCCCATCTTGGCATCAAATCTGTCTTGGAGGACTCTAGGAATACTAGTCTGATTTTTGTAGAAC
The DNA here is from genome assembly GCF_000001405.40 of Homo sapiens. Taxonomy (NCBI): domain Eukaryota; kingdom Metazoa; phylum Chordata; class Mammalia; order Primates; family Hominidae; genus Homo; species Homo sapiens. The sequence continues at coordinate 149,658,273 of NC_000023.11, read as the reverse complement.
ATCCCTCAGTTTCAGTGGGTCTAATGTCTTCTCACGATTAGAAGGGCATGCATGATTATGCATTATTAGGAAGAACACCACGGAGGTGGGAAGCCCTTTTTATAGTGAATACAGTATCTCCAGCACTTAGGTCAGTGCCTGGAGCATATGAGGAGCTGGATAAATATTGAATGAATGAGCGAATGAAATCATGTTATGTTACCTCTTGGAGAGTGTGTAATGATTCCTCAAATAACTTCACGCAGCAAGGAACGGTGTGTACAAAGGCAGGGATGGCACCTGTCTACTGGCATTGGGGAGAAATCATGATGGAGCATTCTCCAGATGAATGCAACCTTGCAAACCACGTTGGCCACCCTTCCTACTTTCTCCAGGGAAGTAGCATCAAAGTCATTGGCGAACATGGGACTTCTGTCTAGAGCTTGTCCAGGAATCAATGGGAAAGTGTTACTTGAACTGAATGTTACATAAATCCCTTTAAGGCCCAGCTGAAACCCAGAGACATGTGAGACCTTGACATTGGCTGCTTGCAGACCCAAACGACCAGAGAGAGGAGCAGGGAATTGGGACAAGGGCCACAGCTGCCTACTGGCAAGAGAGAGTGCTCAGATAGCCACTGATGTTTGTAGCCCTGCCTTGCTGACTTCCCCAGGATGCCAGGAGCACAGACCAGGCGCTGGGGCAGCAGGTCTCTGGAGTCCCTAGAGCTCAGTTGCTTACCTGTTCCATGACTCAACAATAAGAGGGTGCTGGGATGCATTTAAACTTTGATTGCTGGGTAATTGGGAGGACTGAAAATGCCACGAGGCTCCAATGCAGAGGCTGCGAATACTAGGACCATGGAGCTGTAGTTCTTCATGCGTCCCACAGCTGAGTACTGAGCATGTACTGTTTGCCAGGCACTGCTCTAAGCTCTGAGGATACAGCATTGAACAAATTCCCTGCTTCTGTGGAGCTTATGTTCTAGCGGGAGGGGAGGGGCAGGCACACAATGAACTGCGGAACAAAGTTACAGGTGAAGTAGGTTTTATGGTGACAAACGCTATGGAAACAAATTGAATCGAGAGAGCTAAATAAGGAGTGCTGGAAATTGGGTGGAAGGAGGGATTGCAATTTTTACAATGGTATTCATAGAAGGCCTCACAGAAGAGATATCTCGAGAGAGAACCGAGGATGTCTGGGAAGGAATGCTAACAGTATTATAAGAGCAATCGTCTAGAAGAGAACAAAGACATGCAGTCGCTCGGGGCCTTGGAACAGAGTGTAGAGGGCAGGGTCTAGAGACACTGGTCTGGTGAGCCAGGTAAAGGGTATTCCCTGATCCTCTGAGCCATGGACTGCCTCAGAGCCAGGTCAGCTGCACTGTACCATGAACTGGCTTCTTGGATCCAGGTTTCTATTCCAGGTTACTGACTTGACCTGAGGACTGGGTACAGAATACAGGTCTAGGTGTCCAGAAACCTTTCTCTCGGGATAAAGGGGATGGAAGGCACCATTGGCATTGAACAGGCAAGGCTGTTGGCCTGCTGCTGTGGCACTGCTGCGGCGGGCAGGACAATGGTGCACGTGTAAAGACTGGGTGCAGAACAAAGCAGAAGGCTGTCTGGTGACACCTAGTGCTCATTCCAGAGTAGACTCTGTGTCTTCAATGAGGGGCCAGATGTCTTAATCCAGGACTGGATTTCCTATCTTTCAAAGTTCACCTCAGGTGGAGGCCAGAAGCAGGTTTGGCTTTTTGTTGGGGGGGAAGGTACACATAGGAGGCTCTTTGTGCTTCCTACTGTACTCCAGCAGGAGGCATACAACTTCTGGCTGTTCAACCCTTGATCATATTGGCTCTGATCAGTGGGCTCAGGTGGAGAGGTGGAGACAGCCTTGTTCCTCCATTGCAGAGTGCGTCATCAACCCTTCAACAATGTTTCATCCATTGATTAGCATGGATTGCATCAGTTGCATTGCTGGATATTGCAAATACTTGTTTTCCTTTTCTCTCATATGTTGCATTTTCCTCAGCTGGAATTCTCCAGTAAGGAAGAAACTTTCCTCATCAACTGTAGCTATTGTGTCATCCTGAAATACAGTTAGTACAGGAAATGCAGGATAAATGTTTTATTCTCTCTCTTGCAGAGCCAATTCTCAATGTGAGGGGTGGTTATTCTTGTTCCTTCCAATGGGGTCCAACAAGTCATTCTTTATTAATGACTTTTTATTTTAGAAAATGTTTAGGCTTACAGAATTATTGCAGAGATAGTACAGAGAATTCTCATATACCCCACACCCAGTTTTCCCTATTACCATCCTCTTATATTAGCATTACACATTTGCCACAATTAATAAAACGGAAGACAAAAACAAGGACACTAGAGGAATCTGAAGCCTCTGGCATCTATAGGTATAAGAAATAAAGCCCAACTCCCAGCCAAATTGACATACATCCTCACTGTAGAGATCTAATTGCCTCTGTTCCTATGACCTCATACAACACGTTCACTCTCAACAAAAGGATTGCAAGGGACACACGCAAAAGAGTAAGAAAATACATAGTCTGAAGAGACAAGACAATCAACAGAACTGGACTCTAATATGACTCAGATATTGGAATTAGGAGGCAGATAATTTAAAATGACTATTTTTAAAAATTTAAGAGGCTTTAATGGAAAAAGTAGGCAACATGGAAAAACAGATAGGTAATGCAGGAAGAGAAGTATTGCGCTCAGCAAAATCCAGAGTATGGGAAACTGGACAGAACACAAGGCATGTCTTCATTTTCAACAAATGAGTTTCAAAAAAAGGTAATGTGGGGGAATCTATAAATTACTTAAGGTGGCTATTAAGAACATAAACACAATGTATAGATCATATTTGCAAACCGATTCAAAGAAACTGCATTTTAACAGGAGCATATGTCCACCAGATACATGTGACAAATAAGTGAACATTTCATTATATTAATGACTTGCTTACATGTTTAGGAAAGATAATAATGTTGGCTTTATGTTTTATAAGAGAGTAGTTATCTTTAGAAATGCACTCTGATGTATTTGGAGATGAGATCACATGGTGTCTTGGATTTGCTCCACATTATTTCAGTTTCTGCTATGCGGAGTAGGTAGGGGTATAACTAGAACCAGATTGGCCATGAGTTGAAGATTATTGATACTGAAAGTCTGGTATATTAGATTAATTATAGTATTTACCCTATTATTAGGTGTATTTGAAAATGCTTGTAATGAAAATATTTTTGAAATAAATATGATATTTAATTTGAAATCCTAAGTGAAATGGATAATATTTTAGGAAAATAAGTACATGAACAAATTGATACAAAAAGAAATTCAAATCTTTAACCAAACAATAAAAAGTGAAACTAATCTAAGCTCAAGCCATCCTCAAATGTGGACAAGGCAGCTTCGGAGGCCAATTCTACATTGTTATCAGGTAAAGCTCAAAGCCACCTTAAGTAAACTCTTCCAAGGCATACGAAAAGTTGGGCAATTATTCAAATTATTTTCCCAAGCTAACCATTCTTCATTCAGGTACCAGAGGAGGACAGCACCGTGAAAACACTTGAGCCAAACTTCACTCACACAGAGGCAAATATATTAATTAAATTAGTAGCATATTCAACATAGAAGTGAATTAACGGATTGTGTCCAAGGAACAAAAACATGATTTAATATAAAACAATTTTCAGTTGTGATTTCCTACGTTATCGAATTAAGATTTTAAAAAGTGATCACTTTAATAGGTATAATAGGTACAGAAAAGATTCTGGAGGAAATTCTACAAGAGGTCATGGTCAAAAGTTTTAGCCAAATGAGGTTAGAAGGAAATTAGCTTTTCCTACGATCACTGGCCAGCATACCCAAATATGAAATGTCAGAAGAATTATTGTCATAGGACTATGCTATAACCTCTATCTTTGGAAATTACACTGTAACATAAGGCCAGAGAGGTGGATATAAAAAAAAATCAGTATAAATATTGAACAGATTTAATATTTGGTACGACAATATGATTATCTAGAAAATTCAAAGAATTGTGCAGATGGAATAGTCAAATAACAGACTTCAGAAAAATAGTATACAGAAGATTACTACAGTAAAATCAAAATCCTTGCAACCCAAATAAATAACTATTCAGAACAAGTAATAGAAAATACCCCATTCACAATGGCAACAAAATCTAGAAATTATCCAATGGAGACAGACAAAGCATACAAGATCTTTATGGAAACAACTATGCAAGTACTGATAGAGTTAGGTCAAAAAGTTCCCAGATAAACAGAGCCGTATTCTATATCCCTTAATAGGGAACAGACTATTGAAAAGATATCAATTTTTCTTATTCAAGATTTACAGATATAATGCTTAAAATTTAGCTGCCAAGATGAATGTCAGGCTTGGACTTCTGCCCTCAACTACCAAAATCAATCCTGGAAAACTATAGAAGAAAGAATAAAATAAAATAAAAAAACAAATAGTATCAACAACAAAATCTAAACAACAAAGCAAAGCCCTGGGGGAGAATGAAGACTGTGTTTAACTGGTACCTGTAATCGAAATGGCCAGAGTGTCAAGGAAGTTAGGGAGAGTCCATAGCTGGCATAGAAGGAAGATGACAGGATGTGTAGAAGGAAATGTTTAAATTTTTGCCCCTATTCCAGTGTGAAAATGTCAGGTGGCACCTGAGACCACAGGTGCCAGTAGTCTGGTTTCATTGAAACAGTAGTAGCTCCAGTCTGTGCTAATAACCACCTAAAACCACATTAATAGGTGAATTGGCTTAACTGAACATAAAGAATGGATTACAAATAGAGTGTTGAGCATTAGAATGAAACAGGCATAATGAGGTTAAGTATGATTTCTGATGCTGAATGAAAGTTTAAAAATGAAAATCACTGCACTGAGCTATGAAATACTCGATAATTCTAATGGCAGGAATCCCCAAATTTCATGCTGCTGCTCAGCCTATTTAATGTAAAAACAAATATTTTAGGAAAACAGGTTTGCAAACTCGACCTGTGGCTGGGGAAGAGCTTCCTTGGGAAGGTGTGTGTCTTCTCCCAGAGGTCACTACAATCACAGAAGCTGCCGCTCTGCAGGGAGTACCTGGCCTGGGACCCGCAGCCATTCTCTGCAAGAGATGCAGCTGGGCAAATGCTCAGAAGTGGCAGAAACAGAGTATCTCCTGCCCATGGCTTCATCAAAGATCCAAGAGCCAGGAGGAGGATCCTCTTGAGTGAGGACTGAGAGTCCACCCTCCCCTTGTAGAGGAACCAGAGAATCCAGCTCAGCCCCTTCTAACAATCCTGGAAGATCCTGGCAATGTTGTCGCCCTGAACACACGCCTCCCACCACTGCCACCTCAGGGGACTGGGAGTCAGAGACTTGGTGTGAAGGGAGCAGACCCAATTGGCAGAGGGCAGGGTGTCCAGGCTCTGCAAGGAATCAATGTCAGGACCCTAAGGGAAGCTTGAGGGCCCCTATAACCATTCCTACCCCCATGCCTGGAAGAATCCAGTTCCGCTGCTGCTGTCGACCCAGGGAAGCCCCAGGCTTGGGGGCCGGATGTCACGCCACTGACGTGGCCTCAGGGGTCAGAGGATAGCAAGAGCGCCTCGCTCTGAGTGGCAGCTTGAGATTGGTGGAGTGAAACAGGCCCCGGCTCTGTGAGGAGGCAAGGTGAGACACTGAGGAAGACTGAGGATGCCCCTACCCCAGAGAGAGGACCCCAATTAACCCAGTGCCACCCCTGCTGCCAGCCCTGGGCCACCTGGGGGCAGACTTCTCAGGCTGGGCCGCTCCCGGCTCCACTGCCACTTAAGCCGCAGGGCATTCTGGAGACAGAGCTTGGTGTGACCAGGGAAAGGCTGATTAGGAAAGGGCAGGACCCATGCTCTGCCTGCCAGGCATCATGGTCCAGACCCTGAAGGAGGGCTGAGATCCCACAGAGCGAGGCTCCATCTCTGCTGTCAGCCCTGGGAAGTTCCGGGCATGGTGGACAGGCATGTGGATCCTGATGTTCACATCGGGGGCTGATGGAGGGAAGGGGCTTGGAATCATGAGCACGGCCTCAGGGGAGCAGAAGGTGGGTCCAGGCCAGGCTGGGAGACAAGGCAGGCCTGAGGGGACCCAGCAACCCAGAACAGGGGGCCTACTCCACTTCTTTCTGAGACTGAGGCACCTTCTCAATTGGCCTTGGGAATTTGAGGGATATAGATTCAGGTCCACAAAGGGGTGAGGCTCAGCCCTGACAGGATCAAGAGGAGGAAGAAGAGGGAGGACTCAGAGGACCTCGACCCTGGGAGGTCCTGGGAGTGCTGGCTGTGTGTGGCACATCTTTGCTGTGTCTTTGGGGTGCCAGTGACGAGAGGGGTGTAATATGAGGAGTAGGGCCTCAGGCCAGCAAAGAGAGAAGTCCCCTAGAGCCCTGAGAGAGGACTCAGCAGACCTGTTATCCTGGACCTAGGAAATCTGCCTCTGCTATCAGTCCTGGGAGGCCCAAGGCAGGCCTGTGGAGAAGGGACATGGTCCCCCACTTTCTCCTTGGGGGTCCCAGGAAGATGGTGGCCTTGGCACACAAGACTCATCCACAGTTGAGCAGGAGCGAAAGGGCTGGGCCCTGTCGGGAATAAATCTGAATACCTGGAGGAACGCAGACAGAGGAGGCACCCCTGAAACCTGCTCCTTCTGTCAGCCTTGGGAATCCCGTGCAGAATTTTCCGTGTGGTGCCCCCTCACTTCTTTCTCCCAGGTCTCAGAGAGGTTTGGGCCTTGGTCTGAGGCAGTGTCCTGAAGTCATACAGCAGAGGAGGCCCAGGTATTGCCAGCAGGCAAGGTGAGGTGTTTACTTTAAATGTATACAAAGGGCTCCACCGGCCCCAGAGCAGAGGGGACTCCAAAGTGCCAACCCACCTGTCCTACTGTTATTGCTGGAGCCGTGGCTTCTGCTGACAAGCTGCACCCTGAGGAGCCCTCTTGTTAGTGGTGGCAGGTACCCAAGTTACCCTGAGTTACTGGTGGTGTATCCATATAGGTCTGCGGCAATTTCAGTTCTTACCTCCTCAGAAGAAAGAATTCGACTGAGGGGCCAAAGGCAGAAGGAAAGACTGAGGCAAAAAACAAACAAACAAACAAACAAAACACAAAGCTTTAGAACAGTAAGGAAAGGAAGGAAAGGAAACAAGAAAAGTATAACTCGGAAGAGGGCCAAGTAGTCAACTTGAGAAACCAAAGTCACAGCTTGACCTCTTGACTTGGGGTTTTATGTTGGCATATGTATTAGTTTTCACATTGCTGATAAAGACATACCCAAGACCGGGCAATTTACAATAGAAAGACGTTTAACTGGACTTACAGTTCCGTGTGGCTGGGGAAGCCTCACAATCATGGCAGAAGGCAAGGAGGAGAAAGTCACATCTTACATGGATGGCAGCAAGCAAAAAAAAAAAAAAAAAAGCTTTTGCAGGAAAACTCCCCTTTATAATAACCATCAGATCTCATGAGACTTACTATCATGAGAACAGCATGGGAAGGACCTGCCTCTATGATTCAGTTACCTCCCACTGGGTCCCTCCCACAATGCGTGGGAATTCAAGATGAGATTTGGGTGGGGACACAGCCAAACCATATCAGCCTACTTCAGAGATCTTGTGTTACTTTCTCCCCAGTCCTGAGATCTTGTTGGGAAGCTGCTGATCCATTTCAGGTGTTTTCTATTAGGAGACTGCCTTCCCCTGGCAAGGGCTGTGAACAATTATTACTTTACAGAAATAGTTAACAACCACTTGACCATCGCCTAATGGTCACCCAACATTCCTAGTGTGTGTGTGTGCACGCACGCATGCATGTGCACATGAGTGAAGGGGCTGGGGGAACCCTCTCCTTCCCTATTCATACCTGACTAGCTACCCACTGTAACACTCTCACTTCCTCCAAGTTCTCGGTGAACAGGCCAGCTAGGAGGATAGGTGCCCCAGGAGGCCCCAGAGGAGCACCAAATGAAAAGATCCATAAGTCTGCTTTTGTTAGAGCCTCCAAGGTTCGGCTCTCAGCTGAGGTCCCTCACTGGCTCCCTCTCTCCTCAGGCCTGTGGGTCCCACTTGCCCAGCTCCTGCCCACACTCTGCCATTCTGACCAGAGTCATCATGTCTCCTGAGCAGAGGAATCAGCACTGCGAGCCTGAGGAAAGCCTTGAGGCCGAAGGAGACGAGGCTTTGGGCCTGGTGGGTGTGCAGGCTCCCTTGGCTGAGGAACAGGAGGCTGCCTCCTTCTCCTCTCCTCTGACAGTGGGCACCCTGGAGGGGCTGCCTGCTGCTGGGTCACCTGGTTCTCCCCAGAGTCCTCAGGGAACCTCTACCTCCCCCACTACCATTGACAACACTCTATGGAGCCAATCTAATGAGGGCTCCAGCAGCCAAGAGGAGGCTCCAGGCACCTCACCAGACCCAGCAGACCTGAAGACCTTGTTCCAAGAAGCACTTGATGGGAAGGTGACTGAGTTGGTTCATTTCCTGCTCTACAAGTATTGAGTCAAGGAGACAAACACAAAGGCAGAAATGCTAGAGAGTGTCATCAAAAATTATAAGGATTACTTTCCTGTGATCTTCAAGTGCATGTGGCTGGTCTTTTTTTTTTTTGACATGAAGGAAGTGGATACCACTGGCCACTCCTACATCCTTGTCACTTCCCTGGGCCTCTCCTATGACGGCCTGCTGGGTGATGATCAGAGCAAGCCCAATGCAGGCCTCCAGATAATGGTCCTGTGCACGATTATAATGGAGGGCAACTGCACCCCTGAAGAGGTCATATGGGAAACCCTGAGTGTGATGGGGCTGTATGCTGGGAAGAAGCACAGTGTCTATGGGAAGCCCAGGAAGCTGCTCACCCAAGACTGGGTGCAGGAAAACTACCTGGAGTACCACCAGGTGCCCAGCAGTGATCCTGCACACTATGAGTTCCTGTAGAGTCCAAGAGCCCACACTAAAACCAACAAGATGAAAGTCCTGGAGTATGTGGCCAAGGTCCATGGGACAGATCCCACCTCCTACCCGTCTCTGTAAGAAGAGGCTTTAAGAGAGGGGGAAGAGGGAGTATGAGTACAAGTTGCAGCCAGGGCCACCAGGTGGCAGGTTTAGGGACAGGGCCAGTGCAAGTTCCAGGGGCACAACCTACCCCATGTGAAATCAGGCCCTTTCTTCACCCTGTATTTGAACAGAGTAGTCAGAGTTCTTGGTAAGGGAGGTCAAGGTGGGTGGAAGGAAACACATTGCATACCATCTTTGGCTTCCTGTTCTATTGAGTGATTGGAGATTTATCTTTGTTTCCTTTTAGTAATTTTCAAATTTGTTCCTTTTAACAGAAGATTTAATTAGTTTTAACATCTAAGTTTATGAATGATATTAATCACACATGTATTTTTACTAATCCATTTCATGTATAAGAGTTTGTTATTTTGTAATGTTATGGGACCTTTGGGGTGTCATTTTTCTGGCAAGAAACCTCTGTGGCCACTGGCACCTTTGCCTGAATTTTGCTTGGGCCTGTTGGGCTTGTTTTGACCATTCAATCTGGCATGCTGCACTCAGCTCGCACTACCAGTCTGTGTCCAATTCCCGCCAAGGGCGAGTCAGGCGTGGAATGGTGAGGGTTGTGTGAATGACTGTGGGGTCCAGCCACTGCACACAGTCCGACATGCCAGCTGCTGCAGTGGGGCAGGCAGCTCTAGGCACTGGCACAGGTGTTGGCTCTCCACAAACCTGCAGCTGGACCAGGCACACCACAAGCAGCTTCCACAGCTGGCACTGCAGAACATGGTGGCACCTAGAAGCTTGGAGATGCCAGGAACTGCAAGGCCCCAAAGAGGGAGTCACAGCCCTGGCTCAGGGAGCTCCCAGGTCTGGGCTCCCGGATGGGCCACAGGTCTTATCTCCTTCTCTTTGCTCGCAACATGGTGAGCAAGGGGCATATTTCAGTCTGTTTGTGTTACAGCTCTATTAGCTCAGCTATTCAATGGGTTCCAAGTTCTTGTCCTGTGACCAGGAAGAATGAGGTACACAGACAAATGGAGGGTGAGCAAGATGAAGAGGAGCTTTAATTAGCAATAGAACAGCTTAGTCTCCTGCAGGGGGTCAGCTCCTTCCTGCAGGCAGGGTGTCCCAACAAGTGTTCAGCTCCTAGCAGAGAGGAGACCCTGGAGTGGGAAGCTTCTCTCTGCAGGCAGGTCCTCCCATCTCTGCAGCTTCCAGCAGAGGGGAGGCCCTGGAGTGGATAGCTCCTCTCTGAAGCTGGTTGTCCCGACATCTGCTCACTTCTGGCTGAGCCTGGGGATTTTTGGGCCTCAGAAGGGAGAAAGTGCATGCCAATTGGTCCATCGGTGGCCATGGGTGGGCCCAGAAAAGGCACCACAAGTTCCCACTCTGGTCCACAGGACTGGCAGCCCAGCCCCCAGACTTCAGGCCCTCCCCGGCCTGAAGGTGGGGCCTCACCAGGGACTCGCCGCCTTCTGCCCAGGAACCTGTCTGCCTCCTGCTGTCATTCACAGAGCCCAGGCCATAGGTGCCAAGGGATGCCTACAGGCCAGTTATGAGCTGCCCTCACCACCCCATCAGCTTCCCTACTATGCTCATTGGCGCCCAAATTCCGTAGGGGTCCAAGCCAGCAGGGGACTGACATGTCAGCACTGCCCTGAGTGTGTGCACACCCAGCCAGGCTGTGGCAGCACCTGGGCTTGGCCCAACTTTGCTCTGAGTCTGGAGTGGTTGCTGATAGCAGGGAGAAGCCAGGAGTAGGAGCAGGCATTTCTGACCCTGCCAGGGTGGTGGGGGCCTTCCTGGGCCCCCAAGAGGGCAGGTATGCCAGAATCTGCAGTGATGGTTTGGGCGGTTGCAGCTGTGCCCAGGGGAGGGGGGCGGGGCTTCTGCCTGCTCCATGCAGCAGGATGCCTGGGTCTGCAGCGATGGTTTGGGTGGCTGCAGCTGCACCCAGGGGAGTGAGGCTCCTGTCTGCTCCATGAAGCGGGAGGCCTGTATCCAAAGCTGCGACTTGGGTAGCTGCAGCTGCACCCAGGGGAGTGAGGCTCCTGTCTGCTCCATGAAGCGGGAGGCCTGTATCCAAAGCTGCGACTTGGGTGGCTGTGGCTGCACCCGGGGAGCTCCCACCCCACCAACTCGGAAGGGGCAGGGCTCCCACTTGTCCCTGCCTCATGCTGGTTCCAAGGAGTGTGCAGCCCTGGCTGCACCTCCCTGTTGTAGTTCATATGATGGTAGCATCCACTCCAGACTGGCCACTGCTGCCTTCAGTGAGACATACTGGGAAACCTTCCATATTGCTTTGTGACTTATAACAATATACCATGGCATTGGAATAGATATTTTCTTGGCAAATGTAAGAAATTATCAATAAGATTGATGGGGCCATAAAATAAAAGGAAAAGTCTGCTAATTCTAGCCTTTTTATCCATTTTCATCTGTTGTTCTATAAAAATTGAAACATATACATATAACTGGATTTGCTTCGCTTTTTCAAGGTTGTAGGAGAAATTACAACTTAAACAAAAGACCTGCTCACTGAGTCTTTCTTTCCACAACTTTTATGAGCATCTCCTCTTTGGAAGGCTCTGGGTTAGTAGTGGAGTTACTAGAATAAGCCAGAGAAACCCCTACCCTTAGAGTAGTAGAGTCTAGGAGTTGCATTCATGTAATTAAGGTGGCGAGATGTCCTCTAAGATGCAGAGGAAAAGTAAGAGAGGGGTGAGGGTGTGGGGCTCCAGGTGAGAGTGGTGAAGTTAAATGCCCTGAGCTGGGCGTTTTGATCTTTGGGAAACCGCAGTTCCTTCTTGAGGAGTTGATTATAATGAAGCTGACAAGCGCCACAATCTCAGACCATGAGTCTTAGAGGGTTAGAGAAAAGCCTGGAATGAAAAACTGCTCTGAGAAGTTCCTTTTGGGTGGTGGATGTAGCAGAGAGGAGTCTCCACCAGGGGCAGGAATGGAAGGTGTCCTGCACTTTTGTCCCAGTGTAGTCGAACACAGTGTAAGAGGTGGCTGACTGATACCCAACATCTGCCATCTGCAAGAATTTCCTGAGATAAGCATGAATCTCTCAGGAAGGGAGGCCAGAAGCCACTGGCCAGGTACTCTTCTGCCTGGTTTGGTGTACAGCTGACTCCACTGAAATGGCTATACTTTTGGTGGGGATGATATGAATGAGGTGAATGAAAAATAGTGGTTTGGTTGAAACAGAAGCTGGGAGGGAAGAAAGGAGTTTGTGACCCAAATTCTAGGATCTTAAAGTTAGTGAGTTGCACTCAGCTATGGAAGACTCCCCAACACCTAATTAAATAATGAATCCTCTTCAAGGGACATTTACTAAGCAGCATTTTTTAGTGATAATTCTGTTTCCCATTCAACTGCAAATTCTCTGAGATGTCCTGGAAAACAAAAATATTTTCCAAAATCTGGGGTCAAAATAATGTTAGAAATAAATGATAGTTGGGCTGGGCACGGTGGCTCACACCTGTAATCCCAGCACTTTGGGAGGCTGAGGTGGGTGGATCACCTGAGGTCAGGAGTTCGAGACCAGCCTCAACATGGAGAAACCCTGTCTCTACTAAAAATACAAAATTAGCCAGGCGTGGTGGTGCATGCCTGTAATCCCAGCTACTCGGGAGGCTGAGGCAGGAGAATTGCTTGAACCTGGGAGGCGGAGGTTGCGGTGAGCCGAGATCATGCCATTGCACTCCAGCCTGGGCAACAAGAGTGAAACTCCGTCTCAAAAAAAAAAAAGAAATAAATGATAGTTATTAAAGATGCAATGTATGTCAGGCACTGTGCCAAGTGTTTTAATAAATGTCTTATATTCTAATAGTCTATTATAAAAAGTACCAAACACATGTTACAGATAAAGAAACTGAGGCTCACTGGGCTTAGTAATTTCCCAGGATCACATAGTTAGTAAGTGACAGATTGGCACCAGATCCCTGGCCTGATTCATCTAGAGACCACGCTATTCCCATTCTCCCCAGCTTGAGGTCTATCTTCTGACTTGTAATTCATTTTTGTAGTAAGTATTGCAGAATGTCTCTAAGGTGACAAAAAGAAGAATGCTGAGGTCAAGGCACTAAAAGCTGACCTAAAGTAAGCATGTGAAAATGATCATCTGAAAACTGTGCCTTGCTCCCAGTGGAATGGCCCAGAATCACCTGCCTTCCCCCTGACATAGAGCATGCCTGCTTCCTGAAAACGTCCTTTGGCTGTCACATTGCTCACCCTGGAACTCCTCTAATGGCAACAGCCTCTTTGACATAAAAGTTCACTTGGACAGTGATGTTCAGATGCCTGGTTATATGCCTGAGAGTCAAAATACACTCTGAAACTTTTCCAAATGGGTGCAGGCTCTGATTTGGCACACAACGTATTCCTTCTTGTTACTGAAATGTAAAGTTAGATAAAGGGTTTTTGAAAGCATCTAGATATAGGAGTAGGATTTTAATAAAATGTCTTATTAGACTTTCCACTGAATACACACAGGTTAATAAGCTTACCTAGGTGGTCAAACATCAAAGCTTGTAGATGCAGAAAGACCATGTAAACCACTGTAGGAAAAAAAAATCTACTGAAGCAGAATTTCTAAAAACCCTGGAGCCCTCCAAGGAGGTGAAAAACGCTTCCTCTTTGGACATGCTAGCTCTGATTTAAAAAGAAAAAAAAAAACTATATTTCTGCTATCTCTTGTCTGTGTGCCTCTCCACAGGAAAATCCTTGTTTGCAAAGTGCCTAATGGCACTTGCACAAGTCTTCAGGTAAGTTCAGTTATGTGGACAGTAACAAAGACTCACAAGTTAAAATTTTGACCATGAATCAAATAGGGTAAAAATCTCAACCTACTGAGATTAGAGGTTATTGCAAAGGGAAGTGCAGAAATGTGCCATTGAGTGAAGAAGGTGAACCTTCCCTGATGAGATTTCTAGAATTATTTGAAAAGTAGATGTGATCCTGTATTTGAAGCATCTGTCATATAATAAGTAGGTACTTGAAAAAGCTGGGGAATTTTGAAGCAAATCTGACCTTTTCAGAAATTCCTCCCAGAAATGAAGAGGATTGCTGTAGTAATAAATTATAATACAGTTGACCTTTGAACAACATGGGTTTGAACTATGTGGGTTCACTTATACACAGACTTTTTAAATAAATATATTGGAAATTTTTTTGGAGTTTGCAACAATTTGAAAAAACTCACAAACTGCATAGCCTAGAGATATAAAAAAAGAGTTATGTCATGAATGAATAAAATATATGTGGATACTAGGATATTTTGTTATTTAGTACTATAAAATATATGAAGTCTATTGTAAAAGGTTTTATCAAAATTTATGTACACAAAAAGTTACAGACCGTACATGGTATTATTCACAGTCAAGATAAATGTAAACAAATGTTGAGATGTAGTATTAAATCATAACTGCATAAAATTAACTGTAGCATAAGCTGTGCTACTGTAATAATTTCATAGCCACCTCCTGTTGCTATTGCAGTAAGCTCAAGTGTTCTTCTATCTGCTTGAAAAGCCATGGGACGCTAATTATCTCCATGTGAGGAGTTTGTCTCTCCAGTAAATTGCGTATAGCAGTAAAAAGTGATCTCTCATGGTTCTCACGTATTTTCCATCATGTTTAGTCCAATACTTTAAAACTTGAATAACACCATTGGATCTATACAATGTGCCACTAGTGATGCTGGAATTCCTGCCAAGAAGCAGAGAAAAGAAATAACATTATAAGAAAAGTTGAATTGCTTAACATGTACCGTAGATTGGATTTGCAGCTGTAGTTGCCCACTGTTTCAAGATTAATGAAATCTGCATAAGAACCATTGTAAAAACAAAAGAAAAAAGAAAAAGAAAAAGAAATTCATGAAGCTGTTTCTGCAACTACATCAGCAGGTGTGAAAACCTTGCACATTTTGTGAAACACCTTTTTATCCCATATGGCAAATGCAGCCTTTATGTGGTGCAGAATTGCCACAAGAAAGGCATACCTATAGATTCTAATATGAATCCAGAAAAATCCAAGTTATTATATGATAACTTAACGCAAAAGATCCGTGTAGAATATAAAGCTGGAGAATATAATGCCAGCAAAGGATGGTTCAATAATTTTATTATGTATATACATATATATTTAAATATATACATAATAAAATGAAATATATATATGTATACACATTATATATAAACTGGGCCAACTGAGGCCAGATATTGGGGAGTATGGGCAAGTTTGGGCAAAGCACAGGTATATATATATATATATATATATCCATATATATATACCCACTGGGATAGAGGCAGTGGTTTGATAATCTTAGAAAGAGATTTGGCTTGAAAAATGTCAAGATAACAGGAAAAGCAGCTTCTACTAACCAAGAGGTAGCAGACAAGTTCCCAGACGTCATTAAGAAAATTATTGAGAAGAAAACATATCTGCCTGTACAGGTTTTTAATGCAGATGAAAATACCCTACTCCGGGGGAAAAATGCCACAAAGGACATTAATTAGTGAGGAAGAGAAGGAAGCACCAGGATTTAAGGCACAAAGCAATAGGCTAACTCTATTGTTTTATGCAAATGCAGTCAAGTTTGTGATCAGGACTGTCCTTATCTATAAAGCTGCTAACCCTCAAACCTTGAAAGGGAAAGATAAAATATCAGCTTCTAGTCTTTGGGTTGTACAACAAGAAAGCCTGGACAATTAGAACACTTATTCTGGATTGGTTCTATCGATGCTTTGTCCCTGGAGACAGGAGGTACCTTGGCAGTAAGTGACTGCCTTTTAAAGTTCTTTTGCTATTAGACAATGTCCCTGGCCACCCAGAACCCAATGAGTTCAACATTGAGGGTGCTGAAATGATCGAAGTTATCCCCAAACACAAGGTCTCTAATTCAGCCTCTAAATCAGGATAAGGACTTCTAAGGCTCACTACACATGGTACTCTATGGAAAGGATTGTCAACGCTATGGAAGAGAAACCCCATAGAGAGAAAATTATGAAAGTCTGGAAGGATTTTACCATTGAAGGTGCCATTATTGTTATAGAAAATCTGTGAAAGCCATCAAACTTTAAACAATAAATTTCTGCTGGAGAAAATTATGTCCAGATGTTGTGCATGACTTCACAGGATTTACGACAGAGACAAATAAGGAAACAATGAAAGAGGTTGTGGATATGGTCCAAAAGATGGAATGTAAAAGATTTCAAGATATGAATCTTGAAAAAATTCAAGAGCTAATAGACACCATGCCAGAGGAAATAACAGAAGGTGACTTGATGGAGATGAGTGTTTCCAAACCAGTGACAGATCATGAGGAAAAAGATGTATAAGAAACGGTGCCAGGAAAAAAAACTAACACTAGACAATCTGGCAGAAGGGTTCCAATTTTTTAAGACTGCTTTTGACTCCTTTTACGACATGGACCCTTCTATGATGTGGGCACTGAAACTAAAACAAACAGTGGAAGAAGGATTGGTACCATATAGAAACTTTTAGATATAAGAAAAAGAAAATTACAACGTATTTTCATTCAATTACACTGAGTATGCCTGCCTCTCCTGCTTCCCCTCCTACCTCTTCCTCCTCTGCCAGCCCTGAGACAGCAAGACTAACCCCTCCTCTTCCTTTTCCTCAGCCTACTCAATGTGAAGATGATAATGACGCATATCTTCATGATGATTTACTTCCACTTAATGAATAGTAAATATATTTTCTCCTCCTTATGATTTTCTTAATTTTTTTTATAGTTTATTGTTAGAATACAGCATATTATACACATAATACACAAAAATATCTGTTAATCAACTGTTTACATCATCAATAAGGCTTCCAGTCGACAATAGCTTATTAGTTAAGTTTTGGGGGAGGCAAAAGTTATAGGTGGATTTTTGACTGCATGGAGGGTCAGTGCCCCTAACTCCCATGTTGTTCAAGGATTAATTGTAGTTGCTTTATGTTGGACATCTGCAAAACAGTTTATGGGAGATACTACAAGTGCTCATCTATGTCTTGTCCTCCTTTCCTTCCTGAACACAGGGGAACATCACAGTCCTTTTGAAGTTAGGAAGGGTCATGTGATTACTCTTTGCCACTGAAATAGAAGCAGACACATTATTTTGTCACAGTCATTTCTATTGAAGGTGCTGCAGAAGCAATACATTAATTCTCAAACCATAACAACACAGAACACAGATCACTCTACACCTAGGAGTTGTCATACACATTTGCTCCTTTAGATGTGAGAAACCAGATTCTGTGCATTTAAGGCCCTGGGTAGGAATCACCCCATAGGATGCTGACTACAGGAAGTTTTTCATGTGACCTGCAACCTTCAGGCTTCCGAAAGTGGTGTTGTCCTCCTCAGTATGGGTGGAAGGCAGTGGCCAAAATAGCCAAAATCTCAGTTGAGACCAGGGGTTTCCTTCTCTCGTTGCTGTGCCCAAATGTGCCCATAGTCCCCAATACTTGGCCTCAGTTGGCCCTGTTTACAGCTTTACCGTTCTTATCTCTACTAACAACCACTGGGCCCAAGACAGGATCTGATGATTATGTTAACACGCAAATATCATCATTTGAAATTCCCCAGTAAGGAATCCCCTTCCAAGATATTGTGGTAGAACTGGCAGGAGATGATGAAGTTTTTGGCGAGTCTCCTAGTGGTTGGTAAATAATAATCATTGCAGTGTGATGAGTGACAAATTACTATGATTAGGAGGTACTATTCAAATAATCCCCCATGTAATGCCTGGCTTTTGATTAACTGATTACCTTAAATGGGCGACAATGAGGTTTTGCTTTCTGAGGTTGATCCAGAGAGGTGGGGCTGGGGTGTCCTAGCAGAGGCAGCTAGGGCCTCAGTATGCCCAGAGAGGCAGTTAAAGAAGACTAAAGGCTGTAGCAGATGGTGGGGGCGGTGAACATCGCAACACTCCTCAGTTCCCAGAATACACTTAGACCCACATTAGGATTTCGAAAGGAGCTTGGTGTGAGAGGGCTTTGGGGTCCATGCTGAGGAACAGCCACCCCAGGAGATGAGTGAGGAGGAGCACCTGCCAAATCCAGCTGTACTGCCCTGGGCTGGCTGTGGGGAGAGGGACATGGGAGCAGAATGAGGCTGGACCATGTTATGAGCCAGGTACTCCTGGGAATGGCCAGACGCAGATGCCTGTGTGGCACTCCAGAATGGAAGGAAGGACACTGCTGGAAACAGGGATACTGCATGTCCCTTCTTAGAGCCAAGGTGTGTGGAGAGTGCTCACCCTGTGTTTCCTAAGGACTGCAGGGCTGGAGCAGCTAGGATGTTCCACACACCCCCACAGCCTCCCCTGGAGGCATTTACAGGGTCCAGCATCCTCCACAGCAGCCTCTAGTGTGGGCACACATCACACAGGACAGAGCCAATCTTGACCATGTCAGGGCGGAGCAGATAGGAGCCTCCCTGTGCCCATCCGTGGATAGGTCTTGAGGGTTTCCAGATGTCCTGAGCCTGCCCCCTGAGGGGCGGGTGGGAGGCCTCACAGACATGGTCTCACTTCCCTGGGAAACCTCCCTGTTCCACCAGCCATGGCTAACCCCCTACTCTGAACTCCAGCCCCCTTGGCAAGGAGCTGACCTCCTGCCTGGCTCTTGCCAGCCCTTCCCTTTGTTGACATCAACACAATAAATTGCTGGATTTTAATTGGGATTTTGTTAAATATATAGATCAAGTTAGGAAAAACTGACATCTTGACAATACTGAATCTTCCTATCCATGTATATTTGTTTTAAATGCCTCCATTTATTGTTTTTAATGTTTCTGTACCAATATTTGTCTTAGAGTCTACATGGGCATTGATTGGTACATTTCTTCCTCTCCTGAAAATCTGTTGTTGTGGGTAGTTCATCTCACATCTCGGAACTGTGCAGATATGGTATAACTTGTTCTAGCCCTGGCTGGGGCAAAAGTCAGGGTCACTGAACTGGGGCCAGGATCAATATATGGATCTGTGGGTGTTGACCCTGAAGAAGGCTTCCAAGACATCTTCCAGGCCCACCCTCCTTGCATTCAACCCAACACCCCAAAGCTTTGTGAGGGAGAGTCCTCTGGCTGGACACCCTGAATGCCAAAGAAAAGGTTCCACACTGCATTCTCCTGGCCTCCCAAGTTCATGGTTTTGAGGAATGCTGGAGCCACATTCCAAATTACCTCTGTCACAGCTTGTACTTGCAGGTTGGCCCTCCACATGATTATTTAAAAAACATTCTTACTAATTGTCTAGGAAATGCAAATTTAAACCACAATGAGACACCACCTTACTCCTGCAAGAATGGCCATAATTTAAAAATAAAAAAAAATAGATGTTGGCATGAATGTGGTAAAAAGGGAACACTTTTACACTGCTGGTGGGAATGTAAACTAGTACAACTACAGAAAACAGTATGGAGATTCCTTAAAGAACTAAAAGTATAACTACCATTTGATCCAACAAACCCACTACTGGGTATCTACCCAGAGGAAAAGAAGTCATTATATGAAAAAGACACATGCACACGCATGTTTATAACAGCACAATACACAGTTGCAAAAATATGGATCCAACCTAAATGTCCGCCAACCAACAAGTGAATAAAGAAAATGTGGTAGATATACACCATGAAATACTACTCAGCCATAAAGCAGAATGAAATAATGGCCCTTGCAGCAACTTGGATGGAGCTCGAGGCCGTTATTCTAAATGAAGTAACATATGAATGGAAAACCAAACATCGTATGTTCTCACTTATAAGTGAGATCTAAGCTAAGAGGATGCAAAGGCATAAGAATGATGTAATGGACTTTGGGCACTCAGGGGGAAGGGTGGGCAGGGGTGAGGGATGAAAGACTACATATTGGGTACAACATACCCTGCTCAGGTGATGCACCAAAATCTCAGAAATCACCTCTAAAGAATTTATCCATGTAATCAAAAACCAACTATACCCCTAAAACTATTGATATTTTTAAAAAAACTATCGTTGCTCACACAATCATTTTCAAGGTTTGAATCAGCCTGGGTTTACCTACTTGTCAACTGCAAACCTCTCTTGTGCCAATAATATTTCCAATTTCCTTTTCTACATTTCCTCCCAGAAAGCAGCCAGAAGAGGAATTATGTCTCTGAGGACACACTTATGCCCCCATAATGAACTGGAAGCCACCTCCGAGTGGTTTGGGTAAGACTCTGTGATGGTTAATACTGAGTGTCAACTTGATTGAATTGAAGGATGCAAAGTATTGATCCTGGGTGTGTCTGTGAAGGTGTTGCCAAAGGAGATTAACATTTGAGTCAGTGGGCTAGGAAAGGCAGACCCACCCTTAATCTGGGTGAGAACCATCTAATCAGCTACCAGCATGGCTAGAATATAAACCAGGCAGAAAAACGTGAAAAGACTAGACTGGCATAGCCTCCCAGCCTACATCTTTCTCTTGTGCTGGATGCTTCCTGCCCTTGAACATCGGTCTCCAAGTGCTTCAGTTTTGGAGCTTCAATGGGGTCTCCTTGCTCCTCAGCTTGCAGACAGCCTATTGTGGGACCCTGTGATTGTGTGAGTTAATACTTAAACTCATCTTTAAATATATATACATATATCTATCCTATTAGTTCTGTCCCTCTAGAGAACCCTGACTCATACAGACTATAAAAGATTAGTTCTTCTGGCTGCACCTTTTCTATGCTTGACCCCTAGTGATCTGCCAGTTTCCTCATCTGAAAAACGGGGTGTATTAGTCCATTCTCATGCTGATATGAAGAAATACCGGAGACTGGGTAATTTATAAAGAAAAGAGGTTTAATTGACTCACAGTTCTGCAGGGCTGGGGAGGCCTCAGGAAACTTATAATCATGGCAGAAGGGGAAGCAAACATGTCCTTCTTCACATGGCAGCAGCAAGAAGAAAAGCTGAGCAAAAAGGGAAAAGGCCTCTTATAAAACCATCAGATCTTGTGAGAATTTACTCAATATCCCAAGAACAGCATGACGGTACCTGCCCCCATGATTCAATTAACTCTCACTAGGTCCCTCCCATGACAGGTGGGGATATGGGGAACTACAATTCAAGATGAGATTTGGGTGGGGACACAGCCAAACCAAAACATAGCACAACTTCGGAGCATTGGTGTAAGATTGCGCTAGTTTCCTGGGACTGCCATACCGAAGTGTTATACCACAAAGTGTGCGGTATAAAACAGTACCAATTAATTCTCTCTCAGTTCTGGAGGTTCAGTGCCTAATATCAAGGTGTTGGCAGGGTTGTGCTCCCTCTGAAGGCTCTAGGCGAAGATCTTTCCTTGCCTATTCCAGCTTCTGGTAGCCCCAGGTGTTCCTTGGCTTGTGGCAGCATCACTCCAGTCTCTGCCTTCAGTTTCACATGGCTGTCTTCTCTCTGGGTCTGTGTTTCATTTTCTCTTTTCTTACAAGGACATTAGTCATATTGGATTAAGGGCTCACTCCAATGACCTCATTTTAACTTTATTACAGCTGCAAAGTCCCTATTACCAGTGAGGTCACCTTCACAGGTATTGGGGATTAGGACTTCAGCATATTGAAGGGTATATTTTGGAGGGTACAATTCAACTCATAACGACGATTATAAGATGGCCCAAAGTAGGCCTTCTTATGATGAATAAAAAGGAGCAATTACTGCTGAACATCTAAGATGCACCTTCTCCTGTACATGGTAATATTTCTGAAAGAGTACAGATCTTAAGATGCATAAGTACATTGATTCATGCAGGGTTTTACCCTTGAAAATCTGTTATTAAATAGATGGTTCATCTCACATCTTAGAACTGTACAAGCATGGTATAAGTTGTTTTATAATAAGACACAAAAAACCTCAACATGTCAATGATTTGTAGGAAAGTGGGAGTGTGGGTACCCACATAATGTCTGCAGCTATTAGAAACTTGGAAAGAAAGGGTCATTTTTCCTGCAGACACAAGTTGCCTGGTTTGAGGCAAGGGATGAGGAAGAACTGCTTTTTTGTTTGTGCCCTGTGACTGTCCAACATCAGCATTCATTTCATGACCATTGCCTGAGCACCTACTGCATGCCAGGATCCAAGAATACAGGGGCATAGTGGGAAGCATCATGGGACTCCAAAACTGACTCCTCCAAGCACAGAGAGCTGAGAGCACACGCACAGCTGCCTGTAGGCAGAGTGGGGTGGTGGGAAGGGAAGGGAGGATGGTTGCAGACAATATTGTTCTCCAAAATGGTGCACCTGCCTCCATTCACTGACTTCTGTGTTTTTACAACTGTTGTTTACTCTGCCTGGAACCTCATTTCCTCTCTTCCTACCTTACAATGTTATTTTTTCAGCTCAGCGGTTCCCTCATCCCCAATGCTTATCGTGCACAATGCTGTGTTTTCATTATTCATATCTGTGTGTTCCCAGTGCCTTCCACAGTGCCCGGCACAAAGCAGACACTCTGGAAGACATATGTCAGATGAATGCAACTAAAGGAGTGAAGGTTACAGGCTACCCAAGATGAAAGGATCCATTAGGGGAAGGCAAGATGAGGAAGAGCACATTTGATTAGTTAGGGCAGAGGGCCCCAGAGGAATGTGTCAGAAATACAGTGTGGAAACAGAAAGGGAGAAAGACAAGCATTGAGTGGAGATTCAGGAATGAGAGCAGGTTGGGAACAAGGAGAAAAAGGAATCATGTGGGCAGCTGGTTGGTGACCTTTGGCAAGCATGGGCCTTTTTGTCTGCCCCGTGTGCTTGGCCACACACACTTGACCTGGGCTTTGCATACACAGCACACTGGAGGAGTGTGGCACAGCCGGGAAGGCTTCCTGGAAACCCTGGCATCAGGAGAGGTCCAGAGGAGAAGCACAGGGATACCGTGGTGGTTTGCTGGCCCAGGCAAAGGCTCCCCATTCTGCCTTCCAACAGGAAATGGCCCCTGCTTCCTTTAGCAGAAAGCTTGCTCCATGAGGGATGATAAACCACCCACTCCCAGGGCTACCCTGGGTGACAGGAGGTCCACTGGGGCCTTGGGACTGTCCTCCCTCCCTCTTCTCTCTCAGTAACTGTAATTTGCCTACCTGAGGGAAGACTCCCTGAGGAGGTGGCTCCTTCTGGGCTCTGGAAGGCCATAGGGGTTGCTGCAAGTCCAAGCAGAACTACAGCTACTACCTCTGTGGTCCCTTCAGTTGCCTCCCTGCAATCTCCTCCTCCAGTTCTCCAAGCCCCTAAATCTAGCCCCGTATTTAATCAAATCCCTGTCTAGACTCCAGACCCACCCACCTCCCAGGGAGATCTCAGATGTGTATCCAAGTTAGGCTAAAGTTGCCTGAAACAAAGGGTTCTGTCAGGAAGCAGGAGATTGCATTCTGCAGGTGGACTAATTCCCAGCATCTTCAGCAATTCTCTAATTGGTGGCATTCAAAGTGTGGACTTTAGGGAACCTAGGGTGAGGAATTCCAGGCTAAGAAAGCCTTGCAGGCTGGCACCTCCATGTTTCCTGGCTAAAGAACTTGTCAATCTGACCTCCGAGAAGCTCTTTATAGTCCCATAGGCCTTGCACGGGACTGGATCCCAGCTGGCCCTCCCTCCACTGGAGCAAGGGTGAAACTGGTGTTGAGTTCAAATCTACTAATTCCACACTCTCTCCATTCTACTGCTGCAGCCAGGGAAGGAGCCTTGGTGGTGTGTGGAGGGCGGTTCCACGGCCATTTTCTTCCCCTATGCCAGGTCTCCCCAGTCCAAGTGTCTAAATTCACCAGGATTCTCTTCACCAGTGCCTTGCTCTTCAGAGGAGAGGCATCCTATATCACCACATTGAAGCCAATGTGAATATTGAATTGGACAAGCCACCAGCTTATCAGAAGGGTGGTACAAATCCAAGTTAGTCCTTAAAACCATGGTCAGATATACACTGATTCTTCTGGAACACTGTAACCTAAGCCCACCCCAAAGTCACCAAGAATATGCTGTCTGGCTTATTTGGGGGTCATACTTTTTCAATCCAGAGCCATTTCTTTCCTTTGAGTGAAGAATGTTGGGAGCCCCTAGCAAGATAGCCCTGGAATTTTTTGGCAAGTCAAGGAAAAGATAAAGTCAAACTCTGCTAGTGGAGAAGATGTGGGTGTCATCTTCTCCACTAGTCATACTTAGCCTTGATGTATCACCTTTCTTCTGAGAATGTAGAAACATTTAATAAGTGGTAATTAAGCTTCCCAGCACTCCTGGTGCCTGCATATGACCCAGGGTCTTTCTTTAATGTCAGGATCACTTGTGGGTCTGTCTACACAGGTCATTGAGGCTTTGGACCTCCATCTAGGGTGGGACACTGAGTGAGGGCTCTGAAGTGAGCAGCAGGTTGTCAGTAGGGTCTTTTGCACTTGCTGGAGAGAGGACCAGATGGCCATCTGGTTTCTGGCTTTTTTTTCCCCATGAGAGCACCAGTAGCATAAAGGGTTGGGCTTCCAGAATCAGTCCAGGTAATCCACCTCTTGAAGACTGGGGATGTGAAGCCTTGGGAAAGTCCAGTTCTTCCTGTATTTCCTCACAGACAGGTTCATATGTTCCTCTTGGCAATTTACCTTGTCAGAGCAAAAGAACACACTGACAAGTAATTTGTGCATCAGTGTCCTGTTGCCTTTGCTAGATAGCTTCCAGGGCCTGGTCAACTCTGGAAGAACTGCTAAAATTGAACTTGTGGGCCTGCAGAGCAGTGGTTCAGCTCCCAGACTCCCTGGGATCTCATTAAAGTAGCGTCTGCCCTCAAGATTCTGGACTCTGAGGAGCCTGCCTGGTCTCTATCTATGAAGCTCTTGAAAGGGCAGTGATGCCTGTTATTCAAGTGTCTGAACTGGCAGACCATCTTCTCATGCCTGCTTGGGGCACGGTCACTGGTAATGAAGATGGTGCTGTCCAATCTGACCACTGGCAAGCACCTCTTTCTAACAGTATGGGCTGCAGGTTCAGCTAGACCCTGAGTTTCATCTGTGCTCCTTCACCCTTACTTGCTGGCTCGCTCAGGGCCTGTTATACAAGCTTCTCTGCGCCTTAATTCCTCGTCTGTATTTGAGTGTTCATTGAGAACCTCCTCTGGGCTACACATTGGACTTTACCCAGAGGATGGGAAAGGAAGATGGGTGAAAAAGTCTGGGACAGGGTCCTGGTGCTTCAGCAGATGAAAACTTGATTTGGATTACTCAACCTTAAAATCAGCTCATATAATAATATCCATTTCCCAGTGGGTGTTGGGAAGCTTAATTACCACTTATGATATGTTTTTACGTTCTCAGAAGAAAGGTGATACATCAAGACTAAGTATGACTATCGCAATTGTGATTCTCTCAAGCTGCCCTTGGGGCTAAACAGTATAAAATTGTCATTTGTGAAACTCTGCTATTGCAACAAAGGATGACTATTATCCATAATGATAGTAGACTAATGTTTAAGGCATTGTTGTGCTCATGAAAACTTAAATCTGCCCAAAGTGAAGATGGTAAACTAGGTCACCTGCTATGAGCTTGTCCTGCTCTTGGATTCCAAAAGCAAACAAAATCCTTGAGGAGGTTGACACCTGAAAGAGTACCAGATAGCAACAGCATTCTTTGTACACCTAGCATGTACCAGGCAGTGTGTTATGCACACGATCTCACTGAATCTTCCTAACACGCTTAGAAAAGAGGTTTTTATCATTTCCATTCTGCGGAGGAGAAAAACTGAGACTCAAAGATGTTGACTTGCCCAAGGAAGATGAACCTGGTACTTGTAAGTAGGGCAGCCTGGAGTGGAGGCAGAGGTCAGGTGTGAAGTGACCACAAAGTTTAGACAGGATCCAAGGAGGCTCTGAACTGGGTTAGAAAAATGAGGATGATTTCCACGTCTCCTGCTTGAATACCCCCCTGCGTACGAATAGGCCTGCTGCTAAGGGAAAAAGGGAACCCAGGAGGGGAAGGCGGTTGGCACGGGAAGTGACTTTGGTGCTAGGTAACTTGAGTAGGGAATAGCCAGCATATCTGGACACGCTGGCTTGGGAATTGGAAGGGAAGTTGGGACCCAAACTTTGGAGTCGTTGACAGATGTGACAGGTGAAGCCTGGGATGACATCGCCAAAAATGCAACGTCTCACTCATTGTCACTACTCCCAGGGCTCAGTCGTCACTGGGGAAAATCTCCAGAAGGTAGCGCGGGCCAAGGTGACAGGTGTCTGCCAAGATCTGCCCGCCAGACTCCCGGGCGGCGCGCTCCCTCCCTGCAGGCCTTCAGCCCGTCAGCATCCCCTTCCTCGGGGCCCTGCTCACTCCCAGCCTCCATCCCCCTGCCATCTCCTCCGCCGGTCGCGTGCGGACACAAGGATGGGGACCTCCCAGCGAGGAGCGCTCTGGGCGGGGCTCCGGACGCATGCGCGGCCCTCGTACGGAAGCCCGGAAGGAGGGGCAGGGGGCGGTGGCTCAGGTTTCTCCGGGCGGCGGCGGCGGCGGCGGCGGCGGCGGCGGCGGCGGCGGCGGCGACGGCGACGGCGACGGCAGCGGGGACGGCAGCAGTAGCGGGAGCAGCAGCGTGGACGCGGCTGGCGCTGGCGCCATGAACCCGCTGTAAGGCGCAGGCTGTGCAGCACGGGGTGCGGGGGAGGAGGAGGAGGACGCCGCGGTGAAGTTCTCCGCCATGAACCTGAGGGGCCTCTTCCAGGACTTCAACCCGAGGTGAGGCGGCGTCGTTGGCGCCCCCGGGAGTCCGCGCTGCGGGCTCGGGCGCGGGCTGGTGTTCGGCTCCGGGGAGGCACGGCGGGCGAGATGCTGCAGCCCGAGGACCCGGGCGCCTGCCCGAGCCTCCCTGCGGGTGCAAGCGGTCCCCAGGCAAAACAGTCGGCCTCGGCGCCCGCCCGCTTCCTCCTCCCGTGCCCGGTGCTTTCAGCCCCTGCCCGGCCACGGCCGGAAGGGCCCGGCCGCGAGCCCCGTCCTGCCCCAAGGGAACCCCATTCTTTTCTGCTTGCTGTCCCTCATTGGTGTCCCAACTTCTTCGTCTCGGTTCCATCCTCTTCTGCGCCGCTGCGGGCCCTCCATTCTCCGCGTCAGGGCCGTCTCACTCGACCCAACACCCCTACCCCCACCCCAGCTGTTTCCTCCAGTTCCTCGCAGTCCTTGGGGTTTTCCTTGGGTTTATGCCCATCCCTCTCTTGTTTGCTTCTTTGTTGAACGGATACCTGAAACACTGTTGAATCCTTGGAGTCAGTGTCGGGGTATGGCAATACCTTATATAATGCATTTCTGGGTGAGCCTGATCATTTTCCATACTCATTTTCTCATCAGTCTTCACTACAAGTTTATTTGCAGGAAGTAGATATTGCTGTCCTTCTTTTCCAGATGGGGAACACCCAGTGGACAGTGTGGAGAAAACACTGGCTAAGCACTCAAGCGCCTGTCCTTGCACTTGCCCGACTGTTTTGTAACTGTTCTTTACCCCAGGCTGTGAGCTCCCTGAAGCTGAGACCATCTCCTGCTCATCTCAGTGTCCCCAGCGCCTCCCACCCACCGTATCTGGCACATAGTAGGCACATATAAAATGTTTGTGGAACTAAACTGAGCCCAAAGACTTGGATTGGAGACGAGGCCATATGTAACTGGGTGATTCTCTGCCCTTCTTTGGCCCTTCTGTAAAATGAGGAGTTGGCCTAACTGATCTCTTAAATGCACTACTCTCCGAAAGGAGTATCCGTTTCCCTTATTTGCCAGTTGGGAAGACGTGCTCAGTAAATATTTGTGTGCTGTAACCTATGTTAGGTGCTTTAGATGCTGGCGGTCTCAGCATGGGGTGAAGAAGGGCTTGTACACTTAAGATGCCTTACAGTACTGTGCAGTGCTGTACTGCGGGGGCCAACTCTGGGGACCTATGCCTTGGCTGCTTGTTGAGGATGAAAGGAAGTTTTAGGGGAGTATTTGTATGTTGAGGGTGCAGTCTCCCTAGGGATGGTGACATTTTAACTTGTGAGTCATTGTGACTTTGTATGTGCTCTTATTCCACTTTGAGTTCATGTTCTGGTTAGGAGTGCCAGTGTCTCTAACACGGTGCAGACATTATCATTGTTGGCTTCGAAGGCATAGAGGAGGTAACAGAACTAACTGCAGTCCCTTCCTCTGCTGCATCAGGGGGTTAAGATTGGTCTGCAGGGTAGTAGGGTTGGTGCTGTGGCTGGACAAGCCCTGTATGTCTTCTATTTGGAGATGGTGATAAGAAAGTTAAGTAAAAACTGAATTGTTTTGTGCCCTTGGGCAACTCACTTATCTATTGTTTTATCTGTAGAATGAGTATAATCTCTCAGTGGGGTAGGGAGGCCAATTAAGGATTGATTACAAAGTGCCTTACAAATAGAAAGCTACAGTGACTTGTTTGCAAGGTGACAGAGAATTCAGAAGCCTCAAGAAACTGCCTTAAGTGATCAAACAGGCTAACGGAGTTGCCAAAGCAAAATAGTGCTGCACTGATACTACCTTTAACCGTTTTTTCCTTTAGCCCTTTTCCCCCCAAAAAAATTAGTATATGAAATTACAGTGAAATACCTGGTATCTAAGCAGATTTATAGTAATTCTCAACATATTCATCAATCTCTTAATTCTACCTGCATTAAAATGTATTTCTACCTGAAAAGTTTAAAGGTCTTTTATACTGTGCCATTTTCCTGATTCATTGTTGCCAGAGGTAGTGAGTTCCTTAATTTTACAGATATTTCAAGAGGACATTGGCCAGGTATTATTGGTAAATCAGATTTGTTTTTTTAGCTGGTAGTGTTTCACCTCTCCTGAGCACTCCTAGTTTTTGACAGTGTGCTTTAGTCTCCTTCCATGCTGAGGAAGGCCTTCTCTATAGGAGAAAGAAAACTGAGGGGTGTACACAGGAAGTTACCTTATGCTGGGGACTCAAACCTTGATGCTACTGCTTTGCTCCCTGCCTCTATTTTTGAACCAATTCAACATCTCCCTCCTACCCCAGGACCTTGTCACACACTGTTCTCTTTACCAGGAATGTTTCCCTCTCTTTTCCTCTCCTCCAGACCTAGTGAACTCCTATTTATCCTCACTTGGCACTTGCTAAGGGAAGCATTCCTGACTTCCCTGACCAGATTTACTGCTCCCTGTTTCTACAGTTCCTGTAGTATTTACTACTCCTCCATCATAGTGCATATTTGTACCCTTGTGTCTGTCTGGATGCTTATTTGATTAATACCTGCCTCCCCCACTAAACTTTAAGCTCCATGGGGTCAAGGCCGTGACTGTGTCAGTATCGTAGCCTGCATACTTGGAATAGTACCTGGCTCAATAAATATTTGTGGAGTAAATAACTGAATAACTCTCCAGAGCCTATAAGATAAATCTAGAGCTGCTGCTTTCAATCACTGCTTTCCTGGTGGTCTGTGGCCTGGTTCTCTTTCTTCTCACACTCTTCCCACCTTCAGAGTGCAGCCATTGCTTTGGAGAGATGGGAGAGAACATGGCACTAAGGCAGAATATGGCTATATTTACTTTGAAGAGCATGTCTTTGTCATAGAAATAGTCACTGTCATGGTTTGGTGGGTCCCAAGGCATGGGTCATGGCTCCAGATCCCCTTTCCAGCCTTTTGGATCTTGGTAAGTCTGAACCCACTGCTGCGTTGGCAAGGCTCTGGAAACTATAGTGACAGAGAATGATTCACAAGTGTCAACACTCAGATGTACAGGGCTGCCAGCTGACCCACTCTACCTATTTCCATCTGGCACTGAACTGGTTGATCATGAACTTCTTTTCATAATTGCTTTTTAGTTATGCAGGTTAAGACATGCCGAAACAGATGTACCGGACCCACAAACAAGTCCTTCCTTGAATGCCTGAGGCTTCCTAACAGTGAAAGAGCCCTGTTCTTAGAGTAGGCAAACTGATTCTGAGGCATTGTAGGTGGTAGGGATCTGGTAGTAGGTAGCATTAGGTGGGCTCCCGGCACTCACCATGGAGCCTTGAAATTTTCTGCTACTTTGGGGGAGTTGCTGGTTCAGAGAAGGCCCTTCCACCCTGGTAGCCATGTGGCACTGGAAGGCTGTGAAAACTCTGCTGGGCCTTCTTAGTCATCTGTTGTGAGCTCCTGATGGGAGTGTGGTGTATCCCTCAGGTGTGCTAGACTGGAACAAAGGCTGAGAAGTGTTGCTCTGGGGGTTCCAACTTGTGGGCATGGGGTACTGATGAGATCAGTAGTGTTTGGAGACTTCTGTATGCTCCATCTTCAGAAGACATTCTGGAGTCCATATAAGTTATCTTGTCTCTTGTTTGAAGCAGGAAAAAGGAATGCGATTGCTGGTAATATAGTTCACTAAAGTCAGCTACCTGGCCTCTAACAGTTATTTGCAAAGTATATTATAACATTGATTCCTCAAACATCTAGATTCCTATCTCGTGCCAAGTGATGTACTAGGTGCTCTAAGTACAAAAATAAAGGAATATAGTCCTCCTCTCAATGCGTAAGCCTAGTGGAAGAAGCAGAAATGAAAGGGAAATAAGAATTCAATAGAGTATGAGGCATTACAGTGAAAGAAACCAAATGTCTTAGAAGTACAAATGGCAGAGCTACTAATTCTGTCTCGAGCAGGCAGGGAAGAGTCTATAGTGGAAATGACTTTTGAGCTAGATTTTGAATTGAGCTAGTCTTTTGAGCCAGACTTTTGAGCTAGAATTGTAGGGTTGTCATCAGACCAGAGAGTAGGAAGGGTACCTTGTGAGGAAGAGAGAGAGAGATCAGATTGTTACTGTGTCTATGTAGAAAAGGAAGACATAAGAAACTCCATTTTGATCTGTACTAAGAAAAATTGTTTCTGCTTTGAGATGCTGTTAACCTGTAACTTTAGTCCCAACCCTGTGCTCACAGAAACCTGTGCTGTAATGAATCAAGGTTTAATGGATTTAGGGCTGTGCAGGATGTACCTTGTTAACAATATGTTTGCAGGCAGTATGCTTGGTAAAAGTCATCGCCATTCTCCATTCTCGATTAACCAGGGACACAGTGCACTGCGGAAGGCCGCAGGGACATCTGCCCAAGAAAGCCTGGGTATTGTCCAAGGTTTCCCCCCACTGAGACAGCCTGAGATATGGCCTTGTGGGAAAG